>NW_011332701.1:717518-1076278 GCF_000001405.40 Homo sapiens | reverse complement strand
TCATACACCAGGCTCGGAGGTGAGCTGCTTCCCCAAGGTCTACACCGCAAAGCAGCCCCTGTGAGGGCCCCTGGGATGAGCAGGGGGAGCCTGACCACTCCCCTCTCCTCTCTCAACTGCAGCACCAATGGAAAGTGCAAGGAGAACATTTCTGACCCTTCCATTAGGAAACATGTTCGCAGAATTAAAAAGCAAATAAGTCATTTTCAGACTAGACACAATAGAAGACTAAAATATTTTTTAAAAACCCAATGTTTCACCTCAAGGACTTCCACTTGGAGGGAGAAATAGCCTGCAGTTGGCATAATTATCCAGGGCCCCAGTGTTCCTAGAGGGGTGTGCGTGAGTGTACCCCACTGGCCCGCAGCCTGTCACTGCAGCCCAGGACAGGAGGCTCTAGGGAGGGGCCGAAGCTACTCACTGACCCAGATGTCAGACCAGAGCAAGGACTATTCATGAAATAGAATCTACCAAACTGGCTTCAAAGTCACCGAATACAATGAAAGAAACTCGGTGACTGTAAGCTACAACTAGTAGAATTTTTTTTAATTTAAATAAGTGCTAACGTTCTAAAGACGGTGAGACCCACAAGTGGGGGCTCCCCTTGTCTCATGTGCTGCTATGGCACCAACCCCTAAGCCAGCACCAGCACATCCTGGGGCACCGCCAAGGATTTCCTGAATCCATTCAGACACTGCTGTGGAAAGACTGGAGGTCAGCAGACTGTCCCTTTCTACCTCCTGGTGGTGGACTACAGGAAGTAGACAGGCACAGATCCCAGGACAGCTTCCCAGGGAGTGGCTTGCAAACCTGGGCCCAGAGGATTGAAGTCAGAGACCCTAGGATCCTGGGGGAAGGGACAGGAGGTAGTACTGTGGCCTGACAGGTCCCGGAGCTGGAACAAGGCGGCAGGTGCAGTGGTGGGCACGGGCCACTGCTGAGCAGCCTGGTGGTCGCAGCAAGGTGTGAAAGGGCACCAGGCCTCCAGATGCTGCCCCGCCTGCTCCTCGAGCTACTGTGAGGACAAACCCAGCTGACAGATGGGAAGGCCCTGGTGTCACACACAATCAGCAAGGATCCCTGTATCAGGAGGGGTGGCACATGCTTTCACCTCAGCTACTGAGCAGCCTGACCCAAGCCAACCCCTTTTGGCCCAGAAGTTTTTGCACTCAATCCTTGCCCATCTGCGACGGACACAAACTGTAGTGCAGACACATGCTGCTTTATATACGACAAAACGCAATGGTCCCTGTCCCAGATAGTGCAGATGCGTGAAAATAACTAGAATACTAGAATGCAAGCTCCTTGGAGCAACAAAGCCCTCTGGCTCGCCCACCGCAGTGCCTAGCACACAGCAGGTATTCAACAGGTATTTGCTGAATGATGAATGAATGGATCAATGGATGTCTTTAGAACCTTTTCCTTATAAACATTTAAATGTGTGCTTTCAAAGTGAATATACAAACAAGGTACTCAAGGTATCTGCAAGTAAAACACCTAGGGAAAAAGAACAAAATAATCAAAATCAGGAGACATTAGGGTCCTCCTCTGACATCTCTGCAGCCTGGAGGATTGCTCAATAACAGTAGTGGGGTGCCTGCCAGAAATGAGGCCAGCTCCTCTCCTGCCTCCAGGGAACCTGAAGAGTAAAGAACAGACACAACCTCTGGAGGGTGCTGGGCTATGTCCCCAGGCCTAAGCTGTAACATCCTGTAACAACCAGGCAGCCATCAGGACTCCCCAGCCTGAACCGCGCTCACCCTGATGCTCCAGGAGATAAGTAGCCAACAGCTAGAGCTTGGGGCTTTTATGAGCTCCTTGCCTTAGCAATGCTGTCTGGGACTGGATGTGGTACCCAAATACAAGATCCAGTCCTGATCATCTCCCTTGCATATTCTAAAACTCCTCCTCAGTGAGGCCACAGTTTCTACATTTCAGATTTCAAAGCACAAAAGGATAGATCTTTGAATAACCCACATGTCCTAATCCATAGTATATTCCCAGAAACACAAAGTCTCTCCTCTGGCCCTTCCTTGAAATGGCCTGACTCTTACATGTCACAAAATGGATGGGAAGTAGCATCTCCATGACCCAAAATATGAAAACTGGAAACACTTCCTGGCCTTCCAAATAGCAATAAAAATTATTTAATATAATTTCATATTAAGCCCATTTAATAGAAGTCAAAATATCTCAAGCACGTATGCTATTAGAGGGAACTGATATGAAACTAAAAATTCAAACAGATACAGCAACATAAATAAAAATGAAAAAGTGAAAAAAAATCACTTCATTGCTATATAGGATTTCCGAAGATGATGCTCTTGAAATCGCTTTTAAAACAATATGTTCCAACTTCCCACTAATCCAAATTACTCTAGTGACGTCTGGCTTCAGCAGCTCACTGCAAATATGCAGCCTCATTATTTTACTTGGAATGGTAATAGCGAGGAAGCATCTATTTCCATCCCTCCATCACTAAAGCTAACATAAACCTATAATCTGCACTGAAACTGTTCCACTTCTGATTAGAATCAGAAACACTTCCAGATGGGCTCAGCACAGCCAAGGGGGGACTGTCCTACAAGGCCACGGTGTAGGGGTGGCAAAGGAATCATGGCAGCAACTACCTTTTGTTTTTTAAAATGTGAAACATTTCTGAATGGCTTAAGCAACATCTATTTAATTTAAAAGCTCTATTGAGATGAACAAAGAAAAAGAACACATGCTCAGCTCCAGAGACATGTAAATGAGATTGGGGGACAAAAGGAAGTGCATTAATTCCCTCCACAACCCCTGAAGAGCAGCGGTGGGTCTGAGCATCTTATCTCCACGAAGCAGGCCAGCAGGCAAGCCAGCTGCCACCTCGTTCACCCTGTGCAAACCACAGGCTCCGTCCCCAAAAGCAGGCAAATGACTATCTTATTTGTTCAGGGGAAGCAAAATGGTCCAGGGTTGGTAGCCGAGTTTTCTTCCCAACAAGACCTAACCGCTGTCATCTTTCTCTGGGACCCAGCCTCACTGAATAGAGTGAAAGGTGGCCAGCAGAACCCAAACTGTTCTGCCACAGGCTCCTCCCCACAGAGCACAGCTCAGTGCAACAGAGTCCCCAAATCCAAGATGCAGAATCCACGAAGAGAAAACCTTCTGCTCCAGAAGGTACTTACAGGAAGTCAAAATAGTCAAAATTAAAATCACATCTTCTTATGGTTCTTTTTTCTAACAAAATCCATTATTTCTTACTGCAAAACCTAGAAGATGTTTACTATTTATAACCAGAAATAGTTTCTCACAAAACAACCATAAAATGTAAATTATTCAGTGACCCATCTCTCTGGAAAAGAATAACACCGTATGAAATTGAGGTACTGCCCCAAAAATCAAGACGATGGGCCCTGAAACTCTAAATATTTGAATTTTTAAATAACTTCATATCAAGCCCATTTAACAGAAACTATGTCAAGCAGACACACTATTAGAACTGATATGAAAATAAAATTTCAAACTGACACGGCTGTATCAAAAAGAAATGAAAAGAGAAAAATCTCTTCATTGCCTTTTAGGATTTCCAAAGATGATGTTAAGCCCAGACATGGTTCTGATCTCCAGGAAAGCAATTGCTGTGGTACAAAAGGACAAGGGTTAAAAGAGAACGGTGGGAGCTCTCTTTCCCAACTAACCCAGGCGGTGTGACGCAGAGACTTTCGGCACAGCCCAGGGTGCCCAGGACTGAAAACTCCTTCACCACCCCCTCCATGGGTGGGAAATACTCGGATCTTCATTCCTGTGACACAAGACCTTGAAAGTTGCTGAAAAATGCTGGTCCCATCTGACTGGGGCAGCATTTTCATTTATTGCACACCATTAAGATTTTGGCAGGAATCATTGTGCTAGATACCATTATCCCACCAATCACTGAGCACTTTTCATTTCCTGCCCCTGGTGCTGTTGGATACCTTACGGCAAGCTGCCGTCCCTGCCCACCCACCTGAGGACAGAAACCTCCAACCCTGCTTTGCCAGGAAAACTGACCAGCATGTCTGACAGATGGTCAGTCCTTTGCTGTACATGGCCCTAAAAAAAGGAGACAATTCTTTTACTCAGACCAAAGTAAGCAAATGCTGAAAGTGCTTATAATGAAACATCACATTCCCCAATCTGGACTTCCCCACTCCGCTGGCCATCCTTGTCATTATTTCTGATTTTAATTCTACCGGTGGCTGTTTTCCACCTCTCTAAATAATGTTTAAACTCTCTTTCTGGGTATACCAACTTCGGATAATATTTATTGGCATCCCATTATGAGAGGTGAGTTTTGCAAGCCACGACCTCCCCGGCTCTGGTACAAGTGACCAGAGGATCGCACCAGCTACTGCAGTCACGCAGAGGGGCTTTCCATTCTTAGCAAGAGCACTGGGATAAAAGAGATCCTTCTAAGAGCTTCCACCTAACTCTGGGAACACAGAAGCATCCTTTAGAAGCCCTGTGGTCACACGGCCTTCAGGATGGATACAGGCTCTTTTCTTAGCTTTACAAAGCCCCGGATAGGCTGGCACTAACGTGGCATGTTGCTGCTGCACTTTGGGGGCAGGAACTGGCTCCTGCTCCAGTTTGCATCCTCTGTGCCCAGCACCTGTGCCCAGCACCTGTGCCCAGCATCCAGCTCGATGCAGGATGAGTAGGTAGCTTTGGCCTGTCCACCCAACCCTCACAGAGGCGACCAAGATCAAGTCCTCATTGGCTTCTTGGATTCTTTCTACTGTGTGAGATATTCTCGATGTCTGAGGGATGAACCACAAACAAAACATGGTCTATCCATACAATGGGGGCAGTAGTCAGCCCTAAGAAGGAAGGAAGTTCTGACGCATGCTACAACACAGATGGGCCTTGAGGGCGTCACGCGAAGTGAAAGAAGCCAGTTGGAAAAAGATAAATGATTGTATGATTCCACTCACATGCGGCACCTGGAATCGTCAAATTCACAGAGACAGAATGTAGAATGGTGGTTGCTGGGCGCGGTGGCTCAAGCCTGTAATCCCAGCACTTTGGGAGGCCGAGGCGGGCGGATCACGAGGTCAGGAGATTGAGACCATCCTGGCTAACACGGTGAAACCCCATCTCTACTAAAAATACAAAAAAAAAATTAGCCAGGCATGGTGGCGGGCGCCTGTAGCCCCAGCTACTTGGGAGGCTGAGGTAGGAGAATGGCGTGAACCTAGCAGGCGGAGCTTGCTGTGAGCCGAGATTGCACCACTGCACTCCAGCCTGGGCAACAGAGCAAGACAGTGTCTCAAAAAAAAAAAAAAAAGGAAGTAAAATGGTGGCTGCCGGGGGCTGGGGGAGGTGGAAGGAGGAGTTAGTGTTTAATGGACACAGAATTTCAGATTGCAAGATGAAGAAAGTTCTGGAGATGGATGACGGTGATGGTTGCACAACACTGAGTGTATTTAATGCCATAGAATCATATACTTAAAAGTATTTCAGGTGGTAAATGTCATGTTATGTGTTATTTATCACAATTTTTAAAAACTAGAAATATTAAGATATCCTTGATGTCAGATGCCAGGAGAGCGGTGTCAGGCATCTCACCAGCCGATTCTCTCAGAATGTTTCCTCTATTGCATAACCAGGAGCCTGAGGTATCCCAAAGAAAAGCCCCAGTGTAAAATCAACAATAACCTCAGTGGGCCTGGTGCAGTGGCTCACGCCTGTAATCCCAGCACTTTGACAGGCGGAGGCGGGTGGATCACGAGGTCAGGAGATCGAGACCATCTGGCTAACATGGTGAAACCCCATCTCCACTAAAAATACAAAAAATTAGCTGGGCATGGTGGCGGGCGCCTGTAGTCCCAGGTACTTGGGAGGCTGAGGCAGGAGAATGGCGTGAACCTGGGAGGCGGAGCTTGCAGTGAGCCGAGATTGCGCCACTGTACTCCAGCCTGGGCGACAGAGCAAGACTCTGTCTCAAAAAAAAAAAAACAAGAAAACAAAACAAACAAAAACAACAATAACCTCAGTGGAGTGGCTCCATCAGGGAGTGACAGGGGCGTGACTTACTATTGGAGGACAAGGCAGGAGTCAGGGAAGATGGCCCACGCCTGCTTTGAACTGTAAGGAGCATGCAAAACCTCTTATCCAGGCCCACAGGGCTGCCTGTCTACACCACAAACAGCTCAGGGACAACGGCTCGGGAAAACCCCAGGGTCCAGCCAGGTCACGGGCACAGGCCTGCACTCACGGGGTACTTCACAGAGGACAGAGGTGCACTGCAAATGCGTAAGAGGATATTTTCACCAATGGTAAAGTGGATTTTTAAATAACATTAAGGTTTTTAAACAGATTTTAGAAACGAAAGGGTTCCCCCTGTATATGTCAAGAACCTGAGTTTCTTTCTGAAACTTGGGCAGGCCCCTTTAAGTTGGTTCAAATAGAAAATACACCAGCAGCAGCCACTCCCCTGGGGAAAGGCAGACTTTATGGCTGAAAGGGTCGCCCAAGCGCTCCTGGTTTTCAGCATCACACAGAGTGGCTCAGGTGCCCATTCATTTTATGAGTCAGCCCAGGGAGAGTCCCCACAGATTCGGAGTCATATCTATGATGGGACGCAAGCTCTACACTTCCCAAGCATTGATCCTGAGGTTGATCAATCCTGAGCATTGATGTCTGCAAAAACAAATCACTTAGGTGCAGAGACACCGCAATGACCATCCCGCTGGGGGCTCCCGCCTGATTCCTTCCACATCCTGGCCAACAGCTCTGGCCAACTGGGGAGCCCACGGACAGCTGCTCTGCCTGGCTCCTGCTGAAAGGATGATTCTAGTCAAAGGAATATAGAAGAAAGGTTAGGGGGAAAATGAAAAAAGAAGAGGAATGAAGAGGTAATGGCCCTTTAAGATAACAAAGTCTTACCAAAAGCCACAGTAACTTGTACGGTAGATATCGGCACAAGAATAAAGCAGTAAATTAGAATGGAGAATCCAGAAACACAGGAGAAACACTCAGAACACAGCAGCAACTTAACCCATGACAAATCTGCCAAAAGAGAGAGGTCAAAGTGGCTGACTAGGAAATTAGGCTGGAAAACTGAATACTCCTATAAAAAAACTACATCCCCAACTCACACTACATCTAAAATACATTTTAGATTGAATAAGAGATGTAAATGTAGAAAAATCTGGACTATCAAGTATTAGCAGAACATGCAGGAGGGTGCTTATATATATTAGGGTAGAGAAACCCTTTCTCTAAGTAAGATACAAAACTCAGGGTAAATAAAGCAAGCTTGATAGATTTAACAATGTAAAACTTCCAAATTTTTGCATTGCCAAATATGTCTTTAAATAAAATCAAAGGACAAGTGGCATCTGAGAAAAAAATATCTGCAATATATATAGCAAATGAGGAATAACCCTATGTACCAAGAACACCTATAAATCAACAACAAAAAAAACCTTCACAAGTCAAGAGGAAAAGAGGCAAGGATGAAAAAGAGAATTAGAAGGAGAAATTCAAATTAGTATTAAGCACACAAGAAGCAGCTTGTTGTCATTCACAATTTTTACAAATACAAAATGAAATAAGCTATCACTTTATACCCACATGACTGAATGAAACCACAAAGACTGATCATGTCCAGAGAGTGTCGATGTCCAGAGAGTGTCAGTGGGGACACCGCTGCCCCACACACCAGCATCATTTAAAATGGTCACCACCTGTCCAGAGAGCAACTTGGCAATATCTGTTGACACTCTGAATGCCCAAACCATTCAGCCCAGCAAGTCCACTTCTAGGAACCTATGCTACGGAAACAACCCCATGCAGACACAAGAGTTTAATGTACGAGACTCCACATGTCAGCATTTTCCATAAGTGAGAAAAATGGTAACAACCCAAAAGTTCAATAAGTAAACGGTCACATATTGTGCAAGTGTCAGAGAGAATAATGCTGCTTCCAGCTTTATCCAAGTCCCTCCAAAGGACATGAACTCATTCTTTCTTATGGCTGCATAGTATTCCATGGTGTATATGTGCCACACTTTCTTTATCTAGTCTATCATACATTCTGCAGGTGTATTCCAGAACTTAAAGTAAATTTTTTTTAAAAAAGAATAATGCTGCTATGCACAACGGACAAGGGATCATGGCTAAGACACACGGCTGGGGGATCGAACTGCAAATCTTATTTACAATAGGATCTCATTTTGTTGAAAAATACTTTTAAAACATGTATTTGTGTAAAAGACAAGTAAAATATTTCCACAGACAGAAAAAAAAAATGGGAGGAGTCTCCACCAAATTGTGAATAATGATTATCCTTGTGGGCACTGAATGGGGCAGTGGTGAAACTTGGGGGGAAGCTTTCATTTTCTATTCTACATGATGCATTTCTGTAAAGTTCGAGCCCTTATAATTAGTACATTTTAATTTCATAATCAGAAAAAATATTTAAAGGATCTTAAAATCTAGCATGTTAGACGCCAGCCCCCATTGATGGAGCCAGGGTCCTTCTCAGCCCCAAATTCCACTGCCAGAAAAATGGCACCTTTCTCCTCCAGAGATACAAGATAATTGCTAGAAGACAGCATTTTTAAAACAGAGATATCAAGCCAGGTGCGGTGGCATGTACCTGTAGTCCCAGCTACTCAGGAGACTGAGGCGGGAGGATTGCCTGAGCCCAAGAGTTCAAGTCCAGCCTAGAGACAACATAGCAACACCTCCATCTCAAAATGCAAAACAAAAACTACAGATGGCAGATCTATTTAATGACTAGCTCTGGTGGGGAGTGCTGCCCCTCAGACCTTGACCTACCCAGGCAGCCTCTAGTTATTAAAGACTTCTCAGTATTGGAGAATGAAACAAAATAGACAAGCACTTTAAAATTCACCAGAAGTTCCCAAGGAATTTGCTTCCACGCATAGAAAATAGTCAAGTCCGTTCTTCCGAAAGCTTGCTTCAAAGTCCAATTGCGGGGAATTGATGTAGATGGTTCCATTTTAACTTCTTCAGCCAGAGGAAATCTAAAAATTCCTCCTTCCAGCTCAACAGAGCAAATCCACCTATTGCTTCTGCAAAAGGAGGACAAAGATCCTCCTGGGGCCGCAGAATTCAGCAGCTTTTCCTTGGATTCCTAGGGCAACCAACAGCTCCGGGACACCAGGCCAAGCTTCAAAAGGCAGCCTGCCAGCCATCAGACTCCCAGGCACCTGTGCAGTCCCAGGCGGTTGAGGAACTGGGGGAGGGCTTGGTTTCAACCTACTTGCCAGATCACCAGCAAAATAAGACATGTTCAAAAGAAACAACTGCACATAAGCCAGGGCTCTGGTCCCCAACCCATCAGGTCAGCGGCCCAGCCCCTCAGTGTGCTGGTGAGTGGGACAATCAGAAAAGGCCTCTCTCCCTGGAATAACTAACAGTCTCTCTCCAGCCCCACTCCCACTGCCTCGTGTGTCATGGGAAGTCTCTAAAATTCTCCACGGGCTTCCCCACACGTTCTTGATTTCCTCTCCAAACACCACCAGCCAGCCTAGGAAGCTGGGTCACAGGGAGTCTGCGTGCTGCAGACACTGAGGGGTGCTGCAACGCTGTTTGCTGGACACAGGGAGTCTGCGTGCTGCAGATAACGAGGGGAGCCACCAACACTGTTTGCTGGATGCTGCTCAATGGTGTACCATCAAATGGGTGGAAGGGAAGAGGGAAAAGGAAGGAAGAGGGGAGGGCAACCCCTCACTCTCACTGTCAGTGGGTAATAAAACCTTTCCAGATGTCAATCAAAAGCCTTAACATTTTGCCCAGCAATTCTACTCTTGTAAATTTATAGTAAGGGATCATGAATATCTGCCAATAAAAAACAAAAAACACAACTACAAGGATATTTATTACAGCATTCATTCATAGCAGAAAAACATTCTAAACAAATTTAATGTCCAACCCTGGGATCCAGCTCCAGAAAGGACAAACTCGTATGGCTGGGTGTGGAAGAAACCGTCCATGAGTGTGGAAAGTGCTCCTCATATACCGTCCAGGAGAAGGAATGCTGGGAGCCGGGGTGCCCAGGAACAGGGAGGAATCGTGGGCAAACAACAGGAGGGCCCCCGGCGGGTGGAGTCTGGTATCTCAAAGCTTCCTCCTTTCGCTTTCTGCTATCTCTGTTTTCCAATACAATGAATGAATTCATATGTGATAACTAAAAATAATGTTTTTTAAATAAAAGTGTTCTCTCTTGCCAAAAATCGCTGTAATGCTAAACTGCTGAGTTGAGGCATATGAAGTTGCCTATATTGGATCACTTTTTGACATACAGAAATAACAGTTTCATATGGTTCAACCTAATTTTGTCACAAAATCCGGATGAGTGGTAAGACCCGTAGGAATCACTTCCTCTGACTTGTCCTTGTCCCTCCTCAGGGACAAGTGAGGAGGCTGTGACTTGCCCAGGGCCCCGGCAGTGTAGGTCTTCCGCCTTCCAGAAGGGTCCTTCCCACCACTGGCCCACCACAGAGCACTGCCTGTCCCTCACCCAGCACCTCCCCTGTGCCAGGTCCTGGCTCTGTCATGACTCACATCATCTTGCAAAGTGGATGTCATTGCCAGCCGCAAGCTGGACTGTAGGGAGGCAGTGGGGTCCCAGGAAGGCCCCTCTGACTCTCCACTAAACCGCAGCTGTCCCTGCTGACTCCACAAGACCACGGGGTCCCCGCCCATTTACAGGACTGCAGCTCTGCCCTCCCTGGGCAATATTTCATTTCATCCTGGGCCTCCACCACAAATACAGGCGCTGACGCTTATGTAACTTGAAGCTGAAATGGCCATTTCAGTGGCCAGGGCTGTTTTTCTGTGTCCCCAGCAGGCCACCCTTTCTGCAGGAACAAAGTGGATCGACCAGCTACTCAGCTAGGCCATGGCCATAAATGCTCAGGTGCCAGCCCAGTTCATGAAGATGTTGGCTCTCTTTTGCCTCCTCACTGGACGGTCAACCGCACTTACAACAGCTTTGGTCACTATCGTCTATCGTGACCAATATCACCCCCCAAAAAAACATGGCCTCTGTCACTGACTATAAGTGAGCCCAGGGGCTGATCAGGGGATCAAGTATCACAGGACATATTCTTCTTTTCTAGTGAACATAAGATAAAGCCAGAGGCCAGGGACACTGCTGCCGGCATCATCAGACCCATGGAACCTGGCCGGCACCACAGAAAGTGAACTGGGCCACAGGACGTCAGCAAACCAGGCTTTGATGTTTTGTTTTCAAAATCTTCCAAGCTCAAGTCACTGGGCTTCTCTCTCTCCCAGGGATGGCCCCCAGCACCCAGGCAGGCTGCATCTGAGAAACCGGTCATTTTCAAGCACCCAGAAACTTGGGGCACTAAAACATACATATTCTAAATACTAACATGAGCTTACCCCCCAGTTTTCATGGGAACAGTAAAGAGGAACCGAAAAGGATGACAAAGCTGAGGGTCCTGAGACCGATGGGGGAACAGTGAGGTTTGGAGCCAAGGTCCCACCACCAGGGACATGGTGGAGGGACACAATCTGCCTTCCAACAATTAATAGACTTCATTTTTAGAACAGTTCTAGACTTACAGAAAAACTGAGCAGACTCCACAGAGTTCTCATATACCCACAGCCACCTTCCATGATTATTAACATCGCCATACATCAGCACAGCACATGAATCACAATTAATGAATCTCGATCCACCATTATTAACTACAGTCCATACTTCATTGGCATTTCCATAGCTTCTCCCTAGCGCCCTCTTTCTGCTCCGGGACCTCCTGCAGGACAGCACATCATGTTCAGCTGTCGCGTCTCCTCAGGCTCCCTCCACCTGAAAGGGGAAGAGGGCCCTCCTCTTGGCTGTGACAGCATCTCAGAGTGTCCTTAGTTTTGATGGACTTGATATTTTGAAGAGCATTGGCAAGGTATTTTGTAGAATGCCCCTCAACTGGAATTTGTCTGGAGTTTTCCTCATAATTACGTAGTGGTAACGGATTTGGGGGAGGACGGATACAGAAGGAAAGTGCCCTCCTCCCTCCACAGCACCCAGGGCATGTGCCACCCACATGACTTGCTGTTGGCGCCAACTGTGGCCCCCAGGCTGAGGCGGTGTGTGTTGGGTTTCTGCTTCCCCTTTCTGCACTGGGCTCTGTGGACAGAGGTCACTGTGTGCAGCCCACATTGGAGGAGCGAGGATGGAAATGCACCCCCCTTTACCTTCGGGTTTTTATGAGCCCCCATCGGTGATGCCTGCTTCACTCAGGCCTGAATCTTCCCTCCTGTTGCCATACCTCGCTGGAGCCCCATCTGGCCCTTTATTCTTCCCCTCCCCCACCCCAGACCCCCAACATACACACACACACACACACACACACACACACACATCAAAAGCTCCCCGAGGGCAGGGTCCAGGCTTCCCGATGCTGGTTTGTGTGTGTGCCAGAATCTGGCATGATGCCCTCGGCACTGCAAACACTGGAATGCTCACTCCTGAGACGTCCCTAACCCCGCAGGGTGGCCAGGCAGCAGTCCACAGGCCAACATGGGCAGGGAGAGTCTCTGGCCACAGTCCAGCTCCCACATCAATCATCCAGGGCAAAAACAGTCAGGGGTGTGGCCACGGCACAGGGAGATGAGAAGGGGCTGCATCCAGGACCACTCAACCCTCCCCCAGGTGCAATAAACAAAGCGCCACCCCCCAACCAAGAACATGGGAGATGCAGCTGGAAAGCATCCAGGGCACAGAGAAGTCATGCGTCTGTGCTTCTGAACCACACACAGCACCACATACTGAAAACCCACCCCAAATCCCAGCTGTGCTGAAGGCAAGGACAGGCCCATAGGAAGAGGGGCTTTCCATAGTGCAAATGCCAGCCAGGAGACCATAGAGAGAGCCTGGCCCAAGCCACAGGGCCCTGCCGTGCCACGCTGGCTCCCACTGGATCTGGGAGGGTGGGGCGGGGCTCAGACAACCCCAAACCCCAGAGCTGGGTGGGGGCTGGGGGTAGGGGCAGCACCACCAGGCCCACCCCTCAGACACCCTTTCAGATCCTCAGGCCACGGTGATGGCTGATGAAGCCACTGTGCTCCCCAAGCACCGGACAGAGCCAAGCGTGCCTGCAGTATGGCTGAAGACACAAAATCTTTCTGAGGTTCTAGAGTGACCGCATCACATGACACCAGCTTGCTTCACGCACATCCCTGGAAATGACCACCGGAACAGTGCTGGGCTTGGTACTCTAGTCTCTCTGACATGGGACGGGGTGTGGAGCTGTTGAAACCATTTGACCACTTTCCTGGAGCAGCTACCGAGTTCCAGGTGCTGTGCCAGGTGCTGGGATCCAGGGGTCAGCCCCAGCCAGGGGCAGGGCAGTGGGCCGCATGCATGTGGACAAGGGTAAGTTGTAAATATACAATTTACAATACATATTACAAGGAGGACCTGGGTGAAGGGGTGAGCAAATGAGTGAGTGCCTGCCTCTCTGCCAGGCAGCCAGTCAGCCACAGGACAGAGACACAAGAGAAGTCCCTGCAGGGTGAAGAGGCTGCAGATGGGACAGGACATCCTGACAGGGAAACAGGACACACAGGGGCGCCGCCCAGGCTAAAGGGCTCAAAACGCAGGGAAGCGGCCCCCGACAGCTTATCCTAACATTTGTAGAAGCAGCCACAGCAACAAAGGGCACAGCAAAAAAAATCACCACATTTACAAATGTCACCAAACACACCACAGTAGTAAAATGCCAAGGTGATGGGGAGAGTCTGTCGGGACAGCCCCCTTGGCTGGAAAGAAGATGACAAAGCCACAGGGAGGCTTCAGTTTGAGCAACTGTGATGTGTCACCAAGCATAAAGTGACCTGAGTGAGTGGCCAGGGCAGTAGATGCTGGTCTCTGTCATGTGGGACCCTCAGAGCCCGAGAGGGCACAAGCGACATTCCCTGAAGATCCACCCAATGCTGCCGTCACCACGACGCTGATGCACGGTGCCCAGCATTGGTGATTTGCACTGGGGAGAACAGCACCTGTCACCCATTCCCACACAGCCACACTGCCAGGCTGTTCAGGTCTGATGAGCCCGAAGAAGCCTGAGTCCAGGCGGAGGAGGCTGGGAAGAAGGGTTGGGAGGACCCACGGGGCGCAGGGTCAAGGTCTGGTGCAAACAAAGGCTCTGCTTCTGCCACCCGTGACCACGGCCCAGTCCCCCTGTCTGGGGCTCCAACTCCTCACCTAGAAAGGAACTGACACAACATTGAGGTCCTCTCCCCCAGGGGTCCCTCACCTCCTGCTCTCCGACCCTCCACTCCTGCCCTGCCTCCTCATCTCTCCCGACACACTCTCCCACACTTCACACCACTGTGTCGCAAAGCATCTTGGGGGAAAGACTGGTTTTTTCATAGTATATTACAGTTCTGTACTTTTGCAAAATAAAATAAAACTAAATTACTACCTAAATGAATTTTTTTTAAAGACATTCCTCACTTTATTATCCGATCCAACACACAGAGGCGACCACGAAGGTCCCTACATGCTCATTCTGCATATCTACACCCTTTGCCCTGTGAATCGGAAACAGCCCGCAGATAGCACGCTTGCAGGAATGCCATGACCAGGCCTGCACGCGTGTCCAGTCCAAGGTCTCCCAGTGCCTCTGTGGGAGGCTGAGGAGGAAGTGAGCTCACATGCACAGATGAGCTGTGCAGAGCAAGGCCGGGCACACACGACGCCCTGAGCATACGGAAGCCTCCAACCGGCTGCAACGCAACACGGCTTCCACGAAGCCTCAGGTGAACCCACGCCATGGCTGTGCTCACTCAAGCACACTGTGGCCCATGAAGCTGAGTGGTTACGAGGTCAACAGTCGTCAGACAAAGAGTCTCTCTCCTCTGAAGTCAGCGACATGGCCCTATCCTGGTGGGCTCACAGCCAGAACAAGAGCTCTGGGGGCAACCCGGAAGGGGCAAAGTAGAGTCCAGAGGAATGAGAAGTTCACAGGTAGATGAGGCAGGGAAGGCAGGTGGGGAGAGACGTAGGCAAAGGAGATGGGGCGCCTCTGGGGACCTGAGGGGTTGGGCCCTTGCCTGGGGAGGCAGGTAGCCAGGTGGTGCCATAGAACCTCCACCCAGGACTTCTGGGCTGCGAGGACATGGGGCTGCCCCCGATGAGTTCTCCATGCGCCACATCTCCCCCCGACTGCTCTTCTTAAAGCTCTTTGGTTTCCCTCTCAACTGCAACCACATAACGTTTGATACTTAAACATTTGGTTACTTGTGTCTAGTTTTCTTTAAAAGCACAGCTTCTTTTATATGCAGAAATAAAAATACATTTCCTGCAGATAACTTATCCACACCAATTAAATCTATATACATCTTAGCGTCCTACTCGGGTTTACATACCCTGATCTCACTTAGAAAATATAGTGTGCATCTGAATATTTAGTAGCATTTGTTGTAATGGCAAAATCTAATTATCTCACATTAAGTATAATCTCAATTTTGATAGTATTGTTCTAGCAGTAGAAGAAGCCATGACTCATTCCATTCAAATTTCACCTTGAAAACTCCAAGATCATGAACTGCTCTGTTTTTATACTTTTTCTTGAAATATATATATACAGAAAAGTTCCATAGCATAAATGGAACCTTCCCATGCAAACCAAGATGGGGAAAGGGGACATCATCAGCACCTCCAAAAGCTGTGCTTCCCTCCCCCTGGGCCTCCTATCAGTACCATCTCCCGAAGGCAACCTGATTTCCACACATGACAGTTGTCTGTTGCCCTTCCTAGACACAGAATCATGCATTACACACTCTAGCATCTGGGGTTTTTTGCTCAACGTTACGTGGCAAGCCCCATCCACACAGCTGCCACATTTGCAGAGTGCTCATTCTCGGCCTGCCGTACAGTGTGCCCTGTGAGAAGACCCTCGGGGTACTGATCTATTCTGCTGCTGATGGCCATCTGGTTTATTTGCACTTTGGCAGTTACCATCACGCTGCTATGGACACTTGTGTGTGTCTCTTGATGGCTGTATCCATTTCCAACGGTTGCTGTGACAAATGACCACAAAACTGGGTGGCTGAAAACACATTTCTTCTCTCGCAGTTCTGGAGGCTAGAAGTCTACATGCAGTTTCACTGGGCTGAAATCAAGCTGTTGGCAGGGCCACATTCCCTCCAGAGGCACCAGGGGAGAATCCTTTACCTGGCCCTGTCCAGTTTCTCCCAGCTGCCGGTGCTCCCTGAGCTGTGGCCGCATCACTCCAATTTCCGCCTCCTTGGTCACATCTCTCTCTGCCTCTCTCTTATACGATCCTTGAGGATGGCATTTAGGGCCCACCCAGATAATTCAAGACAATCTCTTCATTACAAAATCCTTAAACACATCTGCAAAACCACTACCACATAAAGTAACATTCACAGGTTTCAGGGATTAGAACCTGATGTCATTTGAAGGTCACTAATGCCCATATGCCCATTTCACTCCATTTCATTTGGATTGAGACTGCTGGTCATAGAGTATATGTAAGCTTGGCTTTAGTTAATTCTACAAAAAAGCTTCCCAAAGCAGTTGTACGAATGTCTACTCTGACCAACAATCAGAGGTCCATTTGTTCCACATCCTCACCGACACCTGCTATTTTCTGCTCTTTTTCTCTTTTTTTTTTTTTTTTTTTTTTTGAGACGGAATCTCGCTCTGTTGCCCAGGCTGGAGTGCAGTGGTGCAATCTCGGCTCACTGCAACCTCCACCTCCCGGGTTCAGGTGATTCTCCCACCTCAACCTCCCGAGTAGCTGGGGTTACAGGCGCCCGCCACCATGCCCACCTAATTGTTTTGTATTTTCAGTAGAGAAAGGGTTTCACCATGTTGGTCATGTTGGTCTCAAACTCCTGGCCTCAGGTGATCCACCCGCCTCAGCTTCACAAAGTGCTGGGATTACAAGCATTGAGCCACTGCACCCAGCTTTTTCTGCTCTTTTGATGTTAGCCATTCTGGTGGGTGTGGAATGGTGTCCCATTTACAATTCATTTTGCATCTCCCTGATGACTAATGGAGTGGAGTACTTTTTCATCTCTTTAGTGGACGTGTGTGTGTGTGTGTGTGTGTGTGTGTGTCGTGTCTTTTGCCATTTTCCTACTGGGTGTTCTCTCATTTTCTTGTTGATTACATAGTGCATTATTTTAAGATGAGTCATTTGCTAAAATAGATTCCACTAAGACACTGGCAGATGGAGGCCTAGTTTCTGGTGTCAGGGCCGGAGATGTGAGGTCCAGTTGTGTCCAAGCAATCAGGTGACATGAATTCTGGACCTTGAACACCCGTAATGGACCCTAAGCCTATGCCAGCCTGGAAGGTTCCAATAAGGAACATGATTGAGAGTTTGGGGACCACTGTCAGGGACTGGATGGGTGGGACAAAAATCAGTCCCAAATTAATGTATTATAACTCCAGTTACTTCCTTGAAACTAAATCTAATTGTATTTAAAAGGGTGACCACTGGGAAGTAAACTCTATTTGGATTTCTACAAATATGGGTGGGTTTTATGGGACTTTTTGGGAGCAGCCACTGCTGACCCAGTCAGCACAATGATAGCCCATCTCCAGAATCAGGCACTGCCCCCACACCATGACAGGCGAGCCAGGCAGTGATCCCTGCTGTGAAACACAATGGATTAAATACACCAGAGTTTGGTTTCTCTACATCACAATAAAGAAAGAGGCCAGGCGCGGTGGCTCATGCCTGTAATCCCAGCACTTTGGGAGGCCGATGTGGGCGAATCATGAGGTCAGCAGATCAAGACCATCCTGGCTAACACGGTGAAACCCTGTCTCTACTAAAAATACAAAAAATTAGCCGGGGGTGGTGGCGGGCGCCTGTAGTCCCAGCTGCTGGGGAGGCTGAGGCAGGAGAATGGCGTGAACCCGGGAGGCGGAGCTTGCAGTGAGCTGAGATCGTGCCACTGCACTCCAGTCTGGGCGACAGAATGAGACTCTGTCTCAAAAGAGAAGAGAAGAGAAGAGAAGAAAGTGGGTTTGGGACATCAGTTGACGTGAACTACTAATATAATATTAGATATCTGATTAAAACCATCAAGATGACAGAAAGGTCTACTCACAGAGGTGCTCTCCACCCCCAACCCCCGCATCAAATAGAGCTCCCTCTCCTTCAAATCAGATATTTTTTTTGAGACAGGTTCTCACTGTCACCCAGGTTGGAGTAGAGTGACGCAGTCACAGCTCACTGCAGCCTCAACTTCCTGGGCTTAAGGGATCCTCCCACCTCAGCCTCCCGAGTAGCTAGGACCACACACGTGAGCCACCACATCCGACTAACTTTTCTATTTTTTTGTAGAGATGGGGTCTCCTTACATTACCCAGGCTGGTCTCAAACTCCTGGGCTTAAGCGAGCCTCCCTCCTCGGCTTCCCAAAGTGCTGGGATTACCGCATGAACCACCGTGCCCAGCCTTCAAATCAGAATTCTAAGGAGCCTAACAAGCAGCAGGCCTTTCCAGTTATGGCGCATGAAAGTAACAAAGGCAGCCTCAGCCAGCATCCAGCGCAGTCCCAGCAGACAGAGATAATGAGGTGGACATGGGCCTCATGGGAGGGAATACTGCCCCCCACCCCCATGCCATGCCAGTGAGAAAAACAGACTGACTGCAGCCCCAAAACATACAGCAACTTACCCACGAAACAGGAACCTCTGATGCCTGACATTATCAGGTAAGAGATATTTCTGGCCCAGCAGCCCCCAGAGGATGAACAGCTCCCTCCGCCTGAAAGGGGAAGAGGGCCCAAGCTGCAGGCGCCCTGGCACATCGAGGCCATGGACAGGAGGCACCCGAATGTCTCCCCAGAGTACCCCTGCTGCAGAGGCCTCTGGAGCCCATCATCCTGCGGCACTGCTGCTCCCGCTCTCTTTCCCAAGCCCTGTGCAGTCCCCTCTCCTGACGCAGGACCAGAAAGCTACTGGGAGCCCCGTAAGGACAGCCTGCGTGCCCAGCCAGGCTGAGGCCAGCCACCGGAGGCCAGCAGCAGGGAGGCCACACCTGCGCTGTCACCCACACCCCTGCACACTGGAGCTGCCTGGGGACCCAGGCCTCCCTGTGTGCCGAGGGTAAGTTGGCGGAGCTGCACAGGTTAAGGCTGGGTGAGCCAGTTAATAATGTGATGAACGGTTTGTCATGGATTTTGTCGTTCTTTTAGAAAAACAGGGGCAAGTTAATCTAGAAATCCTGTAAATCTCTAAAGGGTAAAATTAAACGTCCTCACTAGCAAGGCTGGGACTTGGCAGCAGCAGCCGCCTCCTACAGAACATAGGGAGCGGGCTCTGGAGCCCCCCAATGACGCAGGAGCTGCCTTGGCCAGACACCTGCCCCCGCCACCCTCCTGCGTTCTTACTGAGCCCCTCCCCACCCCATGCAGTGCATCTTCCACCAGCACCTCCCCGCACCCTCCCCTCGCCTCTAGATGCACCCCTGAACATGCCCCTAACGGCGTCCTTCTCCCACGCTCTGACCTGTCTGCTAGGGAAGCCAGCTGCAGAAATCACTCTCCTAGAGTTCGCTTGGTAAACTATGCGTTGTTATTGGCCCATCTGCTTCGCTCCCAACCCACAGCAAGGACTCTCTAGGGCCACCAAGCTCCTAATCGTCAGCAACTGCCCTCCAACCCCCATCTCCAGCTCTAACCTACACAAACCACATAGTCCCCCCTGTGCCCAGGGTGCCCCATTCCAGGCTGGCCCTTTGCCTGGAGGGCTCTTCTGGCCTGGGCTCTGAAGGGGTAAACCCACCCACTCTTATAGGATGGGGTCCATGATCCACCCCAACCTACCATGGGGCTCTCACATCTGCCAGACTGTGCCTCTCTAGGAGGGCCTTGGACCCAGAGCCAGAATGGGGCTCTGATGCCATTGCACATTCTCCAGCAGCCCCCTCCATGCCCTCCCTCCTGATCCCACCCAGCTCTAAACTGGGAACAAGAAAGCTGGAATACAGTAGCTGCTCAGAAAATACCTACTGAGTAGATGGGTGGATGGATGGACAGAGCTCCAGGCAAAGGGACTCGGGGGTAAGAAAAGTGAAGGGTACCTGCCCCCGGTTCTACCACTGCAGAGTCCCTGAGTGTCAAAGGACTGAGAGGTGAATGACAGGCAAGGTGAGACCTACCATGTTAGTGTCCCGCACCCCTTTGTTTCCACTATTAGATTAAGCCACCCTATGTGACGGATAAAAGGAGTAACACGTACGGAGTTAGACCAGGGTTGCCAAAGTGAGGGGTGGGAATGCTGCCAGTCCAGGGGTCCCCCACGGCAGCTCCCCAGACGAAGTCAAGGCAAGTTGGAGATGAGGCTGCCTCTAGGTGTATCAAATCAACTGAAGCAGCACCAGTCGTCAGTGCTGATTAAGCACAGGCACGCCTGTGATCAAGAAGAAAACCATTACTTAATAAAATGCAATTAATTTAGAAGCTGAAAACTGCGAAAGCCCAAGGGAGAGACATAATCAGGAGTTCTTGGTCTGGAGGGGCTTCTGCTCTCAAAGCTTCCAACCCAACACAGCACAAAGATGTCTTCCCCAACAACCGCACATCCAACCTGCAAAACGATGACACGCTCCTCTCCAGGTACCTGAACCTTAGGACTCAAAGGGTAGAGAAAGTTCACAGGCAGAATCTTCACAATACATGCACAAAAGAAAGGCACTTCTACTAGGAGCTGTGGGTCAGGAAAACCTCGACTTCACCCAATGCCATTCCCGAGACAATCAGCCATTAATGTGACCCACTCAGTCCTGCCTCAGGGGCTCAGAATCTAGCAGTCAGGCCAGATGGGAAGTGCAGGGACCTGCGGCCAAAATCGGTCCATTCATCACCCAGCTGACGGCTTTCACAAGTACTAGCCAGAATCAGTAAGAGGCTGGAGGTAGTGCCAGGTGTCTGAAACCCAGCAGGCAAGTTGGTAAAACACACACACACCCTAAACCTGGTGACTGCACTGACTGAGTGCTTTACTGTAGCAGAACAGTTGCACACATCTCATCTCCTCCATCCATAGTAACTCAGTGGCTGGTGAGGAATGGGACACAGATCTCCACGTGCCCTTCTCGGGATGAGTCAAGACAAACTCTGAGCAGTGACGCTCTACAGCTGGCTCACACGTGGAGGCAAAGCCTGGCTTCCCAGAGCTTCCAGTTCCTAACACATGCCTGGCCCCACTGCACCACACCCGTGACAGCTGCCACCAGCTCCGGATAATCCAGACAGATGCTAGAGCACATGGCTCACTTATTACAGCAAAAGACTGAGAAACAGAAACTATGTTTTATTTGCACAAGGCACACACTTGCTTCCAGAGAGACCTGAGAAATCCATCATCCCTAAATGCACGCATTCACTCAATTAGTGGTTTTCCTGTTTTTGCAACAATGGATTTTTCCAAGACAGTTGACAATTAAACCAACGGTGGGAAACCATAAACTGTACTTTACTAAATTAACAATGCATACAACAGTTCGGAGGAATTCATATTTACAGCTGCCCTGCTGGAGAGTCAATTCCAGGAATGTAAAACCAACCAAATAAAAAAAATTTTATATATATATACACATACATACACACATATATACGTACACATACACACACACACACACACATATACACACAGTTATGCATCGCTTAATGGCAGGGATGTGTTCTGAGAAATTTGTCATTAGGCAATTTCATCATTGTGCAAACATCATAGAGCATACTTTATACAAACCTACTCCACACCTTGGCTATAGGTTACAGGCCATTGCTCCCAGGCTACACACCTGGGCAGCATGTTACCACGCTGAATACTGTGGGCAACTGTAACACAAGTATCTATCTAAACATAGAAAAGGCACAGTAAAAATATGGTATAAAAGATAAAACATGGGCCAGGCGTGGTGGCTCACGCCTGTAATCCCAGCACTTTGGGAGGCCAAGGTGGGCGGATCATGAGGTCAGGAGGTCGAGACCATCTTGGCTAACACGGTGAAACCCCGTCTCTACTAAAAATCCAAAAAAATTAACCGGGCGTGGTGGCAGGTGCCTGTAGTCCCAGCTACTCGGTAGGCTGAGGCAGGAGAATGGCATGAACCCGTGAGGCAGAGCTTGCCGTGAGCTGAGATTGAGCCACTGCACTCCAGCCTGGGTGACAGGGCGAGACTCCGTCTCAAAAAACATATATATATAATATATATAACACAGTACCCCATCTAGGACACTAACCATGAATGGAGCTTGCAAGACTGGAAATTTCTCTGGGTGAGTCCATCTGTACACTAGCGTAGACTTCATAAATATTGTACACTTAGGCTACATTAAATTTTTTTAAAAAATAAAGTAACTGCACTACAACTTTACGACAATGTCACTAAGCAATAGGAATTTTTCAGCTCCATAATAATCTTATGGGACCTCTGTCATATATGCTATCATTCCCCAAAACACTGTCATGTGACGCATGACTGTACACATATATCTCAACTGAAAATGCCAAATGTCAATAGTGTTCTCCGACTCACTATTTACTAATGAGAGTTTCCTCAGAACTGTCCTTGCCTGAGAGTTTCAGAACCAAGCATCTCTCTGCGCAGTTGATTCTAGGGACAACAAGTGCTAAGAATCCATGCTGGCTTCAAGTGCAAAACGGAAAACACCTTCATGTCCCACCAACCATGTCAGCCACCTTCCTGGAGGGCAAGCTCCCAGACCCTCTCCCCATCCCTGTGAAGGGCCCATGTCATCTGTGGCATTTCCATGACTCTCTGATGCCAGCCATCAGTCTCTCAGCACGTGTTGAAAATTAGCCTCTGTACTTGCCCACCAGTGGTCACGAGTCCTAGTCATGCCCACCCCGTGAAAAACAAATCTGATACAAAATGGGCCCCAGCAGGAGACAGGGAGAAAACATGGGCCTCACACTCTCTCCAGCTCAGGCTCAAAGGCCAGCACTGCCCCGTCACAGCAGAGTGTTCTTAGGCAACCCACAGCTCAGCTACCTGTCCCCAGCCTCCTTGTTGCAAAGTTAAGACAAGACGCGCCTTCCAGATTTGTCGGGAAATTATTTCAAATGACAAACAAAGAGGGATGGAACTCAACACACAGAATTGCCCAATGATGTGCATTTCATTCCAGTGGTTTCGCCATCAAAACCATCTTCAAATGTTGGAGTGTTTCCGTTTCCAGAAAACTAGAGATGAAAATATTTTCAGTCACTCAATGCAGGAAGTTCAACCACATATTTTTTTTCTCTTAACTTTGATCCTTGAAACACAAAACAACAGACATAGCACCTTATATTAAAACAGCCCCTTAGAGTTTATGACGTGCCTCCTCTGCATTCTCTCACTAGGCCGTAGCTGTAACTCACAAACCTGACCCTTAAAACTCTCAGGACAGTAAGAGAAGCCACACAGGCCCAAGGCTACGTGGCCACACCAAATGACTTGCTGTCATAAAATATCTTGCATCAGTTAAATATTGCATCTCATTTGTGCCTCAAAACAACCGCAGGCAAGAGGCCTCGTGCGTGTATTGCAGATGCTGAGAAAGACTCTCAAGCCAGGTGACTGGCCCTGAGCCCCAGGGATTAGTGGCAGGGCCAGGCTGGAACTGAGCTCCTGTTACTCCAAATCCCATCCTCTTTTCCAACCTCCCAGTCCCTTTCTCATAAAACTAAAGCATCTCCTCCAACTAGGCCAGGACACAGGCAAGAGACAGTCAGGCAGGCGGAGGCTTCTGGAAGGTAAAGCAGAGTGGCTGGGAGCCCTGGGACAGAGTCCGACATTACATACAAGACAAGTTTGGAAAGATCCAGATGGAGTGGGAAGGGAATCTGGGCGTGGGGGTGCCTCCTTCCAAAGTGCATCCACATCCGAGGTGACTGCAGGGAGACACAGAGCTGACTTTGGCAGCAGGGACCGCCTGGGTGCAGAGAACCCAAACAACTGAAAATCCAAAAAGGAATCTTAGTGCAGAATCAGAAAGCTCACTCTTTGGGCTGGTTACCTTCCCAAACACATTCTCCTCTGGCCTATGTGAAACTGACGTTGCACTGTACAATTCTACAGCTCTTTCCTGACTGCCCACTGAGTGAGGGTCTGTGCTACATGCCAGGAGGATCCAAATGTGAACACAGCTAGGTTCCAGCTCTGGGACGCGGGAAAAGGAGGCACAGGGAGCAGGACATGTGCTGCAAGGAGACTACTGCTCCCGTGTTTCGTTCACTCACTCATCCAACAACAGCGCTAAGGCTCTGCTGTGTGCCAGGCACTTTTCTAGCTACTGGGGATCCAGAGGTGAGCAAAGTCTTTTACAATTGAGTGGTAAGAGACTGACAATAAACAAACAAGTAAATAAATAACACACTGAATGGTGAGTACTAAGGAGAAACACAAAGCAAGGTTAACAAGAGAAACACAAAGCAAGGTTAACAAAGCCAATTTATGTAGGGCTTTCAGGGAGTGGGCAATAAGTGAGGGGCCAGCCATGTGAGCATCTGGGGGTGGCTCATGCCAAGGGGGTGGGAACAGCAGGTGCAAAGGCCCTGAGGCAAGAGTGGCCTGGCAAATCTGAGGACCAAGGAATAAGAGGGAAAGAGCCCACATTCAGTTGGGATCTCCAGGATGGACATGCGCCAAGATGACAGGTGGGGATGGGGTGCGGACAACCCAGGGCAGATCTGGGCAGTAAGCCTGTCTGCCTGGAGCCAGGGCAGCCTGGAGGGGCCATTCTTGGGAGCAAGTGGGGGAACTTGAGAAAATCCAGCCGAGTAACGTGGATGTGGAGGGAGCACTGGAAAGCCACTGAAGGCCTGGGCAATGGTGACACACCTGGCCTGGGCCAACTTGCAGAGTCAGGAGTACCCCACAGCCCCCAACCTGGGAAACCTCACAGCCAGCACAGAAATCACAATGCACACAGCAGTGGCACCCCACCAGTACGTAGGGTTCCACAGAGTGAGCCTGGCTGCATGATCTTGAGGTCACCTACCTCCCGGGGCTCCCTTGTGTGTCTGGACAGGGAGAGAGGGGAAGATTGGCTTCAGGGGAGGCGAGAAAAGACGGTGCCCACGACAGCTGACTCAGCCTGTGCCAGCAGGCTGCTCTGAGACACGAGCTGGACCCAACCCAGGCGGTGGGCGGCAGGGGGTTGGGGAGGAACTCTGGGAAACGAAGGAGCCAGAGAAGCCTCCCTGTGGGCACTCGGGCCAACCACCACCCAAGGGAACAAAGAGCACCCCCAGCCCCCGCTGGGCACACAGGCTGCCTTCTGGTGAGCAACCCTCTCAAACTTCACCCCCAGCCCCCACCGGGCACACAGGCTGCCTCCTGGTGAGCAACCGTCTCAAACTTGACCTACATCGGGGAGGCCTGCCTGGTGGTCAGTGGCTACCTTACATCCTACCTGTGCCTCCACGTTCCCAGTCCTCACAGCCACCTGGCAAGGGTGAGGAACTGAGACTGCATGGGGAGGGCACGCAGCCTGTGAGTGATACAGCCAGGACCGCCCGCCACCCAGGCCCAGAGCTCTCTCCACTCTCCCCATTCTCTAAGGACCAGGCTGCAAGGCAGGGCATGTGATCTCTGCCGAAGACATTCGAGCCACCCAGTGATGTGTGCTGGGTCTCGATCCCCACCGACCGCCAGTCCTCTCCTCCCCTGGACAGTAAAGGTTTCTCCACGACTTCAGACCATGGTGTCACCTGAGGCCCACACCTGTTGAGTCACCGGGGCAGGTATGCGTGGCAGAGGACAGCCAGGAGCGCCGGAGAGGAGCTGAGGCCTCGAGGGGGTCTCTGAAGCCAGGCTCAACCCCCACTCTCCCCACTCCAACAGCCCTCACCACAGCCACCGCCGCCCAATCCAAACAAAGCCCAGCCTGATGCCAACCTCACCATCAACTGTTTTTCCTCTGACTTCCTCAGTTTCGTCTAGGAAAAATCAAGGTGTCTTATCACCCCTCTCAGCTTCCAGGGGTGTGATCAGTGTCTTTTACAATTATCTCTTATTTTTATCCAGTATTTCTTAGCTCAGTTGGCAAACTAGGTATTTATGCACCTCCATTTCACAATCCATCCCCACCAATTATGCCTGTAAAACTAACATTTTGTTGGAAAAAAGAGGTTAGAACTACTTAAAAAGGTTTTGTAAACAAGTTAACTAGCAGGCCACAACTTGAGTCTAGGGTGTCAGAGAAAACATGCAAGGTGGAAGAGAATGAGGAGCTGACGGTCACCAGTTTCACCTCCTTCCAGCGCCCACCCAACTCTCCTGCTCACACACACTCACACCCCGTGGGACTCAGCCTGCAGCTCCTCCCATCCCAGGAGCCCAGAAGACCGGCAGTAGGGAGGGGCACAGACCACACTTCCTAACAAATGAGAGGGAAGACTCAGTGCCCCATTGCTAATGCCATCACCCAGTCCCAGCCCGGCCATGGAGCCCACTCCAAGGGCCCCCCTGACAGTGCTGCTAGAGCCCACCGAGGGAAGGCTGCCGGCACACAGCCGCAAGCTCCAGCTTTATCCACTCACGCCCTGGACATTGCCTGGAGCCCCAGCGTTCCAGGTCCGTGTCACCCTGGCCCTCCTGCCTGGCAGATCCTAAGCTCAGGAGACCCTCTCCAGCCCAGGCTGCAGGGGGAAGCAGCCCCCACGGTCACCCAGGAATCAGCACAGAGGGCAGGGCATCCTGGACGCCCCGGACTGGGAAACCCAGATCCTGTCCCCTGCGTAGTGGCGACACACAGGAGAAACCCCTGCCTCACCTCATTGGAGGGACCCTGACCCAGAGGCCTGAGAAAAAGCCGCCTGCAGGCTCCTGGCACCTGCCAACCTGCACCTTAGGAAAACTCGTCCCACTTCAACCTGCAAAGCTCTCGGGTCATTATTTCTAAAATCACTGTCCTTTCTCAAAGAGGAAGGAAAACAGAAAAATAAAACAAAAACAAAAACAGAAAGAGGCACAGGAGGTTGAAGAGGCCAGAGGCAGTTTAGCCCAAAAACAGTGCCAGACGCAAGATGCCGAGTTCGGGGTGCCTCACCCTCCACATGCCCATTTAGGAGCTGACTGCACTCAACCACAGATTTATGTCTGGTGCCTGCCAGGTCGTATCTGAATAGATCTGAAAAATTAAGCCTTCCTTCTGCCAGTAAATACGAAGTTAAGACTAGCAGGCCCCTCTAAGGCTCTGCTCTCCACGGCGGTCCTCGGCAGGCGTCGGAGAAAGGAAGTTCGCCCCCTCCCCGCCTGGGCACACCGAGGCCCGCTGCCCGGCCCATGGCGCCCTGCTTGGGGACCCGGGGCCTCGATGTTCTCCTTCACCATCTGCAGCCAGATCTCCCGCCAGCAGCCTTGCCAGGCAGTGCCTGCCATGGGGAAGGGGCCAGGCCGAGGGGCAGGTCCGCGCCGTGCCCCCAACCGGGCACCTGCAGCCCAGGGGCAACGGGGTGTGGGGTTTTGAATTGATAAGTTTTCCCCTCTGGGCCTTATTATAAAGGGAAAGGGAAGGGGGCGAAGATCTGGGCTTGGGTTCTCTGGGGGCAGCGAACCCAGAGGCGACCCCAAACTCAGTAGTTGCCGCCCGGCACGGGGACTTGATGCCGGTGCCAAGCAGCCCGGCCAGCCCGGCAGGAGTCGAGCGGACAGCCCCGCCACACAGCGCCTCTTGTCCGCGCCGGGTGGCCCCTTGCCGCGGTGCCCCCCGCGCGGGATGCGAGAGCCGCCGCCTGGTCCCCGCCCCGCCCGCCCACCCGTCGTGGGAGGGGGAAGAGGCCGGTCAGAGAGGAGTGGGGCCGCCGGGCTGTACCCCCATATCCCAGCGGCGGCCGCCCCGCAGCCACGCTGAGTCGGGAGGGCAGCGCTCTGGAGCGCTCGGGCCGCAACCTCCGCGCCGCCCCCCACGCGTCCGGGTCCTCGCGGCGCCCCGGGCGGCCCCAGGCTGCCGCCGCCGGCAAGTCAGGCAGCCCAGGTTCCCCAGCTTACCTGGCCAGGGCGCTGGGCTGCCCGGGTACGCCGCCGTCCCCGCCCCGCTGCCGCCGGCTCAGTCCGCGAGGCCGAGCTCTTTGTGAGCCCGCGCCGAGCCGCACACCGCGACTGCTAATGAGCCCGGGAAGCTGAATAGCTTCCCGAATAGCGGCGGGCGCGCCCCGGACGCAGCGTACGGCACGCAGGGCCGCCTCTGCCGGGCGCACGCGGCGCGGCTGCGGGGCGCATCCCGCACCGGCCTGCGGCTGCCGGGCCTGCGCCCCCGCCCCGGCCGCTTCCGCCTCACCCCCGCCGGGCACACTGGGGCCGGAAAACGATTCCCGGCTAGATCGCGCGCCGTGAAGAGAGGGAAGACAAAGATGCGTCCGTGCCGGGCGTGCGCGAGGTCCTGCGCCCCCTGGCCCCGGCGCTGGGACAGTCTGCAGGGCAGGAGGGTGCACTCGGGACCCCGGGTCCCCCCGGGCCGGTCTCCGGGATCGGGGCTGGGACCCAGGCGCTGGAAGGCGCGGCGCCCCGAACGCCCCGGGCCCTGGGGAGCACACAGATTCCCGGGCGTGCCCCGGCCGTGCTGGCTGGGGAGCTGCAGGGGTCTGGTCCCGCAGGTAGAGCCAGTGAACGCGAGGCTCCGCAGGTAGAGCCGGTGAACGCGAGGCTCCGCACCTTGCCCCGGCCGCCGCGCCCTGCTTGCTCGGCCCCGCGCAGCTGTAATGGGGGACCCTAGAGCGAAGAACCCTCGAGCGAAGAACTCTCGGGGATCGCGGCCTCCGAAGGCCCCATCCGGCAGAGGAGGCCCCCTGCTGCCTCCCCACCGCAGCTCCCCTAGGCGCATGCTGGACTCCCAAGTCTTCCCTGGCGGTCCCCGGTAACCATCCCAGCACCCCGTTTCTGATACTCTGTGCTGCTTTAGCCCCCAGCCCCAGGGCCTCACTCCAGGGCTTTCTCTCCTTGCTGTCCTAAATGGAGAGAACCCTGACCTCCGCGGGGCCCTGGGGAGCGTACACTCCTAGACACTCACATGCATCCCCAGGGGAGCCAGTCTTCCGCCCCTACAGCGCGAGAAATGCCCTGGAGGCCCTCGAAGGTCGTGCTGGAGACTCCGGTGTCACCTTTGGCCCTCTGGCCCTTTCACTGAGTCCCAGGCAGATGTGATGAGCCATGGGAGATGCACAGGATGCCTTGTCTGGGCAGAGCGGGGGCCCAGGGGCCTCCCTCCCCCCAAATCGTGGTGATTTGCCCTCGTTTTCTTTTCTCCTGTGGCTGGATTAGGCGAAGCTGTGGCATGGGAAGTTCTGCCCAGGCCAGAAGGCACAGAAGGGCAGGGGGACTTGCGAGTGAGGACAGCGCATCTTCCTGCTGCCCTGAGGGCCCGAGCTGAGACCCTAAGGAGAAGGGGCTGGGGGAAGCCGAATCCTGAGATGGACTAGGGTTAGATACACTGTGGACTTGGCCTCTCCACACCCTGCCCCCACCAAACATTCACAGGTTTCCAGGGCCAGAGCCGCCAGTGGGGGCTGCTCCTGGTAGGGGAGCTTTGTAGCCACAGGGCCAAACAAAGGGGCAAAGGCCAGGGCAGGCCAACGAGGTTCCTGACCTATGCCCCTCCGTACTCAGATGAGCACACCTTCACTGTCTACTTTCCACCTGCATAGACATTCTGCTTACCTGGCTAACACAAAGTTCATCCAGCCTCCTGTGGCCCAGCCTTTCACCAATGCCAATAGTGGGAAGCAACAATTAAGAAGAAGTGATTCTGAGAAGATAAATGCAGTCATCTTCTTGCCTTACTGTTATGTGGTCACATCCCATAGGAAACCAGACACCTGTGCCTGAAGCTGATCCACACAACACCCCCCACCTCCTCAAACCCCCACCCCCATCTGTGTGAACGTGTGTGGGCCGGTAAGTTGCATGCTGTTCCTTCAACAGCCTCCCTTGAGATCTTCCCATGAGCAGGCTCTGGGCCAGTCACTGGAAATTAAACCCCATCGCAGCACCCGGGAGTGATAGTGGCTGAAGTCCTCAGTCCACAAGATGAAAGGTATAGGCCTAGGGCCAAGAACAGTGGCTCCCACCTATAATCCCAATACTTTGGGAAGCTGAAGCAGGAGGCTCGCTTGAGCCCAGGAGTTCAAGACTGCAGTGAGTTGTGATCGTGCCACTGCACTCCAGCCTTGGTGACAGAACAAGACCCTATCATTTTAAAAAATGAAATAAATTAAATAAATTTAAAAATAAAGGTACAGGCCTGCCCCCAGCCTCACTCAGGACTCCTAAATCTGGTGAGCTTGAGCCAACTGCCAGTATTCAGAGAATTTTTGAAGAATCATTAGGACAAATAGTTAGTGCATGTGAGGCTTAAAACCTAGATGACAGGTTGATAGGTGCAGCAGACCACCATGGCACACATATACCCATGTAACAAACCTACACGTTCTGTACTTGTATCTGGGAACTTAAAATTTTAAATTTAAAAAAAAAAAGTATCTTGGAATGGGAAAGGCCTTTCTAAGTATGCAACAAAATCAAAAAGTGGTAACAAAAAAACAGCTAAGTTTGACTTCAAAGAAACTCTGGCATGGCAATCACTACCATAAGCAAAGTCTACAACAAAGGGGAAAAAATTATTTGCAATTCATATCACAAGCAGCTAATTTCCCTAACACATAGATAGCATCTAGAAATTGATAAGAAAAAAAAAATCAAAAGAAGGCATCACGGATCATCACCAGGCCCCCACCTTGGCTCACACCTGTAATCCCAGCTACTCAGGAGGCTGAGACAGGAGGATCACTTAAGCCCAGGAGTTCCAGGCTGCAGTGAACTATGATCATCCCAATGCACTAAGCCTGGGCAGCAGTATGAGACTGTCTCTTAACAGAAAAGACAAAGAAACAGGTAAAGGGTAAGAAGCAGACAATTCACAGGGAAGGAAATACAAATGACTTTTAAACATCTGAAAAGCTGTCCTCCCTTATTCATAATAAGAAATGCAAATTAAGCCAGGCATGGTGGCTCACACCTGTAATCCCAACACTTTGGGAGGCCGAGGCAGGTGGATCACTTGAGGTCAGGAGTTTGAGACAAGCCTGGCCAACACGGTGAAACCCCGTCTCTACTAGAAATACAAAAATTAGTTGGGCATGGTGGTGAGCACCGGTAATCCCAGCTACTTGGGAGGCTGAGGCAGGAGAATCGCTTGAACCTGGGAGGCAAAGGTTGCAGTGAGCTGAGATCGCACCACTGCACTTGAGCCTGGGCAACAGAGTGAGACTCCATCTCAAAAAAAGAAAAAGAAATGCAAATTAAAACTATGCTGAGATGTCATTGTGTTCACTGATCAGAGACCCAGGAGTTCAGTAATACAATATATTCCAGAAAGCAAGAGGAAACTGGCAGATACCCACACTGCCCATGGGAGTGTAAATCAGTACAACTTCTGTGTAGGAAAATCAGATGATGTCTATCAAAATTACAAATGCACAAGCTCTTTGACCTAAGAATTCTACTTCTAGGAATTTTTTGACTTGTATATCACACGTGCAAAACAGGCATGAGTAGAATCATTCATGGTGCTATGTTTCTGTAGTAAGTGACTGCAGACAATCTTGATACCCATGAAAAGGGCACTGTTCAATGCATGAGGGCACTTCCCAACACTGAAATAGAATGCAGCCATAAAAGAAGGAAGAAACGCATGATAAATTAACATGGGAAGTTCTCCAAGATAATTGTTAAGTGAAAGAACAAAGGGCAGAAGATGTGTGTAGTATGCCACCATGTGAGTAAAAAAAGCAAAAAGGAAAAAAGGGTGAGCCTATAGATGCTCATATACAATAATAAAGCCTTTCTGGAAGGATCACAGTAAACTGAAAAATGTTGTCACCCTTGGGAAAGAAAGTAGTGTCTGGGGCGGGGGTGACAGGAAAACTTTTCAGTGATTTTCCTTTTCCTTTTCTTTTTTTTTTTTTTTTTTTTTTTTGAGACAGAGTCTCGCTCTGTCACCCAGGCTGGAGTGCAGTAGCTCTCTGTCTTGGCTCACTGCAAGCTCCGCCTCCTGGGTTCACGCCATTCTCCTGCCTCAGCCTCCAGAGTAGCTGGGACTACAGACGCCCGCCACCATGCCCGGCTAATTTTTTGTATTTTTTAGTAGAGACGGGGTTTCACTGTGTTAGCCAGGATGGTCTCGATCTCCTGACCTCGTGATCTGCCTGCCTCGGCCTCCCAAAGTTCTGGGATTACAGGCATGAGCCACCGCACCTGGCCAATTTTTAATTTTTGAAGTATATGATATTATCTATCTCTGAAAAAAAAAATGTAATTATCATTCTTAACCCTGGTTTTTAACCCTTTGGAGGGTAAAAGATCTCTGAAATCTTTTGTCTATTGTTTTAGGGGGAAAAAGAAGAACAAGGAAGGTCTGTGACTATATGTTTGGAGCACATGGCTGTGATCCCTACCACCACTTAGTGACAGCATACATGAATTGCATGCTTAATGCCGATACCATTCAGCCTAGAGGGGCTCCTGGACCAGGCCAGATTTCCTACAAGGTGTTACCAAGTGGAGTTGGAAACTTGTCACCTCCTCACACCCTAACTTATTTTTTAAAAATAACATATGACTTTCCTATATAGGACAGAAGATTAATGCATTGTTTTATAAGCTGAACAAGATGTTCCTTTACAAAACTTCCAAATGACAGAATACTAATTTTTCCTTCACTCTTTGGCTGACTGTAAAAATGTGCTTAATTAATAAAGACATGTCCTCTCTCTGTGGGGATGGCAGAATAACTTCCTTCTCATAAAGTTACTGCTTGGCACAGGCCTTGTTGGGCCTGGGAATATCAAGCTCTTAGGCTCCTCCTGCTGACTGCTCATTTTATCCTTGTGGAGTCTAAAGTGGCCTGAACCAAGAGTCAAGAGGCCTACATTCTGGTCCCAGCTAAGGCACCAGCCAGGCGGGGGGACTCAAGTAAATCAGCTGGGGCCTCCATGGTACAGTTTCCTCCTGGGTTTCGGTGAGGAAGTTGGCCTAGAAAATCCCCAAGGTCCAGGGTGTGTAAGAAGGAAATGCTAAACACCCCTGTGGGAGTCTGATTTTCTTGCCTTCAGGATTTAAGTCAGTGGAAAAATCACTAACCAGATCACACTCTAATAGGTTTTTCCAAGACCCACTGCTTTATTTTGGAAGACACAGAGACAGCATGGAAATGTCTTTGACAACCGTAGAAGCTAGTATCTTCCAGAAAAGTAAATACCATTGATTTATTTGGCTGATCTCAAGGCTCAAAATCCAGGCTTTGTAGAAATAAATGGATAATTGTAAACAATGGAAACCTGACCCTGGCCTTGGGAGCCACGTAGAACAGTCAGCAGGCCAGACTGTCTGTGGAGGAGCCTGAAGTATAGCCCTTACCCACCGGGAGGGCCTGTGAGGAGGGACCCACCGTGCAGGTGCTGGTGTGCTGCAACAGCAGAGGTTTGTTCTTTTCATGAGATCAGTTACCAACTGCATTTTATTTATTTATTTAGACAGGGTCTAGCTCTTTCTCCCAGGCTGGATTGCAGTGGCACTATCTCGGCTCACTGCAACCTCTGCCTCCCAGGCTCAAGCGATTCTCCTGCCTCAGCCTCCCAGAGTAGCTGGGATTACAGGCACCCGCCACCATGCCCAGCTAATTTTTGTATTTTTAGTAGAGACAAGGTTTCACCGTGTTGGCCATCCTGGTCTGGAACTCCTGACCTCAAGTGATCTGCCCACCTCGGCCTCCCAAAATGCTGGATTACAGGCATGAGCCACCGCGCCCAGCCACCAACTGCATTTTAGTAAAGGTAGGTAGGGTTGGAAAATCACCACAGTGCCGACCGTCTTTATCCTAGAGACTCTTTTGTGTAGATAACAGAGTGAAGGTCACAGAGATCGTTAGGTGTGGCTATAGGTAGCATCTATAGTATAGACGGTATGTAGAAGAAAGAGCAAAGTTCTTATTGTATAATATGGTCTAGACAGGCACTTGAGCATGTCTAGTTATGTGGACATAGAACGAGTCAGCACTACAAGTATCTTGGTGGGCCAGACAGTGATAGGAACGAAGCTGCCCTCCAATACCCCCTGTGTGAGTCTGATCCGCAGCAGAGTGTTGGAGGTAAGTCAGTGTTCACAGGAGGTCAGGCCTCCTGGGAGGGAAGGACTAAGACGGCAACTGCTCCTTTCCAAGATACAGCACAAGAAACCTTCCTGGGGGGCCAGGATGACCCAGATCAGAGCTGAGAGGCACAGAAGGGCGGACAGGCTGGTGATACATATTCCCCAGAGGAAGGGGCATCCAGGCAGGACCCCAGGACCCAGCCTGAAAGTTCCAGAGAGCAGAGCCAGAGGGGATGCTGGAAACTTTTCTGATCCTAGCCCCACAGGGATGTGTCTGGGGACAAGTGGCCAGGGATGGCCGCAGACCAGGAGCAGAGCTGTGAGCCGGGCAGAGCCCGCTGTGTGACTCACCATAGTAGGGAACAAGGAGCCGGAGAAGGGCAGGCACGACCCATCTGCAAGGCTGCCTGTGGGCATCAAGGGGCTTCCACTGTCAAGACCTGACAGCCCTGTCCTATGGCCGTGGGGCGTTTGGAAGGGAACTGAACTCCCACGGCAAGGAGCATTTTCAACCCAGGATGGGATGGCTTCCTGCTGGTAGGGCAGGCAGCATGTCAGCGATTAACAAGAAAAGAGAACGAAGCAGCACCCCCAGATCTGTCCTCCCTCATTCTCAGCCTCCTGGTTTAGAAGAACTGGCCTCTGCCCCACTCAACCCTCCTCCGTCACTTGGGGTGGGCATATGAGTTGGACCTGGCCACTCCATGTATTCCATCCCCTTGACTCCAGGGCTTAGCTGAGGGGTGGGTATGGGACCCAAGACCCTCAAGATTCCATCCCAGGACCTCACTGGAAGCACTGGCAAGGCAGCGCTCTCTCCACTGAGATTGTAAGCAGTAAGGACAATTCGAGCCTGGAGCTGCCCTGTTAGGGCGCTGGTGGGAGAGTGAGGCTACAGCAGAGGGAAGCAGAGCTGAAGGTGGACGGCATCTGTGGCTCTGGGTCCAACCCTGCCTGATCTCCCTTCCTCTAGACATTTGCGTTACTTAAGTCAGTTGAAGTTGAGCTCCTATCTCCTGTAACCTTAAGAGTCCTCACTGGCTGGGCGCTGTGGCTCACGCCTGTAATCCCAGCACTTTGGGAGGCCAAGGTGGGCGGATCACGAGGTCAAGAGATCAAGACCATCCTGGACAACATGGTGAAACCCCGTCTCTACTTAAAAAATACAAAAATTAGCTGGGCATGGTGGCGCGCACCTGTAGTCCCAGCTGCTCAGGAGACTGAGGCAGCAGAATCACTGGAACCCGGGAGGCAGAGGTTACAGTGAGCAGAGATCACGCCACTGCACTCCAGCCTGGTGACAGAGTGAGACTTCGTCACAAAAAAAGAAAAAAAAAAAAGAGTCCTCACTGATATAGTGAGAATCATGGTGGTTATTTGTTGTAGCTATAGGTAGTAGGAAGACACAAAGCTGTGGGGTTCCAGAAAGAGCAGCAGCATTCATGGTCACAGTGCCTATTTCAGTTCCTGAAACAATCTGATGTGAGCAGCTCTCCTGGAGCCTTAGAACGTGTCCGAGAAGGAACGGAAGGAATTGGGTGCATTAAGCGCGTGGCAGTAATGGCTCAGGGAGCTTTTTCGAGAGCTGCCTTCCGAGGCTGGACTGGCTGTCATGTGGGGAGACACAGAAGTGTGCTGGGGCCAGTGCTGCAGAGGGGTCCACGATGTGGAAGGGTGCCATAAGGAGCAGCTTCACAATGGCTAGTGCTGGGCTGCACAGTGGCTTTCAACGTTGCGGGAGCTCGCCTGATGGCCCTGGTGAGCCACACGTGGGAACTCTAAGGACAACTGCACAATGTGGCTTCTCCATGGGCGTGAGACCGTGACCTGAATGACCTCACCCCAGGCTCCCAGTTCATCTCACCTGTTCTTCAGTCCTGCTCGCGCTTGGCTTATACAAAAGACACCACGTTTCCTAGTCTCATCTGAGAACTTGGGGCCTGACCCTGTATGTCAGTGGCTCTCAACTGGGGGCGATTTTGCAATGATCTGGAAATGTCTGCAGATGTTTTAGGCTGTCACAACTTAGGGGAGTGATGCTACCAGCATCTGGTGGGTAGAGTTCAGGGATGTTGTTAAACATCCTACAATACAGAGGACAGGTGCCCACCCACTCAATGAACTGGTCTAAGCCAAGATATCATGTCAAGATGTGCTGAGATTAAGAACCACTGCCATTTTTTTTTTTGAGATGGAGTTTCACTCTTGTTGCCCGGGCAGAAGTGCAATGGCACAACCTCCACTTGCTGCAACCTCTACCTCCCAGGTTCAAGCAATTCTCCCAGATAGCTGGGATTACAGGCAAGCGCCACCACGCCTGGCTAATTTTGTATTTTCATAGTTTCACCATGTTGGCCAGGCTGGTCTTGAACTCCTGACCTCAGGTGATCCTCCCAACTTGGCCTTCCAAAGTGCTGGGATTACAGGCGTGAGCCACTGCACCCAGCTCCACTGCCATAGTATCTTCAAATATGTCCATTTATTTACATGGAAGAAAGTCTTTTTTTTTTTTTTTTTTTTTGAGATGGTGTCTCACTCTGCCGCCCAGGCTGGAGTGCAGTGGTGCCATCTTGGCTCACTGCAAGCTCCACCTCCTGGGTTCACGCCATTCTCCTGCCTCAGCGTCCCAAGTAGCTGGGACTGCAGATGCCCACCACCAAGTGCGGCTAACTTTTTTTTTGTATTTTTAGTAGAGACAGGGTTTCACCATGTTAGCCAGGATGGTCTCGATCTCCTGAACTTGTGATCCGTCCGCCTTGGCCTCCCAAAGTGCTGGGATTACAGGCGTGAGTCACCGCACCAGGCCAGAAAGTCCAAATATATAAAAGTTAATCACACGTAGTGAATGACTTAGAACGAGAAAAAAACATTGCTATATTTCCACAGCATGGGACGACAGAGACCCAGGTAGTGATGGGGCTGTGGCCCTAGCCTTGGGGGTCCAGCCAGAGACTCTGCAGGAAGCCCACCCTGGATGAGGCAGGGCTCCCATGCAGTCTGCCCAGTCGTCCTGCGCCGCTGCTCCTGAGCAGAGTAGGCACCTGTAAGTCATATCCGCCATCCCATGCCTATCCTCCCTCTCGGTACCCCCAACCCAGGCCTGGAGAGGATCATCCCAGATCCAACAGCAGATGCTGTCCCCCACCGGGAAAAGGAGAGGGCTCAGGGGACGTGCATGCACTCTTCTCCCAGGGGCATAGTTGAGTGCCTGATCCACTGGGCGAGGCCCAGGGCCTCTGCCTGGCCAGGCCTGAGGGACTGCAGTGCTGGGTGACAAGGACAACCCTGATGCCTGCATTAGGGCAGATGACAGATAGGTGGTTACCCGGTGAAGAGAAAAGCTGCAGGGAGGGCTTCCTGGAGGAAGTGTGCAGGCTCTCAATGTGGAGCCCACCCCTCCTGCTCCTCCTCCACTGCCCTGTCCTGGGCTCTGTGCCTCCACCTCCTCCCCAGTGCCCCCCCCTCCACCCTCACCCTGCACCAATGACCACACTGGGTCTGGGCTCATCTCCCTGGGTCTGACTGCCTGTCTTGAAAGCATTCCTGGAACCCTTTACACAGAATTTAGTGACCCCAGGAAGCCGTCTTAGAGTTTCCAGAGCGAAGGATTTGCGGCATTGTTCCCCTGCAGCGGGGTTGCTTTCTCTCTGCTGTGGTCTCTTTGATGCTTTCTCAAAGATGCTTTTGTCAAAGCCACCCCCCACAGAAAGCCAGGCCTTGGAGGCTGGGAGTTCCAAATGGGCCAGCAGTGGCGCTCCCCACCACCCTAGGCTCCGAGGCAGGGGAGGGAGGCCAGTGGCCCTGCTCCCCACTGCTCCGTGAGGTCCCCGCTCACAGCCTTCTCAGTGCCGGGAGCTGTTGCCCTAAGCGTGCTTCCCACGGGGCCCTCGGCTCTCCAGGAAATCCTTCACTGACTGCCAACCCACTGGGCCCAGTCCTGAGGGCTGCGTGCTCATGCCAGCCTGCACTGGCCTCCCTGGCTTTTACCACAGCTTGCAATCCTTTATTTGCATGATTAGCAATTCTCTCTCTCTCTCTCTCCCTCCTTCAGAGGGACTGTACCTGCTTGGACCCCCCACCCCACGCATCACAGCTCATGCCACGATGCCCAGATATGAGGAGGCCCTAAGTATAGGTTCTGATGACTGAATGAATGAATGAAGAAAAATATTTCAGAAGCACTTCAAGGCCTTCTTGTTCCCAAAGATCTGTCTTATCAGCCTTGCATAGTGCCTTCAATTCCCACCGCTGATAATCTGTTTAGAGAAGGCATTGTGTCCAGCTGGGCCCTTCCATCATGGATCATAGGTTGATTCATAAGCTCAGTGGGAACCCAGGGGCTTCAGCAAAGATTGGCAGAGAGGACAGAAGATGGGGCAGGGACTGGGGACAGGTGAAGAGTTCAGACCCAGACTTGGTGCTGCACTGCAGGGCTTCACCCGACTCCAAGCTGTCAGCCTCTCCTGGGGAACTGGATGGGGGCGGGGACTGACTCCAGGCTGGGGTCTCACCAACTTCCCAGGCAGCAGGAATACTGGAAGAGTCTATCCCAGGCCTCATTTATTTTGCTGTGAAGGCATTCACCTTATGCATGTGCCTTAGAAATAGGCCTTCCCAGGCATGTTGGGATGAGATCGTTCTCATAGGTGTGGAGGCAGCAAGAGAGAGGACATGGGAAGAACGAGCCTCACCTTGTGAGTTCCAGATGCCTTCAAGTCACAGACACATGCTTCCTCTGGCAGGAGGCGCTGGGGAAAGGGTGGAGTCTTTTGAGTTGTCTGAAGCTCATTCTAATTATTGGTCCCCCCCAACCCGACTGTTACTGAGCGACACCTTTTCAGAGGTGCTGGAGGTGTCAGTTCAACCACTGCAATAGGACCACTCAGGATCAAGTTTTCTTTTCTTTTTTTTTTTTGATGGAGTCTCCCTCTGTCACCCAGGCTGGAGTGCAGTGGCACGATCTCAGCTCACTGCAAGCTCCGCCTCCCAAGTTCACGCCATTCTCCTGCCTCAGCTTCCCGAGTAGCTGGGACTACAGGCACCCGCCACCACACCTGGCTAATTTTATGTATTTTTTTTTAGTAGAGACAGGGTTTCACCGTGTTAGCCAGGATGGTCTCGATCTCCTGACCTCGTGATCCTCCTGCTTCGGCCTCCCAAAGTGCTGGGATTACAGGTGTGAGCCACCATGCCAGGCCAGGATCAAGTTTTCAATTGAGAATCTGTCGCTATTTTAATCCTGTACATAACCACAGGGTTGTATTATGCTTGGGAATATTTTGTGCATTTAGGAGACCAAGTCAGAAATTTTATGTAAAGACACATGCAGGCCAGGCGCAGTGGCTCATACCTGTAATCCCAGCACTTTGGGAGGCCGAGGCAGGTGGATCACAAGGTCAGGAGATTGAGACCATCCTGGCTAACAGAGTGAAACCCCGTGTCTACTAAAAATAGAAAAAGAAATTAGCCGGACGTGGTGGCGGACACCTGTAGTCCCAGCTACTCAGGAGGCTGAGGCAGGAGAACGGTGTGAACCTGGGAGGTGGAGCTTGCAGCGAGCCGAGATGGTGCCACTGCACTCCAGCCTGGGCGACAGAGTGAGACTCCGTCTCAAAAAATAATAACAATAATAAAAATAAAGACACGTGCTAACTACTACTCGGCTCAGGAGAGTCCAGGTTGTGCCATATGTCATCAATTTTAAGACACTCTATGTTTTACATTTTAGCACCTGCTGAATTGTGTCCACACACACACACACACACACACACAAATCAAAGTCCTAACCCTCCAGTAGCTGTGAATGTGGCCTTGTTTGCAGAGAAGGTCTTTGTAGATGATTGAGTGAAGTTGAGGTCATGAGAGTGGGTTCTCATGCAATCTGCCTGGCATGCTTATAAAAAGGAGAAATTTGAACACACAGAGACAGTTGCACGAAGAAAAAACAGAGTGGACACATGCAGGGAGAATGCTGTCTACCAGCCAAAGAACTTCTGCAGCTACCGGAAACCAGGAGAGGGGCCTGGAGCAGAGTCTCCCCGCAGGCCTCAGAAGGAACCAACCCTGTCTGCACCTTGATCTCAGGTTTCCAGCCTCCAGGACTGTGAGATAATAAACATGTGCTGTTCAAGCCCGCAGTTCACAGTACTTTGTTCTGGCAGCCCCAGAAAACCAGACAACATCTCTGAAACGAAGGCACCAGCACCACCTGGCAGCCGACATCAGTGTTGCCTGCCCCATCCTGTGGGCACCCTCTGCCAGCTTTTCTTCCAGGCCTGTACCTCCACTCTCCTTGGATAATTACCCCTCACACGACTGCAGTGGCTCCACCCTCACCAGCAGAACGCTGGCATTTCCTGGGAGTATACAGCTCCTTTGCCCCCAGGCCTGGAATGGGAGGAGGAACATGGAAGCCTTCTTACCCTGAGGTGGGACAAGCGCTGAGCAGTCACTGACTCCGGAGCTCCCCAGGGGATCAAGCAAGGCTGGGAATCGCACCTTCCTCAGTCTCTTCTACCATCTGTCCTGCTTCTCTAGGGAGTTACTTGCACTGGGATGTTTATCTCTGGTTCTGCTTCTAGGGCACCAGACAGACCCAAGAACCTTGGTAAGGAAGTGGCCTGTGAGGCTGACTCTGAGGCTGGGATTCTAGAGACAGGTGACTCGCCAGGCAGAGGGCAGGAAGGCCTGAGTCCCAGCAGTGAGTGGAGGGCCGAGACTCCAGCACGCTCCCCTGGCTGCAGCTCTGCCAAGCTGGAAGCCAAGTGGAAGGGCATGCCCTGAATGGGGCAATATTTCTGATGATTGAAGCCAGGAGGGAGGTGAGAGAACAGCATAGGCTCAGGTTGATTGACAACCCACTGAAGGCACATGGCTGCATGTGAACTCCTACAGCTGGAGGAGGAGACCTGGCCCAGGTCATGTGAAGAGAAGCAGGACTTCAGCGATGGCCAGATACACGGCCTCAGCACTCTCCCATGCCAGTCAGGACTCTGATAGGGAAGAAGTGGAGCCTCCTTTCGGGGGGGCCCTGAAAGACAGTGGAGAAATAGAATCCTCCCATGGGCAGAGCCTCAGGCAGAGCGCCTGGTCAGTCACTTTGAATGGAGTGAGGAATGGCCCAAGATTAGCTATATTTATGGGCAATAGCAAATAGCTTGGCTGCTTAGTCAGGGTCTAAGGAATAAGGCTGGACATTTTTGACAAGGTGGCCACATGTGGACGGACCCCTGGGAGTGAGCACCACGTAAAAGGTCGTGATATTGCACATCAATGCCCACCAGAGAAGAAACATGAAACCACCAACCAGGCAGGCAAGAGGACTCATCGGGTCAATGTCTACCAATGCCTCCCCCTCAGGCAGCCCAAGGCTTGCACAAGGGGCCTGTGAAGAGTGGCCATGGTGGCAGAGAAGGAGGCTATGGATGTCCCAACAGCATGGACTTCCTCCCACCAAAGCTGAGCCAGGACTATCACTGCAGAATGTCCGATCTGTCAGCATCACAGACCGTGCTGAGCCCCTGTCAGCCACCACCCCTCAAAACCACCAACCAGCCTGCTTAGTCCATGTGGGGTGCTGTAACAAGCTATCATAAACTGAGTGGTTTCTAAACAAGAGAAATGTATTTCTCACAGTTCTGGAGGCTGGGAAGTCCAAGGCCAAGGTGCTGGCACATCCAGTGCCTGGTGAGTTCTTGATTTCTATTCATAGATGGCGCCTTCTAGCCATCCCCTCACATGTTAGAGAGGCAAGCCAGCTCTCTGAGGCCTCTGTTGTAAGGACACGAATCCCATTCATGAGGCCTCCACCATCAAGACCTAATCAAGTCCTGAATGCCCAACCTCATAAACACCATCATATTGGGAATTAGGTTTCAACATGCAAACTTTTTGGAGACACAAACGTTCAGACCATAGCACACTCAATGGCAAAACAATTACACGAGACCTCTTCAGCTTTGAAAATTACAATTCACCCTGATTGGGGTCGCCATATATTCCAGAAATAGATTTGCATTTTTTGCCAGGACCACTAGTTAAGGATTTACCAACGTGGGATCCTCGGACCCATGACTGCCTTTCTGGCAAGGGCAGCGTAGCAATGGGAACGTGGCCATAAGGTCCACACCCATGCTCCCGCCAGATTCCACACCAGCCAGAAGTTTCTGGCCTGATGGAGCGTAGGCTTAGCCTTCTGAAGTGACAGGCTGGCTGTGTCTGTATCCAAATTTCTTTTTTTACATAAGGACATCAGTCATTGGCTTAGAGCCCATCTAAATGACCTTATTTTAACTTGATCGCCACTGTAAAGACCCTATCTCTGAGATACTGGGAGTTAAGACTTCAACATAAGAATATTTATAGGGACAAAACTTAACCTGTAACATGGAGGGAGTTGTTCAATATATCATTTATAGCCTCAGGACCAACTGCAGCCACAGGTCTGAAGCTCATCCCACGAAGCCTCCCAAGCTAGATTTTCCCCATAGACAATGACTGTTTGTATATAATGAATTAATAACAACAAGAGGTTAAGGCTGGCATCTTCCCCACTTAATCATTGGACATCCATGCCCATAAGTCACTGAACATCTGAGATAATTTGGGCAAATGATTGAGCTATTCCGAGAGAAGGGCTATTCAGGACTTCTACTCAGAGTGCCACTTCCTGGTATGTGACAGATGGCAGAAGACACGACTCCTGGAGAGGAGTTGAGGCAAGACTTCCCTGGAGCCATCTCCTAGGTTCTAGGGGAAGGTGAGTGTATCAGTATCCTGCCGCTGCTATAACAAATCACCACAAACTCCAGGGCTTAAAACACAAATGGATCAGTCCACAGTTCTATGGGTTAGAAGTGTGACATGGGTCTCAATAGACTAAAACCAAGGTGATGGCAGGACTCTCTTCCTTGTGGAGGCTCTAGGAGAGATGACTTCCTCACCCTTTCCAGCTTCTTCTTTTTTTTCTTTTTTCTTTTATTTTTTTTTGAGACAGAGTCTCACACTGTCACCCAGGCTGGAGTGCAGTGGCGCTATCTCGGCTCACTGCAAGCTCTGCCTTCCAGGTTCACGCCATTCTCCTGCCTCAGCCTCTCGAGTAGCTGGGACTACAGGCGCCTGCCAATGTGCCCAGCTAATTTTTTCGTATTTTTAGTAGAGACGGGGTTTCACCGTGTTAGCCAGGATGGTCTCGATCTCCTGACCTCGTGATCCACCCGCCTCGGCCTCCCAAAGTGCTGGGATTACAGGTGTGAGCCACCACATGCAGCCACCTTTTCCAGCTTCTAGAGGCTGTCCACATTCATCTGAGTAGACGCAGGTGGAGTTGCGAATCTTGAACCCTGAGCCTGTCTGAACCCACGTCTTTGCTTTGCTGGTGGAAACTGCCAGCTCTCCCATATCTAAAGAGCTTAAATACTTAAATACAGCTCTTACTTAAATACCCTGTGGTTGCTCTCCTCCCTGGACCAGGTCTGAGAGTGGGCAGCGTCACTATTGAGATGGTTCCCCTGGTTTCATGGATGATGGTGGAATTCCACAACGGCAGGTAGCAGTTCTGAACCACCAAAGACAAGGGGGTGTATTCGTTGTAATGGGCAGGAAGACAGAGATCACCAGAACGCTTTGACCCACATGACCTTTGCCAGTTGCTAATGGGCCTCAAGGAATGAAATACATACAGCAAATTTCCACATTGAAACTAGTTCACAGACTCAGAGTCCCTTGATTTGAAGAGGAGGCTCAGTGTCCCAAGGAAGGACACTGTGACATTGTCACAAATATGTGCTGTAAATCTTCGTCCACTTCTTCCCCATAGGGACATTTGGCCATGTATGGAGGTCTTGTGTGCGTGGAAAAAAAAGGACATGCCACGACCTTTTGGGGGATTTCTGGACATGGGCTCTAAAATGACATTAAATCTTATGAAATTTTGGCCGGGTGCGGTGGCTCACGCCCATAATCCCAGCACTTTGGGAGTTCGAGGTGGGTAGATCACAAGGTCGGGAGTTCAAGACCAGCCTGGCCAACATGGTGAAACCCCATCTCTACTAAAACTACAAATATTAGCCTGGTGCGATGGCAGGTGCCTGTAATCCCAGCTACTCGGGAGGCTGAGGCAGGAGAATCACTTGAACCTGGGTGGCGGAGGTTGCAGTGAGCCGAGATCTCATCACTGCACTCCAGCCTGGGTGACAGAGTGAGACTCCATCTCAAAAAAAAAAAAATTATGAAATTTTTAGAATATTCTTAGGAAGCAAAATGCCAGTGTGTGCTATCAGTCAAAGTCGGGGTTTATGGTAGTCAGGTGATAATGGAGTTTTGCTCCAAATCTGACTCACAGTGGGCCCAGCAGGTCTGCAGGTCTACCCCATGGTTATGCCCCAGTTCTGGGATGTATCTTGGGAATGAATAAGTGCGGCCTCTCAAAGAGTCCCCACATGGGGGCTGGGCACGGTGGCTCACGCCTGTAACCCCAGCACTTTGGGAGGCCGAGGCGGGAGGATCACGAGGTCAGGAGATCGAGACCATCCTGGCTAACATGGTGAAAACCTGTCTCTAATAAAAATACAAAAAAATTAGCCGGGCATGGTGGCGGGTGCCTGCAGTCACAGCTACTCGGGAGGCTGAGGCAGGAGAATGGCATGAACCCAGGAGGCAGGCTTGCAGTGAGCCAAGATAGCGCCACTGCACTCCAGCCTGGGCGACAGAGGGAGACTCTGTCTCAAAAAAAAAAAAAGAGTCCCCGCATGGGCTGCCCTGACCCATGGGATGAGGGCCATTATAGTAGGGAGGGCCGAAGAGCTGCTCCTCCCTCCTGGGTTAGTGAACCAGGAGGCGCTGTGTGCAGGGAAGCCTCAGACACCATTGTCACCACAACAGCCTGGAACAGAGCGGGGTGGGATACCCGTTACGGCCCCCTCTTTGCCCTGTGTAGATGGAATATGAATCTTGGAAAATGACAACAGATGGTCATAAGCTTGACCTGGTAGTGGCGCCAATTGCAGCTGTCATTTCAGAGATGGCTTAGAAATACTCCAGATGTGTTTCCAGACTAGAGCAAAACAGCATAGTCCCTGACACCTAGTATGCTTTGGGTTAGTTAACTCTTTCTTTTCCCCATTTCCTCATATGAACAAAACTGGTTAACATTTTAGGTTCCAAGTGAGAATGCGACTGAGTTGACACAATTGTGCAATAATACGGTACTGATGAGACTTCCTCCAGACGCAGGGCAGGAGGGTATGGTGGTGGCTGCATGGGGTAGCTCCTTGCTTGCTCTCCAGACCTCCCCACTGCTCTGCACCTGAAAAACTGACCTCTGAGGACAGACCCATGGGATCCCTGGCCCTCTGGCCTCCAGCTGGGTTTGCCCAGTGGGAGATACTGAAAAAGACTGCAGGGAGTGGAGGGTGATGCTGGTGCATGTGGTCCTAGCTCTCCTCCTTCCCTAGCACTATGAATTGGCCCTGTTGTCCTACCAGAGACTCTAGCTCCTGCACTCAGCTCTCTCCCCCAACTGCAGGCCTCGCTGGATTCCAGTAATCCTTCCCTTCACTTGCTCCTTTAGGCCTGGGAGTGCTCATAGCTCTCCAGTGGTGCTAGCCCCAAGGGGCTATTTTGTTGATGGCACTTAACCCTGCCCCGCCTTTGTAAATAGTCCTTTCACTAAAGACTCCTCATTTATCCCATCTGAAAGTACCATCTGTTTTCTACTGGGACTCTGACTGATTCAAGGAAGAGAATGGATTCCTCCACCTAATATTTATTGGGTAGTTACCATGAAATTCATGCTAGGCATTGGGGATGTCATTGAAGCAAAACTAGACATGCTCACTGCCCCCTCAGAGCTTTCTGGGAGAGATGGCTATTAATCCAATGACCATTCAAAGGGAAATTACAAATGAGGCATGCCCAAGGAAGGATGGGAACGCGGTACTGTGAAAACTCCTCGTGGGAGAGTGGGTGTTCTTCCCTTCCATTTGAGTTGGCATTCCAGGCAATGGAACAGCATGTGCAAAGACCTGGAGCTGTCAGGAGTAAAGTGCTTTTGAGGAATTTGAGAGAGGCTCATGCAGAGGAGGCTGGAGAGGCAGGAGGGTGTGTGAAGGGCATCCCAGGGAAGAACAGTAAAGCCTCTGGAGAAGGTAGTAGGTGGCCGTGAAAATGGCCCTGATGGCCCATGCCTCCTGAGATCCATGGTCTTGTGTAATCCCCTCCCTCTGAGTGTGTGCTGGACTACCTGAGTTACTTCTAGTGAACAAAATACTCCAGAAGGGGGCCAGGCGCAGTGGCTCACACCTGTAATCCCAGCACTTTGGGAGGCCGAGGCGGGTGGATCACGAGGTCAGGAGATCGATACCATTCTGGCTAACACGGTGAAACCCCGTCTCTACTAAAAATACGAAAAAATTTAGCAAATTAGCCGGGCGTGGTGGTGGGCGCCTGTAGTCCCAGCTACTCAGGAGGCTGAGGCAGGAGAATGGCATGAACCCGGGAGGCGGAGCTTGCAGTGAGCCGAGATCACGCCACTGCACTCCAGCCTGGGCAACAGAGCGAGACTCTGTCTCAAAATAATAATAATAATAATAATAATAATAATAATAATAATTCTCCAGAAGGGATGGGATGTGAATTCTGACACTTGTTTACAAAGGAAATACTATGACTTCCATTTCTGCATGCCCTCTTTTGTTCTCTTTTTCTTGACTCACCAGCTGCTGCATGGTGGGGACACTCATGCAGCCTGTGGGGTGGCCCAGATACTGAGGAACCCAGGCCTGACAGCAACCAGGTGGGTGAGTAAACTTGGACATGGATCTCATGAGGACTGCCCTGTGAACACTACTTCCATGTGCATGCAAGGAGCTTCTCCAGCCCCAGGTGAGCCTTCAGGTGACAGCAGACCTTGCTTATAGCTTAACTACAACCTGCCAAGGACTGTGAGCCACAGGCATCCAGATTCCTGACCAGCAGAAACTGGGAGATAATAGATGTACATCGTTTTAACTGCCATGTTTTGGAGTAATTTGTTATGCAGCTATAGGTAACGAATACAGAGCATATTCCGGAGTGGGATGGCATATTTCTTTTCTTTTCTTTTCTTTTTTTTGAGACGGAGTCTCACTCTGTCACCCGGGCTGGAGTGCAGTGGTGCGATCTCAGCTCGCTGCAAGCTCCGCCTCCCGGGTTCACGCCATTCTCCTGCCTCAGCCTCCTGAGTAGCTGGGACTACAGGCACCTGCCACCATGCCGGGCTAAGTTTTCTGAAATTTTTTTTTTCTTTTTTTGAGACGGAGTTTCCCTCTATTGCCCAGGCTGGAGTGCAGCGGCGTGATCTCGGCTCACTGCAAGCTCCGCTTCCCGGGTTCATGCCATTCTCCTGCCTCAGCCTCCCGAGTAGCTGGGACTACAGGCGCCCACCACGACGCCCGGCTAATTTTTTGTATTTTTAGTGGAGACAGGGTATCACCGTGTTAGCCAGGATGGTCTCGATCTCCTGACGTCGTGATCCGCCCACCTCGGCCTCCCAAAGTGCTAGGATTACAGGCGTGAGCCACCGCGCCCGGCCCTATTTTTTTTTTTTTTTTTTTTTTAGATGGAGACTCGCTCTGTTGCCCAGGCTGGAGTGCAGTGACGCGATCTCGGCTCACTGCAAGCTCCGCCTCCCGGGTTCACGCCATTCTCCTGCCTCAGGCTCCTGAGTACCTGGGACTACAGGTGCCAGCCATCATGCCCGGCTAATTTTTTGTATTTTTAGTAGAGATGGGGTTTCACAGTGTTAGCCAGGATGGTCTCAATCTCCTGACCTCATGATCCGCCAGCCTTGGCCTCCGAAAGTGCTGGGATTACAGGCATGAGCCACCGCACCCGGCCTGTATTTTTTTTTAATAAAGATGGGGTTTCACCGTGTTAGCCAAGATGGTCTTGATCTCCTGACCTCGTGATCCACCCGCCTCCGCCTCCCAAAGTGCTGGGATTACAGGTGTGAGCCAAGGCGCCCGGCCAGGGTGGCATATTTCTTTCCTTCAACAAATACTGACGGGCTGCTATATATCAGGTACATTGTGGGTATTGACATGTGTATTAGTTCACTTTGCGTTGCTATGAAAAATTACCTGGCCCGTCATGGTGGCTCAGGCCTGTCATCCCAGCATTTTGGGGGGCCAAGGCAGGCGGATCACCTGAGGTCAGGAGTTCGAGACCAGCCTAGCCAACATGGTGAAACCCCGTCTCTACTAAAAATACAAAAATCAGCTGGGCATGGTGGCACATGCATGTAATCCCAGCTACTTGGGAGGCTGAGGCAGGAGAATCACTTGAACCCGGAAGGCTGAGGTTACAGTGAGCTGAGATCGCAGCACTGCACTCCAGCCTGGGTGACAGGGAGAGACTGCATCCCAAAAGAAAAAGAAAAAAGAAAAAAGGAAATACCTGAGACTGAGTAATTTATAAAGGAAAGAAGTTTAATTGGCTGACAGTTCTGCAGGCTGTATAAGAAGCATGGGGCTGGGCACAGTGGCTCACGCCTGTAATCCCAGCACTTTGAGAGGCCAAGGTGGGTGGATCACGAGGTCAGGAGATTGAGACCATCCTGGCTAACATGGTGAAACTCCGTGTCTACTAAAAATACAAAAAAATTAGCCAGGCGTGGTGGCAGGCGCCTGTAGTCCCAGCTACTCAGGAGGCTGAGGCAGGAGAATGGCGTGAACTCAGGAGGTGGAGCTTGCAGTAAGCCAAGATCGTGCCACTGCACTCCAGCCTGGGCAACAGAGCAAGACTCCCTCTCCCAAAAAAAAAAAAAAAAAAAAAAAAAAAAAAAAAGGCATTGAACCAACATCTGCTTGTGCTTGTGTTAAGGCTCCAGGAAACTTTTACTTACGGCAGAAGGCGAAGGGGGAGCAGGTGTGTCCCATGGTGAGAGAAGGAACGAGAGGAGGAGGTCCCAGTCTCCTAACAACCAGTTCTCCTGTGAACTCATGACTGCAGGGAAGGCAGCAAGTCATTCACGAGGAAACCGCCCCCATGACCCACACACCTCCCACTAGGCCCAGCCATCAACACTAGGGGTCACATTTCCATATGAGACTTGGAGGGGACACATGTGCAAGCTATATCAACATGATACATTTTATACATTTTTGTGTAGTTATATTTTGAATGGGTAACACAGGAATGTGGTTTTAACATTTCAGGCCAGGTGGGGTGGTTCACACCTGTAATCCCAGCACTCTGGGAAGCCAAAGCTTGAGAATCACTTGAACCCAGGAGTTCAAGACCAGCCTGGGCAACATAGCAAGACCCTGTCTCTGTTTTAAAAGTAATTAAATACAATTCTAAAGTAACAGTAAAGGACATAGGAAAAAGTCTCCTCTCCACAGACACCCAGTTCCTTTAGTATGGCTTCATATCATCAGTTTCTGCTGTCCCCTTCCAGAAAGATTTTATGCAAGTGGGAGCAAATATGTATTGGTTCTCAATACCATTCTGCAACTTGCTCTTCTCACATAACAGTTTATCTTAAAGAACATTCTGTGTCTGTACGTAGAAGATTCCTTCATTGTTTTTCACAGCTATATAGAATTCCATTATATGAATGTATCCTCCTACCTTTTCACCCATCCCCTACTGATGAACACCTAGGTTATTTTACAAACAAAGGTGCTGAATAACCATCACTATATAACATGTTGTGTGATCAGATAGATTCTAGAAGTGGGTCCAAAAGCATATGAGTGTCTAGCTTTGATAAATGTTATCCAACTCCCATGACAAGGTATGGTGGGATAGAGGCTTCCTTGTTTTCATGGCTGTGACCGGCAGATGAGAGTGTCTGCTTCCCCAACAATTGTCAGCTGTGTCATCAAATGTTTTCATGTCACCAGTCTGACCATGGAGAAACAGCATTTCAGCGAGACCTGAGAGTGTCCTGCCCTTATTTACTTATTTATTTTTTGAGATGGAGTCTAGCTCTGTCGCCAGGCTGGAGTGCAGTGGTGTGATCTCGGCTCACTGCAACCTCCGCCTCCCAGGTTCAAGCCATTCTCCTGCCTCAGCCTCCCTAGTAGCAGGGACTACAGGCGCCCGCCACCACGCCCGGCTAATTTTTTGTATATTTAGTAGAGACGGGGTTTCACCATGTTAGCCAGAATGGTCTCAATCTCCTGACCTCATGATCCGCCCGCCTCCGCCTCCCAAACTGCTGGGATTACAGGCATGAGCCACCGTGTCCGGCCTGTCCTGCCCTTCTTATGTGTGAGGTAGAGAATCTCCTGACATGCTTAAGAGCTACTAACATTATCTGTGTTAAGGTTATTGTTAAAAAAAAAAGAAAAGAAATCACACTGGCTGCTGAGTGCAGAATGGATTGGATTGTGTGGACCACAGCGGATGCACACAGATGAAGGGGGATGGGGAGATGGAGTGCAGCACATGGACTGAGAGCTGTTTGAAAGGCTCAAAAAAGAGGCCTTTGTGAGCCCTGTGTGTGTGTGTGTGTGTGTGTGTGTGTGTGTGTGTGTGTGCGCGCCTGCGCACACGTGCTCTCAGATAGAAAGTTGCCGAGGGAGAGGCAGTGCCAGCATTGGCCTTCAGTCTCTGACTCTTGCATCTTGAAGAAAGATGGTGCCCTTCCCTGAGACATCCAATGCTGAATGAAGGCCAGGCTTGTGGGAAAAGCTCAACTATGTTTTCTGCTGTTGCTATGAGAACCATTAACTTCTTACATTTACTATACGCCGTGCCTTCCTCCTACACCTTAGCGGGGTTTTAAATTTTAACGCATGTCTTGGATTTAGCATATTTAAAATACCAAGCTAGCAAATCACATACACAAAGAGTATGTCAGGCCATCTATAAAATGTTGATTATTTCTCTGATTGTCTACATAGTACTGAGGGAGCATTTGCAAGAGAAGGTGGTGGAGGCTGGGAATCACCTGGAGGGGCGGCCAGCCCTTGATCTGGCTGCTTAAGTAACTCACACAAACAACACAGGCAGACAGGGCTCCCTGGAATTGGTTTTCTTCCATCTGCAGCCTGTGAAGTCAGTTGAGGCATCTGAAGTTCTTCAGTTTTTCACTTCTATGGGGCCTTCTGATCCAGGTGTGTGGTATTAATGTTCTCTAGGTGCCTGTACTAGATCCCATCCAACTCTCAGAGTCTGCTGTCGAAGGGATCTCAGAGGGAGTAACTACAAAAAAGAAAGTAGGGGCTGGGTGCGGTGGCTCGTGCCTGTAATCCCAGCACTTTGGGAGGCTGAGGCGGGCAGATCACGAGGTCAGGAGACCAAGACCATCCTGGCTAACAGGTGAAACCCCATCTCTACTGAAAATACAAAAAATTAGCTGGACGTGGGGGCAGGCACCTGTAGTCCCAGCTACTTGGGAGGCTGAGGCAGGAGAATCGCTTGAACCTGGGAGACAGAGCTTGCAGCGAGCCGAGATAGCACCACTGCACTCCAGCCTGGGCTGCAGAGTGAGACGTCATCTCACAAAAAAAAAAAAGAAAGAAGTAGTAACTTCTAAAATTATATGTGTATATATCTTCTTGGATAAAAGAGACCATCCCCTTAAATACCAGCTAAATTTAACCAATGGTATTATGGTCATTTAGTGGGTTTTCCCCCAGAAGCCCACACTTCTCCCCATCCTCCAGTTCACACCATTAGCTGTGAGCATGATCCCCATGCCAGTGAAACCGGAGAATAAATATGTCAAAGTCCTGGCTTCGATTCTTCCAAAGTCAAGGTAAGAGAGAAACAGGAAAAACAGCTCCCTATTCCTCTCTCTAGGGTGGTGGTTCTGAGACTGTGGTCCCTCAACCAGCAACACTGGCCTCACCTGGTACCTGGTTAAAAATGAAAATTCTAGGGCCAGGCCCAGTGTCTCGTGCCTGGAATCCCAGTAGCTTGGGAGGCCAAGGTTGGGGGATCTCTTGAGGCCAGGAGTTGGAGACCAGCCTGGGCAACATATCGAGACCCCATCTCTACAAAAAGTTTTTGAAGGCCGGGCGCAGTCAGTGGCTCATTGAGGCCTGTAATCCCAGTACTTTGGGAGGCCGAGGTGGGTGGATCACGAGGTCAGGAGTTCAAGACCAGGCTGACCAACATGGTGAAACCTTGTCTCTACTAAAACTTCAAAAATTAGCAGGGTGCGGTGGCAGGCGCCTGTAATCCCAGCTACTCAGGAGGCTGAGGCAGGATAATTGCTTGAACCCAGCCAGCAGAGATTGCAGTGATCCAAGATTGCACCACTGCACTCTAGCCTGGTGACAGAGTGAGACTCAGTCTCAAAAAAAAAAAAATTTTTTTTTGAATTAGCTGGGTGTGGTGGTGTGCTCCTGTTGTCCCAGCTACTTGTGAGGCTGAGGTGGGAGGAGCTCTTGAGCCCAGGAGATTGAGGCTGCAGCCAGCTATGTTCGCACCACTGCACTCCAGTCTGTGCAACAGAGCAAGAGCCGAAAGAACGAAAGAACAAAAGAAAGAGGAAGGGAGGGAGGGAGGAAGGAAGGAAGGAAGGAAGGAAGGAAGGAAAAAGAAAGAAAAAAGAAAGACAGACAGACATGGACATTCTTAGGCCTCACTCCAGACTTACGCAGAATAAGACATTCTGGGATGCAGTGCCAGGAAATCTGTAATTTAAAAACTCCCCCGGTGGTTCGATTGCACAACTGACCTTTGAGAACCACTGAATTTTGACATCCTAGGGCTGAGAGAAATCCCCAGGCCATCACGTGGGGTCAGTAAAGACAGTGAGGCTGAGTGGTCTCAGGCAGCGGCCTCACAGAACTGCCTGCAGCCCTCGTGGGAGTGGCTTGGCCACTCCAAGACAGGACACAGCCAGCTGGGTAGGCTGGGCCCGGGACAAGTTGATGCTGAGACAATGGAACTTGCACCAGAGATCCAAAACCCTGGAAGGAGTGGACACCTCAGCCAACACCAGTGTGGAGGGCTGATTAGGCACAAGAGAAGACCCTCGCGGTGTGGCCAGAGTGAGCCGGAGGACCCGGACTCAGGCCCTGACGCCGCTGCGCCTCTGCCATCCTCACTCCGGTCTGGATCCATATTGAGCTCCTGGCCTGCGAGGTCTTACTATTTCACAGAGTAGACAGACAAAAGCAGTCCACTGTTGGCCGGGCACGGTGGCTCATGCCTGTAATCCCAGCACTTTGGTAAGCCAAGGCAGGCAGATCACCTGAGGTCAGGAGTTTGAGACTAGCCTGGCCAATATGGCGAAATCCTGTCCCTCTAAAAATACAAAAATTAGCTGGGAGTAGTGGCAGACGCCTGTAATCCCAACTACTCAGGAGGCTGAGGTGGGAGAATCACTTGCACCCGGGAGGCAGAAGTAGCAGTGAGCCGAGATGGCACTGCTGCACTCCAGCCTAGGCCATAAGCGTGAGACTCTGTCTCAAAACAAAAAACAACTACAAAAAAATTCCACTGTCAAGATGGCAGCGTGACCACGTTACATCTCTTTCTTCTATAGAACATCATTAGACATGGATTTTATATATATATATATATATGTTTTTTGAGACAGAGTTTTGTTCTGTCACCCAGGCTGAAGTGCAGTGGCATGATCTCGGCTCACTGCAACCTCCACCTCCCAGGTTGAAGCGATTCTCCTGCCTCAGTCTCCTGAGTAGCTGGGATTACAAAAAATACATATATTTTAAAGCAGAGTAACAAATACATAACTAAGCATGGAGTGGAAAGAGGGGACCCCTGTGGACTTGATATTGTCTTTCTTTAAAAAAAAAAAAAAGAAAATGTGCAAGGTGGATGTCTTCCTGTCACTTTGCACAGCCTACTGCCATAGTGCCTGAACCCCAGACCCCAAACTCACTGTCCTGCTCGGGGAACCCCAGGCCACACTGGACATTGAGGGCACCCCAAGCACTCTCCTATCCTCACCTCGCTCCTGCAGTAAATGGCTAAATGAATAACTCAGAAGTGAAGCCAAAAAGAAAAAGAAAATGCACATGGGGAACAGAAGAGGCGAGCAGAGGCCACAGCCATCTGCAGCCTGGAGGCCTGGGCTGATACACTGTGAAGAGATGTCTCCAGGGGCTGCCTGTGGGGAGCAGTCTGCCATTGAGAACACACCTAGAGAAGCCTCTCATAGCAGACAAGGGCAGAACCAGAAATTAACACGTGGGGAAGTTATATACCACAAATAGACAGGACAATCCGTGGAAGAACCGAGGGAATGGTGATAGCAGAATGTCAGGAAATGACTTTATAATATGTAGACCTTAGAGAAATAGAGGAGGAACTGAGACAAAAATCAATTTGAATCCCTGGAAATAAAAAATATAGTGACTGAAATTAACAATTCAGCAATTACTGAACTGACAGCTGGACAGAACTTGTACAGAGTTGTGTGTGTGCCTGTATGCACATGCTCACGCACTCATACAGAAAGAAACTTCAGAATATCAAGGAAAAAGAGAAAAAAGGTGTCAGGGAGAAAAGATGATAAGTAATGCATTAAAAAAATGAAAATCAGGGGCCGGGAATGGTGGCTCACACCTGTAATCCCAGCACTTTGGGAGGCCAAGGCAGGCAGATCACGAGGTCAGGAGATCGTCCTGGCTAACACAGTGAAACCCCGTCTCTACTAAAAATACAAAAAAATTAGCCAGATGTGGTGGCGGGCACCTGTAGTCACAGCTACTCAGGATGCTGAGGCAGGAGAATGGTGTGAACCCAGGAGGAGAACCCTTGCAGTGAGCCGAGATCGCGCCACTGCACTCCAGCCTGGGTGACAGAGCAAGACTCTTGTCTCAAAAAAAAAAAAAAAAAAAAAAAAAGAGAGAAAATCAGGCCAGGCTTGGTGGCTTACACCAGTACTTTGGGAGGCCGAGGCAGGCTGATCGCTTGAGCTCAGGAGTTCAAGACCAGCCTTGTCAACATGGCGAGACCTCGTGTCTACTAAAAATAAAAAAATTAGCCAGACGTGGTGGTGTGCACATATAGCCCCAGGCTGAGGTGGGACAATTGCGTGAGCCCAGGATTTGAGGTTGTAGTGAGCTATGATCATGCCACTGTACTCCAGCCTAAGTGACAGAGTGAGACCCTGTCTCAAAAAAGACCCCAAAACCAAACAACAAAATAACATAAAAATCAAAATATATTGGATTTCATTTCTTAGCTATATTCTGCATATTAAAAACACACATTAAAAATGCAGGTCCAGGCCGGGCATGGTGGCTCACGCCCGTAATCCCAGCACTTTGGGAGGCAAAGGCAGGTGGATCACCTGAGGTCAGGAGTTGGATACCAGCCTGGCCAACATGGTGAAACCCGTCTCTACTAAAAATACAAAAATTAGCCGGGCATGGTGGTGGGCGCCTGTATTCCCAGCTACTCGGTAAGCTGAGGCAGGAGAATTGCTCGAACCCAGGAGGCGGAGGTTGCAGTGAGCCGAGATTGCACCACTGCACTACAGCCTGGGTGACACACTGAGACTCTGTCTCAAAAAAAAAAAAAAAAAAATTGCAGGTCTAGGCAGCACTCCCAGTGATCCCACACATCTGTCCCTTGATTCAACAGTGTTAGGATAGGACAGACCTGAGGACTCCCTTTCTTCCAGCCTCTCCTAACCTCCAATCTTCTCTCCAATTGCAACCTCCAGGACCATCTTCTCAGCCATCTCCTGCTTCCAGGACCAGCCAACACCGTTGTGTTAGAAATAAGGTTAGCTCCTTATTGCCAACCAACCACAAGCTCCCAGATTCGTCAGAATGATTCCACCGAGGAGGAAGCTGCAGTCAGCTGCCTGGTCCATGTGCATCGGCGGGTGTCCTGCACTTACCATTCCCTGGGCTTCTATTTCAACCACAATGAGTGGCTCTGGAGCGCTTTGGCTGCTTCTTCCATGAGTTGGTTCAATAGAAGCACAAGGGCACAGTGTGTCTCTTGGAAGTGCAAAACCAGCTGCACCATCTTCCAAGGTGCACAGAAGCCATCTCTAGATGAGTGGGGAAAATCATGGATGCCATCAAAGCCACCGTTGCCTGGAGAAGAATCTGAACCAGGCCCTTATGGATCCGCATGCCCTGGGATCTGCCCACACAGACTTTCATCTCTGTGACTTTCAGGACAGCCATTTCCTAAATGGGAAGATGAAACTCTTCAAGATGATGGGCAACCACCGCAGTTACCTTTGCTGGCCGGCCAGCCCCCAGGCCCACCTGCACCAGTCTCTTTTCCAAAAGCCTACCCACAAGCACAACCAGGGCCTCCAAAGCCCAGCAGCCTTTGAGGGGTTCCTCTGCACCTCCTGGTATCAGGGCTTCTGCCTGACCCTCTCTCTCCAGCCAGTAGGCAGCTTTTTAACCACCCTCCAGCCTTCTCCCAAGCCGTGGACCAAAGGGGAAGAAAGTTTTTGCAGCAAAAAAAGAAAAAGAAAAGCAGGATATGGAAAAATTGACAGTAACACAACAGAGAGCTCAGAAATAAATCCAAACATATCTGGTCAACTAATTTTTGACAAGGGCATCAAGAGGACACAATGGAGAAACAATAGTCACTTCTTGGCCGGGTGCAGTGGCTCATGTCTGCAATCCCAGCAGTTTGGGAGGCCGACGCAGGTGGATCACCTGAGGTCAGGAGTTCAAGACCAGCCTGGCCAACATGGTAATTACATTTTTTATTTCCAAGAATTCAAATAGATTCTTGTCTCAGTTCCCTATTTCTCTAAGGCCTACACATTACAAAGTCCTTTCCTGACATTCTGCTATCGCCATTCCCTTGGTTCTTCCATGGATTGTACTATTTGTGGTGTATAATTTCCCACGTGTTAATTTCTGGTTCTGCGCTTGTCTGCTATGCTAACGTTGAAGCAAGGATGATAATAGAACCTCCCTAAAACTGATGCTGTCCTTGTCCAGGAGCTGAACCCACTTTTGTAAGATGAATGAAAGGCCACAAGATTAGGATTTGGTGCGTGGGGGCCTGAATTCTGTGAAAATACAGGCATAGTTTCTGTAACCCCTTACTGCTCAGGAGTCATGTGGCCAGAGGTCACAAGATTTGTGTCTTCCCCAGTGCCTCCTGTAGATAACATCACTATTGTGGAACCTAAAATTGGCCTTTTGGGATGTTTCTCAGACTTACCCCACCTGGACTCAACCTGTGGCCCCACCCAGATGTGGACTCAGTGCATAAGGACTATTTCCACACCCGTATGATTGCATCCCCAACCACTTGGGGTAACATCATTCATTCATTTGCACGTGGAAATCCAGTTTTCCCAATACCATTGTAATTCCCTGGTGGGTTCTTCCTGCTTGCTGCACAGACAAAACCAGTTCACTGAGGCCATGGTATTGCAGTAAGGAGTTGAATTAACTCAATGCCAGCCACATGGAAGGACTGGAGTTATCACTGAAATCAGCCTCCCCAAAGGCTCAGAGGTTAGGGTGTTTCAAGGAAAGTTTTGTGGGCAGGCAGGGGACTCAGGAATGGGTGCTCTTTAATGGTTAGGACTTCTCTAGGTGTGTTCTGAATGGCAGACTGCGCCCCGCAGGCAGCACCCGGAGACATCTCTTCACAGCGTATCAGCCCAGGCTTCCAGACTGGCCTCTGCTCGCCTCTCCTGTTCCCCATGTGCATTTTCTTTTTCTTTTTTGGCTTCACTTCTGAGTTATTCATTTAGCCATTTACTGCAGGAGCGAGGTGAGGATAGGAGAGTACTTGGGGTGCCTTCAATGGCCAGTGTGGTCTGGGGTCCCCGAGCAGGACAGTGAGTTTAGGGTCTGGGGCTCAGGTGCTATGGCAGTAGGCTGTGCGAAGTGACAGGAAGACATCCACCTTGCACATTTTCTTCAGTTTTAAAGAAACACATTACCATTTCAGTTATATTTGTTTTATGAGACACAGTTTCGTTCTGTCGCCCAGGCTGGAGTGCAATGGTGCGATCTCGGCTCACTGCAACCTCTGCATCCCAGGTTCAAGCGATTCTCCTGCCTCAGTCTCCCGAGTATCTGGGATTACAAAAAAACAACATACATTTTAAAGCAGAGTAACAAATTGATAACTAAGCGTGGAGTGGAAAGAGGGGACCCCCGAGGACTGGAAATGGCAACGTTAGACTATGAACTAAATTTCTCCCATGGCTGATTTGGCCTATGCCCAGGAATGAGCAAAGACAGCAGACCCGTGAGACTGGAAGCAAGATGGAGTCGGCCATGCTAGACTTCTCTCACTGTCATCTTTGCAAAGCTGGTCTCACCATTTATTGAAGTGAATTTTCTTTTTTCTTTTTTTTTTTTTGAGACGAAGTCTTGCTCTGTTGCCTAGGCTGGAGTACAATGGTGGGATCTCAGCTCACTGCAACTTCCGCCTCCCGGGTTCAAGAAATTCGCCTGCCTCAGCCTCGCCATGCCTGGCTGGTTGTATTTTTAGTAGAAATGGGGTTTCACCATGTTGGGCCTCACAACACACATCAGTCCATCTCCTCTCCTGTTTGGCAGGGATGGTCACGATCCTCATTTCCCAGTTAAAGAAGCCAAAAGTCCATTATGGGGTTTCACCATATTGGCCAGGCTGGTCTCGAATGCCCGAACACAAGTGATCCAAGCGCCTCAGCCTCCCAAAGTGCTGGGATTACAAGTGTGAGCCACCACACCCAGCCAATTAGGAGTAAATATCCAACATTTAGCCAGGTGCAGTGGCTCACTGCTTAATCCCAGCACTTTCAGAAGCTGAGGTGGGAGGATCACTTGAGCCCAGGAGTTTGAGTCCAGGCCTGCCAACATAGTGAGACCCTGTCTCAACAAAACATTTAAAAATTAGCCAGGCATAGTGGTGTGCGCCTCTAGTCACAGCTACTTGGGAGGCTGAGATGGGAGAATGTTTGAACCCAGAAGGTCAAGTAAGCTGTGATTGTGCCACTGTACTCCAGTCTGCATAACAGAGCAGACCCTGTCTCAAAAAAAATAAAATCCAAAATATATAAATAATTGATACAACTCAAAACAAATAACCCAATTTTTAAAATGTTTTTAAAAAAGAACTCGAATAGACCTTTCTTTAAAGAAGACATAAAAATAGCAAGTGGGTATCTGAAAGGTGTTCCGCATTGTAGGTCATTAGGGAAATGCAAATCAAACCCACTGAGATACCACCTCACACCCCTTATGACCATTATCAAAACGTCAAAAGATAAATGTTGGCAAGAGTGTGGAGAAATGGGAACTTTTGCATACTATGGATGAGAATGTAGATTGATACAGCCATTCTGGAAAAGAGTATGAAGATTTCTAGAGAAATTAAAAATAGAACTACCATATGACTCAGCAATCCCTCTTCTGGACATGCACCCAAAGGAAATGAAATCATTACTTTGTAAAGATACCTGTATTGTCATGTTCATTGCAGCCTTAATCACAATAGCCAAGATATGGAAACAATCTAAGTGTCCATCAATGGATAAATGGATAAAGAGACTGTGGCACACACACACAATGGAATATTATTCAGCCCTAAAACAAACAAGGTCTTGCCATTTGCCACAAGATGGATGAGGCTGGAGGACGTCATGCTAAGTGAAATAAAGCATACACAGAAAAGCAAATATTGCATAAACTCATTTATATGTGGGATGTAAAAATGTAAATAAATAAATCTACAGAGATAGAGAGCAAAACATTGTTTACCAGGGGAGGTAGGAGAGGGGAGGAATTGGGGACATGGAGGCCAAAGGACACAAAGTAGCAGGTATGAAGGATGAACAAGTCTAGAGATGTAATGGATGACATGAGGACTGCAGGGAACAAAATTGTTCTGTATGTGAAATTCATGCTCAATGAGTAGATTTCAACCGCTCTTGCCACAAAAGCAACAAGGAAATGGGGAACTATGTGAAACGATTGGTGTGTTAATTTCTTTCAGTATAGGAATCTTTTTACAATCTATATATAACTTTTAACATCATGTTGTAAGCTTTAACTATACACAAGAAAATTTATTTTTAAAAAAGAAAAATTGACAGTCAAAGACTGACAAAGCAAAGACTAAGTAAATAAAAACAAGGGTAACTGTATTTATAGCTGTTAAATGAAAAAAAAAACAACAAAAAATGAGCCACCGACTGAGGCAAGTGCCTGCATCTATAGAGCTTTGTGGAGCTACAATTTGACGACACCCCCGGAAAAAACACAAGCCACAGAAACTACTGTGACCCGTGCTTTCCAAAGAGGGTTTTGGGAACTCAGTATGTAAGGGGAGAAGGCAGGCAGGAGAGAAGAAAGGGAGGGGGAGCAGGCAGTGAAGGGGTGGTTACATTCTTAGGAAGCTCTAATTAGTGCTCAGTAAATCTTCATTTTACATAAGACGAGGTAAACATTTGAAAAGAGGGAGGAAAGAGTCAATTATGAAGCCATCTCAGGATAGCCTGAAGAGTGCTTGATCTCATGTTCTTGTTCTGTACCTGGGAAGATAAACCTGTATTCAACATTGTCAGTGTCAGATTGAATAGAACTCAGTGTCACATCTTAAACTGAGGTTGCAGAGCCAGGGTTACAACTGGCATATGCTTATTTTATAGGGGGACATGGATCCTGAAAGATTTAGGGGCTAGCAGGGAATGTCCCTGTGAACAGTTTGTAAGGGGGGCCATATGGAGAGGTATGTGGCCTTTTGTGGTAGTGGGGACCTGGCTTATGTCTAATGCCATCACACAGGGTTGTGAAATGGCAGCTATCTCTTTGGGGAGAAAGAATGGCAGTTTTGCATGACTAAGCTCCCAAACTTACGTCTCCCTTACCATAACAGGTTTGGCGTTCCAAGACTTTATTTTCTTTTACATATTAAAAAAACTCTAATGAAAGAGGTATATGAGAGATAAAGAGGGTATTTCCTAATGATAAAAGGGTGCAACCAGCAGGGAGAAAAAGGAATTCTAAATGTGTTTATGCCTGGTAACTTAACCTTAAAACACACAGAACAAAGCTTAACAAACGAAAAAAAGAAATAAGTTGACGATGATTGTGGGAAAGTTTCATATCTGTGTCTCAGCCACTGAAAAATAGACAAACATCAGTAAGGAAATAGAATCTTTAAAGGATGCATTTAACACGCTCCGTCTAATTGAGATACGTGGTACACTACGCTCAACATGCAGAATACATATCCTTTTCAAGTGCAGAAGCAATATTTATAAAAATTAATCATATTTTTAATCATTGAGAAGACACAAATTCCAAAGAGTTTTAGTTATACAAATATTTAATCACAGTGGAAGTGTAAGTTTGGAAATTAAGCAAAACATTTTTAGTATGGTAAAGGGATGAATAAAATCAAAGTTTGCTTTTTTGAAACACTGATAAAATTGATGGCCCCCAGCAAGATTGATTAACAAAACAGACAAAAGGCACAAATTCTAACCGCACACCTTATAAGTATTAAAAAGATAAATGAATAATAGAACAACTTTGAAATTTTAGATAAAATGAACAAATTGATTCAGCAAACACAGGTTACCGAAATGAATATTCATATATATGTAATTGAACCTGTAATTAAACACCTTATAAAGAAAACTACAGTCTCACATGGCTTAATAAGTGAATTCTTTCCAAATGCTTAAGGAAGAAATAGCACACATCTTACATAAACTCTGTCAGAAATAGGAGAAGAAACATTTCTCAAATTGTCTAACCAGCATAGCTTTAATACTTCATATTAAAACCTCACAAGTCTGGGTGCAGTGGCTCACGCCTGTAATCCCAGCACTTTGGGAGGCTGAGGCGGGTGGATCACGAGGTCAGGAGATCGAGACCATCCTGGCTAACACGGTGAAACCCCGTCTCTACTAAAAAAATACAATAAATTAGCCAGGGGTGGTGGTGGGCGCCTATAGTCCCAACTACTCGGGAGGCTGAAGCAGGAGAATGGCGTGAACCCGGAAGGCGGAGCTTGCAATGAGCCGAGATCATGCCACTGCATTCCAGCCTGGACAACAGGGCGAGACTCCGTGGCAAAAAAAAAAAAAAAAAAAAAAAAAACACACAGAAAAACTTAGACTCCACTTTCTCTTGTGAACGTAAGTACAAAACTACCAAATGAACTAGGAGCAAACCCATCTCAACCATATATAATATGGTATTAATCATTTATCACAACAAAGTTGATTTAATTCCAAAATGCAATGTTCAACATTCAAAAGCCAATCACTGTTAAGTTACCTTATCAACATAAAAAGATAAGAAAAAACACTGCTCAATCAAGAAAGAAAAAAGCAATTGATACAATTCAGTACCTATTCATAAATCTTAAAACCTGTGTAACAGAGAGGAAGCAACATGTGAGTTAAACACTCCCCCAGCTGAGAATAGTGACATAACTTATTTGCAGCCAAAAGATGAAAATTGCAGGCCAGGCGCAGTGGCTCATGCCTCTAATTCCAGCACTTTGGGAGGCAGAGGTGGGCGGATCACAAGGTCTGGAGTTCAAAACCAGCCTGGCCAACATGGTGAAATCTCGTCTCTACTAAAAATACAAATAGAAATGAGTCGGGCGTGGTGTCATGCGCCTGTATTCCTAGCTATTAGGGAGGCTGAGGTAGGAGAATCACTTGAACCATGGAGGCGGACATTATGACAGTGAGCCGAGATTGTGCCACTGCACTCCAGCCTGGCAACAGAGCAAGACTGCGTTTCAAAAAAAAAAAAAAAAAAAAGGATGAAAATTGAATTGCAGTATAATTTTACAACTTTTGAGAAATCTGTGTTTTTCAGCTAAAAAGAGACAAACTCAGCCTTTTGACCTTTCATCTTTCCCTCCTTGGAAGGCAATCCAAGGCCTGGAAAAACAGCAGCCACATTGTGACCACAAGAATAGAAACCAGGCTAAGGAAGTATCAGGAAACTGAAAAGAACCCTGGACTGCCTTCCTCTGCACGTTTTAAGTGACAAAAATGAAATCTATATTTCTTTAAGTCACTGAATCAGATTTATTCTTTCTGTGGCTACATGTAGCCCTAAATGATGTATTAAATACTAAAATAAATACTAAAATACACACTAAAATACTAAAATTTTGGTCTTGACTCCTGATCTCAGGTGATATGCCCATCTCAGCCTACCAATGTGCTGGGATGACAGGCATGAGCCACCACACCCACCTCAAAAGCTTTGTGTTTTAAAATATATTAGACATATCTCTAGTTTAAAAAAAAAAAAAACTTAACAATAATGTAGGAGAATAAGAGAAACTTTTTCCAAAAAAGAGAAATCACTGTGATTATTTTATCTTATTGGAATGTTGGATAATATAATCTGCTTTACTAATCATTAAGCACGCTGTAAATTTTCCATTACAACAGGATTTGTACCTCAACTAAGGTGATAAAGTTTTAAAGTTTAGAAAGTGAGTCCCTCTCCCTCTCCCTCTCCCTCTCCCTCTCCCCACGGTCTCCCTCTCCCTCTCCCCACGGTCTCCCTCTCCCTCTCCCTCTCCCCACGGTCTCCCTCTCCCTCTCTTTCCACGGTCTCCCTCTGATGCTGTGCCGAAGCTGGACTGTACTGCTGCCATCTCGGCTCACTGCAACCTCCCTGCCTGATTCTCCTGCCTCAGCCTGCCGAGTGCCTGCGATTGCAGGCGCGCGCCGCCACGCCTGACTGGTTTTCGTATTTTTTTGGTGGAGACGGGGTTTCGCTGTGTTGGCCGGGCTGGTCTCCAGCTCCTAACCGCGAGTGATCTGCCAGCCTCGGCCTCCCGAGGTGCCGGGATTGCAGACGGAGTCTGGTTCACTCAGCGCTCAATGGTGCCCAGGCTGGAGTGCAGTGGCGTGATCTCGGCTCGCTACAACCTCCACCTCCCAGCCGCCTGCCTTGGCCCCCCAAAGTGCCGAGATTGCAGCCTCTGCCCGGCTGCCACCCCGTCTGGGAAGTGAGGAGCGTCTCTGCCTGGCCGCCCATCGTCTGGGAAGTGAGGAGCGTCTCTGCCTGGCTGCCCATCGTCTGGGATGTGAGGAGCCCCTCTGCCTGGCTGCCCAGTCTGGAAAATGAGGAGCGCCTCTTCCCGGCCGCCATCCCATCTAGGAAGTGAGGAGCGCCTCTGCCCGGCCGCCCATCGTCTGAGATGTGGGGAGCGCCTCTGCCCCGCCACCCCGTCTGGGATGTGAGGAGCGCCTCTACCCGGCCGCGACCCCGCCTGGAAGGTGAGGAGCGTCTCTGCCCGGCCGCCCCGTCTGAGAAGTGAGGAGACCCTCCGCCTGGCAACCGCCCCATCTGAGAAGTGAGGAGCCCCTCCACCCGGCAGCCGCCCCGTCAGAGAAGTGAGGAGCCCCTCCGCCCGGCAGCCACCCCGTCTGGGAAGTGAGGAGCGTCTCCGCCCGGCAGCCACCCCGTCCGGGAGGGAGGTGGGGGTCAACCCCCGCCCGGCCAGCCGCCCCGTCCGGGAGGGAGGTGGGGGGGTCAGCCCCCCGCCTGGCCAGCCGCCCCGTCCGGGAGGTGAGGGGCGCCTCTGCCCGGCCGCCCCTACTGGGAAGTGAGGAGCCCCTCTGCCCGGCCAGCCACCCCGTCCGGGAGGGAGGTGGGGGGGTCAGCCCCCCGCCCAGCCAGTCGCCCCGTCCGGGAGGTGAGGGGCGCCTCTGCCCGGCTGCCCCTACTGGGAAGTGAGGAGCCCCTCTGCCTGGCCGCCACCCCGTCTGGGAGGTGTGCCCAGCAGCTCATTGAGAATGGGCCATGATGACAATGGCGGTTTTGTAGAATAGAAAGGGGGGAAAGGTGGGGAAAAGATTGAGAGGTTGGATGGTTGCCGTGTCTGTGTAGAGGGAGGTAGACATGGGAGACTTCTCATTTTGTTCTGTACTAAGAAAAATTATTCTGCCTTGGGATCCTGTTGATCTGTGACCTTACCCCCAACCCTGTGCTCTCTGAAACATGTGCTGTGTCCACTCAGGGTTAAATGGATTAAGGGCGGTGCAAGATGTGCTTTGTTAAACAGATGTTTGAAGGCAGCATGCTCGTTAAAAGTCATCACCACTCTCTAATCTCAAGTACCCCGGGACACAAACACTGCAGAAGGCCGTAGGGTCCTCTGCCTAGGAAAACCAGAGACCTTTGTTCACTTGTTTATCTGCTGACCTTCCCTCCACTATTGTCCTATGACCCTGCCAAATCCCCCTCTGCGAGAAACACCCAATGATCAATTAAAAAAAACAAAACAAAACAAAACAAAAAAAAACATTATATTATCGACTATACCTTAAATTATAATAAAAAGTTATATATGTAAAAAAAAAAAAAAGTAAGTGAAAGCCAGCCCCGCCCCTCTCCCAGAGTGGGCGGGGACAGCAGTTCCATGGGAGGCTTTCCTTGTGACATCACAGGACCTTCATGACCCGCAGCTGCCTGGCCCCGCCTCCTTTCCCTTTCATCTTTCTCATTGACCAATGGGCTTGGAGCATTAAGGCCACGCCCCTTTTCCGCATTCTAGTGCAGCCCCGGTGACGCCTCCTGTGGCTCAGTCACATAGCTGTGTGGTACGTGACTGGAGGCATATCACTGTCCTCGCCTGGATCACGCCAATGTGACCCCAACCCCACCACCCTCCCCACCCCATGATGTCCGAAAAAACCCAACAAAGAAAATTGGCTGGGACCAAGAAAAAGGTAAAACGCATCGGATTGCAGCACCCCAACCCCAACCCAGCCCCAGGTCCCCTCTGATGGCAGAACAGCTGCCAGAATCCGTGTCACTCCAGAGGCACGCAGGGCCGGGCCCCCCCCAGTGCCTCTGGGCTCCCCCAACCAAAATCTTGTGTCAGCCCCAACCCCTCAGCAGTCCTGCCCCTGCCCTCACCGGTCACCCCAGGGTGACTTTCAGCCGGTGACTCGTGGGGCTCCCTGCTTTGTACTCTGCCCTCACCTCCTATTGTCCAAAAATGGATCTCCCTGGGCCCTTCGGGCTCACGTTCCCAAGGAACCGGATGCCCCAGCACCTGCCCTCACCAGTCACCCCAGGGTGACTTTGGGCAGGTGACTCCTGGGGCTCCCCACTCCATACTCGGCCCTCACCTACCGCTGCCCCAAGCCTGACTTCCCTGGGCTCTTTGGGCTCACGTCTCCAAGTACCTGGGTCCCAACCCTGTGACCCCATGCCAATCTCAAAGAGGCAACTTGGGCACAGCACTGATGGGATAATGGGTTTGGTTTGGTTTTCTCCCAGGCTTCTACTCTCCAGAGAGACTTTAACAGTTTTTTCTAAGTTCTCCACTTCATATTTGAATTCTCCATGGTTCTGGGACCAGAGTGCCCATCAGTCAGTGATCTTTGAAGTGAGATTTGCTCATCTTCTGTGCAAGAGATCTTGGGAAACTGGACTTGACAACTTGAATCTTCCTCATCTCATCTCAACCTGGGGTACTTTGAGTGCCACAGGATACATATGGGGCATCTTTCTGAAGCATCAGTTTTCCTTGATTCTCGTGGGAGACACAAAACATTAATGTTCTTAGGGATGATAGTCACATAGATTTCAAAGAGTATACAAGACTTCTCTCTGAAATGCAGCTTGGGTTGTCCTCTTTCTGTTTAATTCCCACATTTAACAGAAAGGCTGCCTTCTGCCCTGAGGATACATGACTCTAAGAGGATGTACGACTGTAAACCACACAGTGTACACCTTCCTGCCTACTTTTTACTTTTCTACCTCTGCCTCTGGTTTTGGTCTCTGGCAGCTGCTGATTTGTGGCAACACCCCAGAGCTCAGAGTCAGAAGACTGAGTTTCAGTTCCATTATTGCCTTTCTTTTAGCCATGGTATCAATCCCTCTCAGTCACTAAGTGATTGCGACAACACCTCGTACAGTCGTTGGTGGCATTAAGTCAGATCGTCTATGAGAGTATTTTGTATAAACTGTAAAGTGACTGTAGGAGCTTGTAGTTCTCATGAGTATCACTGCTCCTCTTTTCCACAGTTTACAGACTATCATCAGTGGAACAGTGCTGGTGTTGGTACCGGAGCAACCGACACCAAAAAGAAGAAAATAAATCATGGCGCTAACCCTGAGACAACCACTTCGGGGGGCTGCCACTCGCCTGAGGATGTGAGTCTTGGCTGGCCGGTCTCCTGAGGACAAGGGGCACAAGGGGGAGGTCGAGGGTAACTGTTAAGATTGTGGAAGGAAGAACTGCTGGGTACTGGCTAAGAATTCTGGGTTTGAGTCCTACTTCTCTCTCCAACTGCGAGGGACACGGTTTAGGGAAAATTGCTCGAGCTCTTTGGGCCTCTCTTTTCACATCTGTAAAATGGGGATGGTAATGTTTTACTTACATGTGTGAAGCTTAAATCAGATTTGTTGCTGTTGTTTTTGTGTTAATCCCTAGTCCAGGGCCTGCTGTAAGCTCCCCTCCTCTTTGGGCTTCCGTTTCCTGAGGAGGTAGAGTTAGAGTATCAGAGGTTCTGTTTGCTCTGAGAGTCTGAGATTTAAAGATTCACTAGAATGGAAACCTTGGGGCCAAGGGCTCCTGTCTGCCTTTTCCGTCCTATATCCCAGCAGTGAAGAACCGTCCCCGGCCCCTATGTGCTTGCTCAATGCTTGTTGAATGAACACATCTTTCTCCATCACAAGCTGGCAGAAGGGTGGGCTTTTCTCACACTCTTATGTCGGAAGGTTTATGTTACTGTCTTTTCCAGAGAATCTAGTTTCAGACTTTCAGTTCTGTGGCTGTGGGCAAAAGCCAACAAAGACCCAAATCCTTTTTCTTTGGGCGTTAAGGAAAGTTGACCAGTTTGTGTTCCCATTGGGTCTGAGAACTTTGCCCTTAAAATCCATTCCTGACCCCTGCCTACCGCTTCCTGGCCTGGGGAATAGAGTCGAGGGACCACCCTCAGTCACCTTCCTTTGACTCTCCCCACAGAAACAACAGAACCGAGCTCAGCTGAAAGAGGTAACATGGTTTCTTTCTTTGCTCACGACATGACCGCTGGGTTTGGGGGGCACTCAGATGTAGAGGCCCCAGTCTCGTCTCGCCTACTCCCAGCTTGGGGAGGAAGGCTCACCTCCCAGCTTCCACCCCATCCCCACAGGGTCCCTGATAACCTGGTCCCATGGGTGGGCCTGTCCTGGGACAGTGGGGCCATTCTGGGGGCATGTCTCTTGCTGTGCCATCTCTGCCTCCCTCTAGTAAGAGCTCTGTCTTCCTCTTCTTTTCTATAGGAAAATAAGGCAAGCCACCAACATCAGCAAGCCCTAAGGAGGCAGCTAGAGGTGAGTGGAGGGTGTGAAGTTCCCTCCTGTCCTCTGGAGAAGGTTTCTTTGCTTCTCTTTCAGCACTTGCTTTTCTTGTCTCCCAAAGGCCCAGGATCATACCATACGAATCCTTATGTGTCAGAAAACTGAACTGGAGACAGCGCTCCATGACAGCCAGGATGCTGCCAGGAAATTTGAAGGTGGGAATCTGGGCACCCCGTCATCCTTCAACCTGGCACTTTCACAGGCCTTTGGGCTGCAGCTCAACCTCTCTCATTCCAGAAGATTCCAAGGATCTGGCAGCCCGCCTGCATCATTCCTGGCACTTTGCAGGAGAGTTACAGCGGGCTCTCTCTGCTATGTCCGCAGAGCACGAGAGGGCGGACAAGGTGAGTCCAACCACCTACCCGGTCCCCTGGGAGCCCAGCTTCGCAGATGGAGGAATGAGCCTAAAGGTCCCTTCTGCAGGATGCAGTGTCCTGCCCAGAAGACAGCATGGGCCATTTCTTGCTGCTTTTGTGCGTGGTTGTTAGAGGCAGGTTGGGGCTGAGTCAGCTGCTGTGGGTGAGTTGCGGGGCGCTGTGGGGAGCGAGCACTGGACACAGAGCTCGGAGGCCAAGTGCCCACCCCACCCATACTTGGCTGTGGCCTTGGTCAAATCCTAGGCGGAGTTGAGGGTACTTGTACCATGAAGGTACAGAAGAGTATCTTTAGTATGTTACCATTTGTGTAGAGAGAGGGAACACATGTACGTGTGTGTGTGTGTGTGTGTGTGTGTGTGTGTGTGTGTGTACGTACGTATTATGGTAATATACATAAAACATGTTTGTAAGGATTCATAAAAAACTCAGGAGAGAGGAACAGTGTTGGGGGAAGATATTTCCCTTCTGTACCTTCTGAGGTTTGGACTATGCCAATGTATCATTCTTTCAAAAATCAACAAAGGATTAATTTCCTCCTCCTTATCTGTGCCCCTACCCCCAACCAAAAGAATGGGCTTAGAGAATCAGATATACCTGGGTGTTGAAATCCCAGCTCTAAGTGATCTTAGGCAAGCACTTAACCTTTAATACCCCATGTTTTTCATCTACACAATAGAGGTGATAATGATAACTGTCTCCTGTGGTGGCTGTGAGGATTAAATGGGATTGTTAGCATAGTGCCTGGTGAAGCACTCAAGAAAGGTTCCAACAGTGGTAATAATAACAGTAATAGCAATAACAATATTATCTGATCGCTCTGGGCCCCTGTTAGCCAGCTATCAATTCAGTCTCTTTCTCTGTGCCTTCCACCCTTACTGAGTTCTCCGAAAAACAAGTGAGAGCCAGGTGCAGTGGCACATGCCTGTAATCCCAGCTACTTAGGAGGCTGAGGCAGAAGAATCGCTTGAAGCCGGGAGGCGGAGGTTGCGGTGGGGTGAGATCGCGCCATTGCACTCCAGCCTGGGCAACAAGAGCGAAACTCCATCTCAAAAAAAAAAAAAAAAAGAAAAGAAAAACAAATGACACCACGGGTTTGGAAACGCCTTGAGAACATGTCGGGTGTGACGGAGAGGAGCAAGTGTTACTGTGGAGTATCAGTGTAGCTGTCGTTACTGGTCGTCCAGCTGCTCCTCTGCCTGCTGTATCCTGACTTGACCTTTCTCTGTTTGCAGTACATCAAGGAGTTAACAAAGGAGAGGGAAGCCATGAGTCTGGAGCTGTTCAGGAACATGTAGGATAGGGGAGGGGGGGATGGGAGGTCTGAGAGCCCTTAGCGTGGGTGGTGTGCTGGGAGGTGGGGGGTACAGGTGAGCATGGTAGGGGGTCATACAGGTTTACATGTGTGTGCAGGGAAGCTCCAGTGCCGGCTGTGCCACTGACTCATGGGGTAGCCTCAGGCAACTCATGTCTTCTCTCTGGCCTGCCACCTGGGACTTTTAATTCCTGGGGTCCCTTCCAGTGCCACGGTTCTGTGGTTGTGGGGCGAGGGTAGAGGGTCGATCACCAAAGCGGTCCTTTCTGTTCTTCGTTCATTCCTTTCTCTACTGCCTCCGGCCATAGCATAACCAATAAGGAGCTGAAGGAGAAAAATGCCGAACTACAAGAAAAACTTCGACTGGTAGAAACTGAAAAGTCTGAGATCCAGCTCCACATCAAGGAGCTAAAAAGGAAACTGGAGACGGACAAAATCCCGCTGCCACAGGTGAGCGGCGGCAGCCCCGGGGGTGTGGGAGCCGCATCCGGCTGGGACATGGTCTAGGGATCATGCAGGGTGTGGGGAGGCTCCAGCCAAGAGCTGGAAAATTTGGGTCCTTGTTCTGGTCCCACCACAGAATCCTCTAGAGTGTGCTAAAAATCTACAAATTGGGACCATGCCTGGGAAATCAGAACCTCAGGGTTACGGCTTAAAATTTCTTTTTAAAGAATCATAGACGAAAACCGTTATTTTATAGATTACATTTATATACCTAGCTTATGACTCTATTTCCTTTTGAGGTTCAAACCAACACTTTGCAGGAGAAGATGTGGAGGCAGGAGGAGGAGCTACGGGATCAGGAGAAGCTACGGAAGCACGAGGAGAAGATGTGGAGACAGGAGCAGAGGCTGCGGGACCAGGAGAAGGAGCTGCGGGAGCAGGAGCAGCAGATGCAGGAGCAGGAGGAGCAGATGCGGAAGCAGGAGGAGCAGATGCGGAAGCAGGAGGAGCAGATGCGGAAGCAGGAGGAGCAGATGCGGAAGCAGGAGGAGCAGATGCGGAAGCAGGAGGAGCAGATGCGGAAGCAGGAGGAGCAGATGGGGAAGCAGGAGGAGCAGATGGGGGAGCAGGAGGAGCAGATGCGGAAGCAGGAGAAGCAGATGCTGAAGCAGAAGGAGCAGATGCGGAAGCAGGAGGAGCAGATGTGGAAGCAGGAGGAGCAGATAGGGGAGCAGGAGGAGCAGATGCGGAAGCAGGAGGAGCAGATGTGGAAGCAGGAGGAGCAGATAGGGGAGCAGGAGGAGCAGATGCGAAAGCAGGAGGAGCAGATGTGGAAGCAGGAGGAGCAGATGGGGGAGCAGATGAGGAAGCAGGAGGAGCAGATGGGGGAGCAGGAGGAGCAGATCCGGAAGCAGGAGGAGCAGATGGGGGAGCAGGAGGAGCAGATGCGGAAGCAGGAGGAGCAGATGGGGGAGCAGGAGGAGCAGATGCGGAAGCAGGAGGAGCAGATGGGGGAGCAGGAGGAGCAGATGAGGAAGCAGGAGGAGCAGATGGGGGAGCAGGAGGAGCAGATGGGGGAGCAGGAGGAGCAGATGCGGAAGCAGGTGGAGAGGCTGCAATTCAAGGAGGAGAGGCTGTGGGATGAGTATGAGAAGATGCAGGAGGAGGAGGAGAAGATCCGGAGGCAGGTGGAGAAGAGGCGGGAGAAGAAGGAGAGGATGGGAGAGCAGGAGAAGACGCAGGAGGAGCGGTGCTCAGAGCCCTGCCTCCCTCCCTCCAAATATCCTTCTGATATGAGCCACCCTGGCAGCCTGGAGCCTGCACGAGAGGCCGGGAAGGGTTATTCCCATGACAACCGCACTGCACAGATCATGCAGCTGCCCCCTGGAATGAAGAACGCCCAGGAGCGCCCAGGCTTAGGCAGCACCTCCTGCATCCCATTCTTCTACGGAGGAGACAAGAAAAAGATCAAGATCATCAGTATCTAAAAAGAACGGTCAACAAGGCCTACAGAAGTGTAAGCCGCCATGTGACCTTGTGAATACAGTCTGAGAACAAACTTGAAAAAAAGAAAATTTATTTTAAATTGTGGCAAAATACTGGCCGGGCACGGTGGCCTGCACCTGTAATCACACCACTTTGGGAGGCCTAGGCGGGTGGATCACCAATCCCAGCTACGTGGGAGGTTGAGGTTGCAGTGAGCTGAGATCACACCACTGCACTCCAGGCTGGGTGACAGAGTGAAACTCCCATTTCAAAAAAAAAAAAAAAAATTCTACCTGAGGACTCTAATATCTATGTATGTTTCTATTGTTTTTTTTGTTTGTTTTCTCCTTTTGTCTTGCGTTGTCTTGTCTTATGGCATGCCTAGTAAAGTTTTATCTGCCTCCAGAGAGTACTGACTTTGACTTTATGGCACACAATTGGCGTTCAAGCAGATCGCCTTCATCTAGTTTGGGACTAAGCTGGCTCAAAGCAGGTTTTAGTTTTTGTGACAGCTGGTCTATTTTTTATTCTTTTGGACTCTTAGGGGTGGCCCTTCCAGGATCCCCACCAAGGTCTCATCTCCTTACTGGGACCCAAATTCTCATTATGTCATTTCAGCCCTGTGAGAGTGCCAAACATTCAGCTAGGCTCTCCAGCCTCTTAACTATCACTTCATACTCAGTTTCTTAGCCTCTTAGCCCTCTACTGTTGACCGATCACCAAATGTGGGAAAAGCACTAAGGACTGTCAGGATCACCTCCTAGGCCTGGTCACTCAAGTCCTGGCTGAGGTCCCCAATTACCTTCCAACAATTGTTTTTGATGGTGGGGGGAAGGGGGGACACATTTTTGTCCAGTTTTTCTAACTGTTCCTGTGGGGAGGCTAGTCTATAACAAGCTACTCTGCCTTTAATGAATGTTGAAAACCTTTTTTTTTTTTTTTTTTTGAGATGGAGTCTCACTCTGTTGCCCAGGCTCTAGTGCAGTGGTGCAATCTCTGCTCACTGTAACCTCCACCTCCTGGGTTCAAGCAATTCTCCTGCCTCAGCCTCCCAAGTAGCTGGGATTACACGCATATGCCACCACCCCTGGCTAATTTTTATATTTTTAGTAGAGACGGGATTTCACCATGTTGTCCAGGCTGGTCTCGAGCTCCTGACTCATGTGATCTACCCGCCTCGGCCTCCCCAAGTGCTGGGATTACAGGCGTGTGCCACTGCATCCAGCCCATCTGTCTTTTTAAAAATGTTTCTAATTTGAGGTATAATTTATATTCCGTGAAATGCACAGATCTGGTTTACATTTTGATGACTTTTAACAAATGCATTACCCATGTAACCCACCTCCTTTGAAGATATGGAACATTTTATCATCCACAAAGTTCTCCTGTGCTTTCATCCTGTCCGGCACTCCCCCAGCAGCTGATGAACATGCTGAGGACATTGGTACAGGATTCTGGCCTCCCCAAAAGAGCTGCTTTGACAAGCCTGCTTGCCTTACCCAGCACTAAGGGTTCTCTCAAAATTTCCATCTTTAAACTGCTTGTACCTATAACCCTCCCACATCAAATCCATAGATAAACCAGCCCACAGCCTAATATTTACTGTATACCCAAGCTTTCAGAAATACGACTCCCAGGAGTGGGGACTGGTGGCTGCATCCCCTCCTCCTCCTGGAAGCCTCTACCAGCCTACAGAGCCCACAGAGTAGATCTCACCAGGCAGCCTGAGCCTGAAAGTGCCGTGGAGCCTCCTGCCGGTTCACCCTCACTACGGTGGCAGCTGCACGGGAGCACCTGGGCTCACTCATTAAGCAAGAAGACATTGGCTTGATACTGACACTCCAACCCCAGCCTGGGCGAGCCTGGCTGAAAGGCCCCTTCCTTCTGGTCAGACTGTGGGGAGACGCGGCGGAGCATACACACTCTACTGCCCTCCTCATGCTTCAGCTGTGCTTCCTTCTTAACAGAGGGAGCCGCTCATGGATTTGGCCAAAGCCTTCCCGAGGGCTGTAGGTTTGACAGGCTGGGTGTGTAGGGGCCACCGTGCTAGAGAGAGAGACTGGTGTGTCAGAAGGCAGCCACCTGGCCAGAGGGGGGTCAATCCCCTTGGTAACCTCCTTCCCCCAGCTGGACACAGAGCCCTGCACTCTCCACATGTGACTGCTCCCCTCAGAGCTGCCACCAGAAGAGGGGTTCTAACCCTGTGGGTGAGGACATTGTGTTACTTTACAGTGGGCCATGGCTCCCTCTGACATCTCCAACTCAGAGGCAGTAGAGAGAAGATGAGAAATTCCCTGCGCCTCTAGTCCTAGCTACTTGAGAGGCTGAGGCAAGAAGGTCACTGGAGCCCAGGAGTTCAAGGCTGCAGTGAGCTATGATTACATCAACGCATTCCAGCCTGAGCGACAGAGTGAGACCCAATCTCAAAAACAACAATAATAAGTTAAACATAAATCTAACTACCACATTATTGGCCAGGTGCAGTGGCTCACACCTGTAATCCCAGCAATTTGGGAGGCTGAGGCGGGTGGATCACGAGGTTAGGAGATGGAGACCATCATGGCTAACACGGTGAAACCCAGTCTCTACTAAAAATACAAAAAAATTAGCCAGGCATGGTGGCGGGCGCCTGTAGTCCCAGCTACTCAGGAAGCTGAGGCAGGAGAATTGCGTGAACCCGAGAGGCGGAGCTTGCTGTGAGCTGAGACGGCGCCACGGCACTCCAGCCTGGGTGACAGCGAGATGCCATCTCAAAAAAAATAAATATGTAAGCATTCCACATTATTGACCAATTCCACTCCTAGGTATAGACACAAAGAATTAAAAGCAGACACTCAAGACACTCGTAAACCAATGTTCATAGCAGCATTACTCACAACAGTCAAGAGATGAAAGCAACCTGATTGCCCACTGATGAAGGGATAACATGTGGCTTACATATATAATGGAATAGCATTGAGCCTTTAAAAGAAAATTCTGACACATGCGGATGAACCCCAAACACCTAAGAAGTTCAATAACCCAGTCACAAAAGGACAAATACTGTATGATTCCCCTTATAGGAGACACCTTGAGTAGTCAAATTCTGAGACAAAAGTAGAATGGTGGTTGCCTGGGGACAGAAGGAGTTAGTGTTTCATGGATACGGAGTTTCAGTTGGAGAAAGGGCAAAAGTTGTAGAGATGGATGGTGGTGATGGCTGGGCAATAATGTGAATATACTTAATGCCAATGAACTGTACACATAAAAATGATTAAAATGGCAAGTTTTACGGTATGTATATTTTACCACGATATTTAAATTTTTTTAATTACATTTTTTAAAATTGTTACCAAAAAATACGAATAATCCATCCAAGTTATTTAGAAAAGGAGCGTCAGATCAAGCTTTCCAAAGTGCCAAAACTCAGATTACCTGGTTGCTTGACCCACACCCAGGTCTCCAGAATTGACTTGGCCCTATATACAGGTGCAGGAGTTTCGTCTTCATTTTTTTTCTCTTTGTCATTCAGATCTTCTTTCTTTGTTCCACTTGGTTCGACACTACCATCTGCAGAATTAAAAAATTTCTTAATCTGTCACCGCTTTTCAGAATGTCATACCATTAGTCTCTGCAAATGTCCCTCCCCGAAAAGTTACAACACACATGATTAACTGAATGGCATGCGGTGTCCCCCACCCCAGGGCTGTGAGCATGCGTGACTAATAAACTGCTATTTCATCTGTCCAGTGTCGGTGTCCTACGTTCAGCCATCCCATATCCCTAGGGCAGGAATCTTCTAGGGTTATAAACAGAACTTTAATCAACCTCTCCTTGGTTATTTTACTGGTTCCATGATACAGCTTTTTCCGTGCAAAAGATCTGAACAGAAACTTCACAGAGGATACAAGAGTGGCAAAGAAGAACACGATATTCAGCATTCTTAGCCATTACGGAAGTGCAAATTAAAACCACAATGAGATCCCACTAGACTTGTTAGAATGGCTCAACTAAAAAACACTGATAACACCAAGTGCTAACAAAGACACAGAGCAACAGAAACGTGACAGATTGCCAGTGGGAATGCAAACTAAAACAGCCACTTCGGAAAACAGTTCAGCACATGACCCAACTTTCACACTACTAGGTCTTTATCCTAGGGAAATGGAAACTATATTCACATAAAATCTGTATAGTAATGCTCACAGCAGGATTACAATTGGGAAAGAAAAATGGAAACAACCACAAGGTCCTACAATGGCAGAATGGATAAACACCATGTGGTACATCCAAATGATGAAATACCATTCAGCAATAAAAAGAACTATTAATACACAGAACAGCACATAAATCTCAAACATATAACTGGGAGTAAATGAAGATGGTTTCAAAATGTTACTTAAAATATGGTTCCACTCACATGACATTCTCAAAAAGAATACCCCATACTGATGGAGAACAGATCCGTGGTTGCCAGGGTATGAGACCAGGGAACACGTGATAAAAAGGAGCAGCACAAGGGAGCTTTTGGGGTGAAGAAAATTCTCCATCCTGATGATGATGGGGGTTACATGAATCTATAGAGGTCAAAATTTACTGAACTACATACCACAATAAAATAAATTTCATATAAGTTTTTTAATAAAAATATGTTGGCTGGGGGGGTGCGGTGGCTCACACCTGTAATCCCAGCACTTTGGGAGGCCGAGGCGGGTGGATCACAAGGTCAGGAGTTCGACACCAGCCTGGCCAACATGGTGAAACCCTGTCTCTACTAAAAATACAAAAATTACCCAGGCTTGGTGGCACGTGCCTGTAATCCCAGCTACTTGGGAGGCTGAGGCAGGAGAATGGCTTGAACCTGGAAGGCGGAGGTTGCAGTGAGCCGAGATCACACCATTGCACTCCAGCCTGGACCACCGAGTGAGACTTCATCTCAGGAAAAAAAAAAAAAAAAAAAGAAGAAGAAGGAAAATATCTAGGTCCAGGGAGGACAGCTGGAATACAGTCTGGTGGAATCATGTCAGAGCAGGGAGCTGGGTCTGGAGGGCTGGAGCAGGGTGCGGCCCCACTCTAGGAAGGAACTAGGAAAGGCATCCTGGGTGAAGCAAGAGCAGAGTCCCGTTCTGCAACAGGTGAGCATTTATCCTGATCTGAGAAACTACATGCAAATTTAATACGTCTCACTTAGCCTCTTATTTTCCTTAACAGCATGGAAAATGAGAGGACAAACAATTCAGAAGGTTAAGACATGAAATACATTTAATTCAGAAATCATACACAGAAAGGTAGGAAATGAATGGGGGAAAAAAGCAGCTAATGGAAAGTGAAAATGGGCCAGATGTGGTGGCTCACTCCTGTAATCCCACCACGTTGGGAGGCCGAGGTGGGCGGATCACTTGAGGTCAGGAGTTTGAGACTGGCCTGGCCAACATGGTGAAACCCGATCTCTACTAAAAATATCAAAATTGGCCCGGCATGGTGGCAGCCACCTGTAATCCCAGCAGCCCGAGAGGCTGAGGCAGGAGAATTGCTTGAACCTGGGAGGCAGAGGTTGCAGTGAGCTGGAATCTCGCCACTGGACTCCAGCCTGTACAACAGAGTAGGACTCTGTCTCAAAAAAAAAAAAAAAAAGTGAAAATAACCTAACATGTACTATGCAAAGCATCTGGCCTAACAACAATACATTACCCTTTTAAATCTTTACAAACAACCTTGAAGGAGGCAGGCTTTGTTGTCTCCAGTTTACCAAGGTAGATAGACATCTTGGGTCACAGAATACACAGCAGAACCCAGCCAGGAACACAGCTCAGGTGAGAACACAGGTGCTGGCTCTAAATGCCAGACTCTGCCCTACGTGTGTGTATGTGTGTGTGTGTTTGGGGTCACTAACCACAGCCCAGGGGCCAAACCCAGCCCACAGCCTCTTTGTGTATGGTCTGAACGCAGAGAAAGTATTTTATTTTTGTTGTTCTTTTGAGACAGAGTCTTGGCTCATCACAACCTCTGCCTCCCAGGCTCAAACGATTCTCCCAGGTTCAAGTGATTCTCCTGCCTCAGCCTCCGAGGAGCTGGGATTACAGGCGTGCATCACCATGCCCGGCTAATTTTTTGTTTTTAGTAGAGATGGGGTTTCACCATGTTGGCCAGGCTGGTCTCGAACTCCTGACCTCAGGTGATCCGCCTGCCTCAGCCTCTAAAAGTGCTGGGATTACAGATGTGAGCCACCACGCCCGGCCACTGTATTTTATATTTTTTAATAACTGAAAAACAATCAAAAGAAAAACAGTATTTTGTGACTTGCAAACATTCTGTGGACTTCATCTTTTGGTGTCCATAAATACACTTTACAGAATGAACGTCCCCTGCCCGCTGACGTGGTATTGTCTGTGGCTACTTTGGCACTAAATCTGCAAGGTCTCATGGCTATGACAGAGACCATAGGGTCCAGTGAGACCTTAAAATATTTACTATCTGGCCCTTTAGAGAAAGTAGGCCACCCCTACCCTACAGCTGGCTATAAATTTTACATATTAAAAAAATGCAACATTCTTAATTTTAATCTCAGTACACTGGAACACTGCTCATCTCCCTTCTTCAAGATGAAAAGCTTCGACAGTCACCAGGAAGCAGACAAGAACCCTAAGTACACCTCAAGAGTTATTCTCAGGAGCATAAATTACAACACTTTACAACAGCAAAAGCAGGATGAAGTCACTGGAGGCCACGAAAACAACCAAGAGTAATTAGCACCACCAGCTCAAAGACCACACCACATCAACTTCAAAGTTGTCTACTCTTCCTTTCACTACTGTAGGGTTCAAAGTATACATAGAGAAAATCGAACACATACTACCCAAACACATTGCTTATGGAATGCTGCAGAGAAGGGAAGCGAGACCTCCCATTGGCCAGGTGTGGTGGCTCATGCCTGTAATCCCAGCACTTTGAGAGGCCAATGTGGGAGGATCACTTGCACCCAGGAGATCAAGACCAGCCTGGCCAACACAGCAAAACCCCATCTCTACTAAAAATACAAAATACGGCTAGGCGTGGTAGCTCACATCTGTAATCCTAGCACTTTGGGAAGCCAAGGTGAGGGGATCACTTGAGGTCAGGAGTTCCACAGCAGCCTGGCCAACATAGTGATACCCCATCTCTACTAAAAATGTGGCTCACACCTGTAATCCCAGCACTTTGGGAGACCGAGGCGGGTGGATCACAAGGTCAGGAATTCGAGACCAGCCTGACCAACATGGTGAAACCTCGTCTCTACTAAAAATTCAAAAATTTGCCGGGCATGCTGGCGTGCACCTGTAATCCCAGCTACTCAGGAGGCTGAGGCAGAGGATCGCTTGAACCTGAAAGGCGGAGGGTAGTGGTGGCGGGCACCTCTAATGCTAGCTACTCAGGAGGCTGAGGCAGGAGAACTGCTTGAACCCAGGAGGCAGAGGTTGCAGTGAGCCAAGATCACGCCACTGCACTCCAGCCTGGGCAACAGAGCAAGACCCTGTCTCAGAAAGTAAAATAAAAAATTCATAGTCTTAATAATGGAAAACAAAAACATTTACTGAATGTCAAAACATCTCCCTAAAAACCCCAATCAGTTGGATTCTACATAAAGAACAATTATGCTCTGCTTTCTAACCATGATTTTTAAAAGAACAAAGGACAAAAAAAGTCATCAAATGTGGTCCAGGCACAGTGGCTCACACCTGTAATCCCAGCACTTTGGGAGGCCGAGGGTGGATCATGAGGTCAGGAGTTCAAGACCAGTCTGGCCACTATGGTGAAACTCTGTCTCTACTAAAAATACAAAAATTAGCTGGCCGTGGTGGAGGGCACCTGTAATCCTAACTACTCTGGAGGCTAAGGCAGAGAACTGCTTGAACCCAGGAGGCGGAGGTTGCAGTGAGCCAAGATCATGCCACTGCACTCCAGCCTGAGAGACAGAGCAAGACTCCCTCTCAAGAGGAAAAAACAGAAACAAAAATTCATGAAATGTAATAAATAAAATATACACTTTGGATTTTTCCATGTACTTAGCTTTTCTTAGAGCATCTTTTAGAATTATTGTTTCACAAAAAACACTTTGGGAAACGTTTTAATTTATTAACAAATACTGGAGGGCTAGGAAGAAGAGGTTAAAACTTTTCAAAATATACAGAATGAATTACTGATACGTGTTAAAAAAAAAAAAAAAAAAAGGTTGCTGACTCCTGTCATGGAAGGCACTGTCATATGGACACTCCCAGCCTCAGCATCCGGAGGTCCAGAAAGGGAAAATTTCAAGTCAGAGAGAACTCTATACATACCATTTGTTTGGAACCTTCGGCCCTTAAGATCCCAACATTATGACCTCAGTTTCAACACAATTGTCCTTAGTCCTTGTATTGGTTACAAATACAAAACAAACAGCTCAACTGAACTAACTCTTTTCTCTCCAGAAACACAAACACAAGACCTCATAAAAGGAGTGAGTTTCTAGCAGCCATAATTACTGCAACTTACTTCTCCAATTTTCCCCTCGACAGTTAACTCAACAGCTCAAAAACTATCAGTAACAAACAACAGTCACCATGATATGGTTAGGAGTGTAGCAGATTTCTCAACCAGTAATAATAATTAAGAAAAAAATTTTCCCTATTAATAAATCTCATTTCCTGCACTTGCAAGAAACTAATTAAAAGGCAGCCGCGCACGATCTACAAAAACAGCCATAAAGACTGTTACATTTTAAGTTACAGGAAACAAACCTGCTCCTCTAATATAGCAAGATACAACTGACTTCCCCTTACATACCCTAAAAAAAAGCCTTACACGAGAAATTTAAACATGGAAGCAGAAATACACCAAGAAAGAGACATGTCAAACCCCACCTGTATATCTGTTTTCAACCATTCGGTGTCAAGGCGAGCCTGGGCAGCCAAACACAAAGATTCAGAGGGCATCTTTTCTCCAGCTTCCTCCCAGGTCTCAGGCCTGCAAGTAAACACACATGTTGAAGACCTAACGCTTCTTAATATTTTACAAAGACACTCCCGAAAGGTTTAATGCAGGAAAAAAAAAAGAGACAGAGAACAAAAAGATGGGAGAGAAGAGCTGGGGGACGGGAGTGAAGTGGAGAGAGGGAAAGAGGGAACAGATGGAGGGAGAGGGAGGTGGGGAAGGGAAAGCCGCCTTCCAAGGTAGGCAGGGTGTGCCTGGTTTCTCAGGAGGCCAGATCACAATGTCATCCCCCTGCCCTCAAATCCAAAAGGTACACACACACGACAGAAAGCCCATCGTTTTTTGTTTTGTTTTGAGATGGAGTCTCCCTCTGTCACCCAGGCTTGAGTGCAGTGGCGGAATCTCAGCTCACTGCAAGCACCACCTCCCGGGTTCACACCATTGTCCTGCCTCAGCCTCCCGAGTAGCTGGGACTGCAGGCGCCCACCACCACGCCCAACTAATTTTTTGTATTTTTAGTAGAGACAGCGTTTCGCCGTGTTAGCCAGGATGATCTCGATCTCCTGGCCTCGTGATCCGCCCGCCTCGGCCTCCCAAAGTGCTGGGATTACAGGCTTGAGCCACCGCGCCTGGCCAAGAAGCCCACAGTTTGAACGACAAATGACAGCAGCATGAATCTGCCGCTTTACCCTACAGCAGGGCGCCTGCGTGAAACAAATTACTCAAAAGGATCACCTGCAGAAAAACCCACAGCCACCACCACTTAGAGACGGAGAGAGACCGGAGGCTGAGCCGCGGGCGGTCCGCGCAGGCCCCCGTTCGGCCGCCCGCCAACCCCGCGCCCGCACCTCCTCCGACGCTGGCAGCCCCGGTGCCCCAGGCCGGGACCTGACGCGCAGGGCCCAGGCGCCTCGCCCCGCTGGCTTGCGGACACAGCCTCCTAGCAGCCGCTGGCTCAGGCGCCGCCAGGGATCCTGATGCCTCTCGCAACCCCAGCCACCCGCGCTTAGGGCCAATCGCAAGGCGGCTCCGTGGGCGCAGCCAATGGGGAAGAGGAGCGCTTCGCCGCTCCTCTGGACTCTCCCGCTTCGTGCAATGCGGTTTATCTTCCTACTTGGGAGCCTACCGGCTGAGGCCAGGGGGCAACCGCAGGCGCCAGAAGGCGGGATTTCCGCGGCACGCACGCACACCCGCACTCCTACGGAAGTCAGTTTCTCACCACCTGAATTATTTGAACTTAGCACCACTAAACGTGGAGCAATCAGGTACAGAGTGCTTCCAGATCTCATGTAATAGAAATCACTGACATCATCTATTTTTTTTTTTGAGACAGAGTCTCATTGCGTCGCCGAGACTGGAGTGCAGTGGCATGGTATCGGCTCACTACAACCTCCACCTCCCGGGTTTAGGTGCCTCAGCCTTCCGAGTAGCTGGGATTACAGGCATCTGTCACCACACCCGGCTAATTTTTGTACTTTCAGTAGTGACGGGGTTTCATCATGTTGGCCAGGCTGGTCACGAACTCCTGACCTCTGGTGATCTGCCCGCCTCAGCCTCCCAAAGTTCTGGGATTACAGGTGTGAGCCACCGTGCCCGGCCTATTTCATATTTTAAATATTAGAAAAGTAGAACTTGGCCAGGTGTGGTGGCTCACACCTGTAGTCTTGGCACTTTGGGAGGCTGAAGTGGGAGGATCGCTTGAGCCCGGGAGTTCAAGACCAGCCTGGGCAACATAACAAGACCCTGTCTATTCAAAAAATAAAATTAGCCAGGTGAGGTGGCACGTGCCTGTGGTCCCAGCTACTCGGGAGGCTGAGGCAGGAGAATCGCTTGAACCCCAGAGGCGGAGGTTGCAGTGAGCCGAGATCGTGCTACCGCACTCCAGCCTGGGAGGCAGAGCCAGACTCCGTCTCAAAATAATAATAAGCAGCAGCAGCAGCAGCAGCAGCAGCTTCGGCGGTGGAGGGCCACCCCCGGGCATTGGCCACCTGTGGAGTGACCTGGCTCTTGGCTCCCTGGCAGCCAGCTTCTGGGTCAGGCATCTTCGTTGGTGACTGCCCCTTCAGCTCTCCTGGTGTGGCCGTGAGTGGTGTGGCACTGCCGTGACCCATCTTTTTGTCTTAAAGATGCATCCTGACTTACCTCCACACTTGCACACTCAAGAATGCAACATCGTGATTAACTTGCTAAAAGAATATCACAAAAATCATAGCATTCGAAAATTTTTTGGTCATTGCAATGATCTGGATCAGGCAATGAGAAAATAAATGCTTGAAGAATGAGTACATGGAAAAGAGGACCAAGAGCAGAGAGTATGGCAATTTGATGCAAAAGAGACTTTTTTTTTTTTTTTTTTTTTTTTTTTGAGACGGAGTCTTGCTCTTTCACCAGAGCAAGTGCAGTGGCTCAATCTTGGCCCACTGCAACCTCCGCCTCCTGGGTTCAAGCAATTCTCCTGCCTCAGCCTCCCATGTAGCTGGGACAATAGGCCTGTGCCACCACACCCAGCTAATTTTTGTATTTTTAGTAGAGACAGGGTTTCACCATGTTGGCCATGGCCAGGATGGTCTCGATCTCTTGACCTTGTGATCTGCCTGCCTCAGCCTCCCAAAGTGCTGGGATTACAGGTGTGAGTTGCTGTGTCCAGCCGCAAAAGAGACTTTTTAATTCTCCAGAGGAATCTGAAAAATAAATTGCATTTTCACTGGATGCCTTGGCTGAGAGAAGACCAAAAGGCTATGGGTTGGCCCGGGCATGGTGGCTCACACCTGTAATCCCAGCACTTTCGGATGCCGAGGTGGGTGCATCACCTGAGGTCAGGAGTTCAAGACCAGCCTGACCAGTATGGTGAAACGCTGTCTTTACTAAAAATACAAAAATTAGCCAGGCGTGGTGGCATGGGCCTGTAGTCCCAGCTACTCGCAGGCTGAGACAGGAGAATCTCTTGAACCCAAGAGGCAGAGGTTGCAATGAGCCGAGATCACGCCACTGCACTCCAGCCTGGGTGACAGAGCGAGACTCCGTCTCAAAAAAAAAAAAAAGAAAAAGAAAACGCAGAGTGCATAGCACATGGTAGATACTGACACTGCACTGAGTCTCTTACACACATCGTCTCATTTTACTCTCACAAAACCCCAGGAGTTTGGTATCTTTATTCTAATTTTTGAGAAACTGAGGCTCAAAAATATTAGGGATATGTCCAAGGTCACACAATGAGTAATTTGTAGATCTGAAATGCAGACAGATCTCTCATTCTGAGCCAAGCGCTTTGACAGCACAGAAGGTAGAGAAACAAAAGTTCCCTGTGGAGTTGTGGGATGCTTATTGAAGGTAGCTCATTTGGTGTGGAAACCAAACACAAATGTGCATTAGCGGGAGTCAAGGAGGAAGGAGGAGGGAGGGGAGTAGATAATTTCATTGCAGGCTGAAGGAGGAGAATGCTAAAGATATTAATTTGTGAAAAAAAAACTTGGCAGTTTTAGTAATTTACTGGTGTGAGGAGAAATAAAGTTAAGAGTATGAATGGTGTGGCGGCAGATCATATGAGAGGTATAGTGAAAATTTACAGAATCTGCTGACCTCAATGTCAACAAAATTAATGGGGCCCAACTCTGTACCTGTCATGACCAAGTTTTAAATTTTTCTGTAGATAGGCTGTTCCTTCCAAAGCTTAGAGATTAAGCATATATATATATACATAATTTTTTTTTTTTTTTGAGACGGAGTCTCGCTCTGTCGTCCCAGGCTAGAGTGCAATGGCATGATCTTGGCTCACTACAGCTTCCGCCTCCAGGATTCAAGCGATTCTCCTGCGTCAGCCTCCTGAGTAGCTGGGATTACAGGCACGTGCCACCATGCCTAGCTAATTTTTGTATTTTTAGTAGAGACGGGATTTCATCACGTTGGTCAGGCTGGTCTTGAACTCCTGACCTCGTGATCTGCCCGCCTCAGAATCCCAAAGTGCTGGAGTTACAGGCGTGAGCCACTGTGCCCGGCCACATTTATATATTTTTAATTGAAGCCACTAGACCTCAGCATGTGGTCTAAACAAAGGCTCTTCTCCTAGTTCAGTCCATTTTCCATATCAGGTTCTCCAAAGGATGAACCCAAGAGGTTCTTGTTAGCTGAAGACAAAGTGAAAGGCTGACGATGACATGCAAATTTAGTAGAGCAAAGAATACACATTTATAGTAGAATAATACAAGAATTTTTTCCTTTCTACCATACAAAAAAAATAATGCTTACAATGCAGGTACATTAATTTTATATTAAAAATATCCTTAGGTTGACCTCTGATGTTTTGCTTTTGCACCTGCCATAAGCCTTAAGGCATTTGGCATTCCCATTTTCACAAACCTAATTTAGTAGACTAAATAGCTATGCTAAGCATTTCACTTGCTTTCTATTATTCTTTGGCTGTAGACTATCACATAATGTGAGTGTTATTGATTTTATACATGTTAATTTCTCCTACCACGTACTATAGCAAGCTATACCTTTAGCATTTTTTTTTAGGTTTTTGGCTTATAGGAAGGTATCTCCTAAACCATAAAACTTATCCCATATTATTCTTTTTTTCATAATTTATTTATTGAGCTTTGCTGTATGTAGCTTTCTGAAGTAGATTTTATAGTTTAGAATTGTTGCTTTCCTTTTTTAATCTTTCACTCTTCATTTTTATTGAGTTATGAATTAACTATCTTTATTGTAGCGGTAAAACCATTTGTAATAGTCATAGTTTGATTGAGTGTACATAAATAAATAAAACCCCTGCGTTAAACTGGGAAGTGACATCAGCCTCTTTTTATTTTTTCATTTAAATTCTGAAAACACATGGAGATGAGTGTCCTTCGTTTCTACCTTAAATGGGTTGTTACAACTGAAGGTAATAGGGTCAGTCAGTTAGCACAAAACAAATGGGCAGCTACACACAAAGAACATTTTAAAGATAAAACATGGGTATTTAGAAGGTTGCTTCCATATGTGCTATGAGTTATGTATGAGTATCAAGGAGAGAAGACAGTAACAACTACCTGGTAATCATTTATGCTCTTATGGAGAACGAGCGGTGACTCCATAATGTCCCCAAAATGAGGCAACAGTCTGTCACTGTAGCAAATGATGAGAGGGCCCTTGAGCTAGCAGGCTGGGGCACATTCTACAACCCCTTTCCTTTGTCCTGTAGGAAATTCAACTTTCACATATGAGAAATACTAAAGGAATTTTCTCAGCATTCACATAAAAATACTCTTAAGAATAAAGATAAAAAAGGAATATATCAACTCTTGTAATAACTAGAAACATGTTGCTACAAAACAGATGAAAAAAGGAATGAACATTTATACATTCCAACATAAATTTTAAGGGTGTAATAAAACATAAAGAGACCATGAAGTGAAATGCAAGAGAATGGGGAAGAGATAGCCAGAAAGTGCAATAGCAACTGGCAGAATCCATGAAAGAAATAGGATTTAAAAACAAAATCATTGTAGAAAAAAAAAAAAAAACTAAATTGTAAAGAGAACAAGGGAGACTGAACCCCAAATAATGTAAGGGTCGTAAAGGGTGTGAGAGAAGAATATGTAGTAAGTCCTCTCCCCGTCCAAAAATCCAAAAACTGTAAAACATAGGATAGAATTAGAAAAAAGTTATTGCCTATATTAAGACAAGATAGATCATCATAAGCACATATATTTACATTACTGTGTAGTATATGCTTATGTATGTTATTAGAATGTTCAACACCAAGATATATCTGTGTATGGGACTAGGACTTTAAAGATTAAGAAAGCATTATGTGAGGGCTTAAGCAAAAATTGTCAACTTAGAGAAAAAGAAAATCATTTTGGCATCAGAGTTTTCCACAGCAAAAGTTAACACCAGAAAATGGGGGGAAATATTGAGAAAGAAGAGAAGGGAGAAGCAAATGGTTATCCTTATCCTTGCAAGATATCTATCAGCTATAAAGTGTACAGTTATAAGCACCCATAATTCAGGGAACACTTTACAGAAAGTTCTTATTAAGAGAGTTACCACAGGACAAAGTTCAATCAACCTAGTTCTGAGTAGGTAAAATACTACCAGTAAGGCAAGAGGTAAGCATTCAATGCGTCATATATAGATTTAAGGGATACATGGTGTAGAAGATGTAAAAAGATATTTTACTGATGATTCTGATAATGTACAAATGATTCAACTGTAACAACCAGGAGGAGAGAGTAAAAGAAAGGGGAAAGTAGGAATTAGCTCCCTGATTGCCTCGTCTATAATAGCTGAGAGTAATGGGTTCATTTTAAATCTCAAAATTTGCCCATAATAGTATGAAAACATTAAGTGGCACAAAGGCAAATATTAAGAAATATCCTGCCACAAAAATCAAATAGTTCAGGAGAAGTTGAGAAAGTGAAAATAGCACAGAGTCTAATTTAATTGCCACTCATTGTGGGGAACCATTAGGTATTATCTAAATAAATGGAGAAAAATATAAATGCAGGTAAAATTACAAAAATAACAACCAGAAAACTACATCTTTCTTATCAATAAAAATAAATTATCATTTAACAATATAAAATATTTAATAATAATAAATACTAAATTTTACAATACATATACAAGAAATACACCAAAAGCAAATATAGCCAAATTTTTTAAAAATAAAATGGTCAACAAATACCAAACAGACAAATGCTAACAAATGAATTATCAACCTATTTTTATTGTCTTCTCCTTGCTTATTTTTTTAAATTCCTTTTTAAAATTTTGTTTAGATATTTAAAATTACTTTTTATATTATTTTCTCTAATAATTCTAACCTTCTGGTTTTGTTTCTCGACATTTCTGCTGTTTCTATCACAATATCTATTTTCCTTGAGTGTTTTCTTGTTGGTGGTGGTTCTTTTCTGGTTTTTATTTGTTTTGTTTGTTTGTTTTGGTTTTGATTGAAAGAAATACAACAATGGAAGCTCACACTACTGCAGGGTGCTTCTCCAGATTTTGCCTATCACTCATAATTCTACTTTTATTTACTTTTCAGATTCCTCAGTTAGTTGCTTATTGTACTTTTCATAGTTTTAGTCGTAATCAACATTTAAGATAGGCTACAGGGAGCTTATCCTGCCACAAAATACGAGAAATCCATCTTTTTTTTTTGTTTCTTAAAAAAAGTCATTTTGAACTTGTAATTTGTAGGAAGGAACGCAGATTTAGAGGCATACATTTTCCATGACATGGAAAAATCATTTAACAATGTTAAGTCTCTATTTCAGCAAATACAGAAAAGATATGATTCACAGGACAAGAAAGCTGACAGTTAAGAACTTACATGCAAAGGCATTTCGACAAATAATATAATCCATCCTACTCCTAAGAGAGGAAAATTTGTATTAATGAAACTTCTACCAGGTATCACTTTCACCTCAGTTAATCCACAAACATTAAATCAGCAACATTTTGTGATAAACCATATCCAAAAGAGTTAATTGATGAAATGTCATTAATAGAACAGCAGTTATCCATGATTCAGTAAAAATTCATCAATCACCCATACAACAAACTTAATTCCATCTTATACTAAGCACATACACTACACTGAAAACTGTCAACTTCTGATGATCTAAAAATGTCTCTTCTATGACCATGTGATCACAATGAAATAAAGAATACAGAAAATTCATAGATGGTCAGTTAAAAAAAAGCTTCCGTGAAGCAATAAACTTTCCTTAAAAATGCCAAAATAGTAACATAGACTGCATGATATAACACTCATTTTACTGACATAATCTGTTGAGGCATTTTGTTAATCAAATACTTTCTTTTATATATACTTATAAATGTCATACCAGAATTACACATTTTCTAATGAAATACAAAAGCATAAAAGAATCGTATTCATAAGTTGATTTTAATCATTGTCTCGGTTCAATATTACAAACAAGTGTAATTATGGTACAAGTACAAAACAAATGGTGATTAAAGCATGTCAGAAAACAGATGTTCCTGCATACAGATGGACAATCCAATTAATACTTCTCAAATAGAAAACAGCTATTTACTCCTTACTAATGAATGATATAATTATTTATTATTAATGCAGCTTGGTTTTTTAATGTCTCCATGAAGAGCTTAAATATAATTTTCCTAAAGATGCATTTGGGCCGGGCGCCGAGGCTCAGGCCTGTAATCCCAGCACTTTGGAAGGCCAAGGCAGGCGGATCACGAGGTCAGGAGATCGAGACCATCCTGGCTAACGTGGTGAAAACCCATCTCTACTAAAAGTACAAAAAAATTAGCTAGGCGTGGTGGCGGGCGCTTGTAGTCCCAGCTATTCGGGAGGCTGAGGCAGGAGAATGGCGGGAACCTGGGAGGTGGAGCTTGCAGTGAGCTGAGATTGCGCCACTGCACTTCAGCCTGGGCGACAGAAAGAGACTCCATCTCAAAAAAATAAAAATACATACATACATACATACATACATACATACATAAATAAGAAAAAAGATGTATTTGGATGGTTAATGTATTTTTAATGTATAATCATCTATTGTAGTTAAAAGATGATCAAATGTGCTGATTCACTCAGTGTCTATGTTTCAAATGCAGGACTTAAGGAACAATTTGCCATAAGCCACCAACTTATTGTTTTCTTTTAAATTATATATCTAACATGCATACATACACACACAATATATATATATATATACACAAAACATTAATAATGATGAAAATTTTGAGAATCATGAAGAATGGTATATATGTAATACATATGTTTTTTTCACAAGTTTTCCAACTACTCTACTTTTTTTTTTAGTAGAATACATTAGATACTACAAAAGAAATGAAAACAAAATGATGTGGAATAGCATGTAAACAATAGAAAGAAGTTTTTGAAGATTGTTACAACACAGCTTCCCTAGCTAATAATACCTGAGAAAACCTGCACATGTAGCATATATGTGTCGCTACCTTTTAGCATATATAATGGATTTATTAATATTTCTTCATTGCATTGATGAGATGAATAAATACAATAGTATGTATAAATACCTAGACCTTTGCTGGGTATATAGGAAATATTGTGTTAAAATAGAACTCTTCTATCTTTCTACAGAAATACACTATGCAGTGATTACTTCTGGCTGTGATACATAAAAACAGGCAAATCCCAATAGAGAAAAAATATGTATTCATGATACATGATTTGGATTTTTCCAAAGAACAAAAACTATGAATTGGGTTGCAAGGATTTCCTGTTAAGACAACAGTAGGAATAAAGACATGGAGTAGAAGATACACACATTGAGTAGGTTTAACAGGCCTAAGCAAAAGATGCACATAATGAAACATCAGGAGAACAGACTAGAAATTCCTCTAAGCCTGTTGTGAGAGCCAAAGAAAATACATCTGGATTTGACTGTTGATAATGAGGAATTTCTGAAAGGTTGACCTATCACAGTTCTGAAAAAATGCTTCTAAACAAACCAGATTCCTTTGTCAAATAGATAAGGGAAATTATGGATATGTAATGCCACTTTAGAAATTTCAAATGCACATTAACAAAGCAACAGCAAAAAGCAAACCCCATTTAACTTTGTTTAACCTAGATTTTATGAACTTATTTACTAAGCAAACTCTCCCATCTGTATTTCCCTACTTGTAATTCTTATTAAGAATCACTGTTTTGGTGTCATTGGAATTTACTTAAGAGAAATGCGGTCTAACCTCTGCTTTAAGAAGACAACTCTGGCAGAACTATCAATTGGAAAAAAGGAGAGTTTAGATGCTAGGAGGCCATTATAATAGCTCACTTGGGAGCTAATCTGTGCATGACTCTGATGGGAGAAAATAAAATTGAGAAAAAGGCATGCATTGGAGGCAACAATCCTTGGAATGTGATTGACCGTAGAGAATAATGAATGTGGAAGACCCAGAACAGGCTTTAAACAAACTTTCAGATTCTTGCCAATCTGAAAAATATTACTTCAGACTAATTTTGATTTGTATTTTATAATGAATGAGGGTATTCATTTTTTTTCATTTATTTAAGAGCTATTTGTATTTCCTTGTCTGCAAAATTCTATTTGCGTCTTTTCCTCAGTTGTCTATTGGGTTTTCTTCTTGTTCATTTCTAGGAGTTCTTTTCTAAATAAAGTAAATTAGCCTTTTGCCTGTGAATAAGTTTCAAATATTGGATCCCCAATTTGTCATATCCTGACTCTGTTTATCATATTTCTATGAGAAACTTATTCTTTTCTTTTTTTTAATGGCTTCTGGATTTTAAGTAGGAGTTATTAGATCCTGCCCATCCCAGCTTTATTAAGGAATTCTCCTCCATTCTATTTTATACTTTATATTTCATTTACAAATTTCAAGTTTGGTCCACTCAGAACTTACTCTGGTATAAAGATAACTTTTATTTTCTAAATGGCTGGGCAGTTGACTACAACCTCTTCTGGTTGGTTGAAGATCTTTTACACTAAATTCACACATGTATTTGAATCTATTTCTATTTTCTATTCTGTCTTTGTCTAATCATGTACCAGTACCACTGTGTTTTAATTAAAGATGGTATTATATACCTTATTATCTGGTAGAACTAGTATCCCTTCACTACTCTTTTTATTGTTTTCCTGGCTGACCTTGTTTCTTTTTCTACTTGAACTTTAGGATCAACTTGTCTAATTCCAAATGAAAAGCTGATTTTTTTTTAATCAAAAGCATGTTGAATGCATATGTTTATTTCTTTTTATTTATTTATTTTTTTTGAGACGGAGTCTCACTGTGTCGCCCAGGCCGGAGTACAGTGGCACGATCTCGGCTCACTGCAAGCTCTGCCTCCCGGGTTCACACCATTCTCCTGTCTCAGCCTCCCGAGTAGCTGGAACTACAGGCGCCCACCACCACGCCCGGCTAATTTTTTTTATTTTTAGTAGAGACGGGGTTTCACCGTGTTAGCCAGGATGGTCTCGATCTCCTGACCTCGTGATCCGCCTGCCTCGGCCTCCCAAAGTGCTGGGATTACAGGCGTGAGCCACTGCGCCCGGCCGTATATGTTTATTTCTTTATTTATGTTTGTTATTAGAGATAGGGTCTCACTGCTGCCCAGACTGGAGTACCGTGGCTATTTATAGGTACAATCATAGCGCACTACAACCTAGAATTCCAGGGCTCAAACCATCCTCCCACTTCAATCTCCCAAGTAGATGGGACTAGAAGTGCATGCCATCACGCCCAGTTGATACATAAGTTAACTGAGAGTTGACATCTTGATGAAGTTGAGTCATCCTATCCAAGAACATGCTTTTTAACTTGCTCAAGCCTTCTTTTGTGTCCTTGAAATAGTTTTTTCTTCACACAGGTCTCATATATGACAAACTTATATTTTATATTTTATCCTTTTTGTTGCTACCGTAAGTGGGTCTCTTCATCTTATCCTCTATAGGTTTATTTACATGAAAGCCACTGATTTCTACAAATTATTTTTATGATCAACAACTTCAGTAATAATTATTTTATTATTTGCAGAGTTTTGGGGTTCTCTTGGGTTTTCAAGTAGTTGTACAATCATAATGTCTGTAAATAGTGCTAGTTTTACTTCTTCCTTTCCAATTTTTAAATTTCTCTCTCACGTGATTGTCTTGGCTGGTACTGCAGTATAGTATTTAAAAATAGTGCTGACAGTGACATTTGTTGTCTGTTCTTGACTTCAGAGGGAACTGTTTATAGTGCTTCTCCATTAATCACTGTACTGAGTTTTGGGCAGAAATATATACACACACATACATATATATTTTTTCATGTTACGGAAGCATCTATCTTCTATCTATTCTTATTTTACTGAGTATCAGAACACTCATTTTCTTAAATGCTTCTGCCTCATCTATTAAGACAAGCCTGTAATCTTTCCTTTGACATGAAAACACTGAATACTGAATACTGGAATAAATGCCCCCCTCCCCTTGGTCAATAATTATTTTTTAACGTCCTGGTGACTATTACTGGCAAATACTTTATTTAGGACTTTTGCATCCATATTCATAACTGAAACTGGTCTGTAGACTGTTTTGTATTAATCTTTGTTAGGTTTTTTTTATCTTTAAGACTAATATGGAGAATACTCATCTTTTTTTAGGCTGGGGGGGTGGCTCACACCTGTAATTCCAATCACCTGAGGTCAGGAGTTCGAGACCAGCCTGGCCAACATGGCAAAACCCTGTCTCTACTAAAAATACAAAAATTAGCCAGGCGTGGTGGTGCACACCTGTAATGCCAGCTACTTGGGAAGCTGAGGCAGAAGAATTGCTTGAACCCGGGAGGCGGAGGTTGCAGTGAGCGAAGATTGCATCATTGCACTCCAGCCTGGGCGACAGAGCAAAACTCTATCTAAAAAAAAGTCACCTTTTTTAAAACATTTAGAACCATTTTTAAAACATTCTAATTATTTGCTTTTTATAGGTTTAGTAGAAATATTCTAAAAACAACTCACCTGCTCTTTCTTAGAGGTAGAAGAAAATAACTTCTCTCATGAACATGAGCAGAGAGGTGAATGAACATGAACATGAACAGAGAGATGAATAAAGATCTAGTTGGCTGAAAGGGTCATCGGTATAAGACTCTTTCAGCTCTTTATATTTATTACTAATGAATATATGGCTTTTTATGCACCCGAAGGACAGTTTGGATATAAAATCTTTAGCATGTATTTACTATATGATATAAAATCTTTAGCTCATATTTACTATCCTTGAGATTACAGCAATCACTCCACTCTCTTCTGGCATACAGAGCTGCCAGCCTAATTTTTTTCACCTTTTTATATACTGGTTTGATTGTTTTGCCTGACTGCCTAAAGGATTCTGCCATTACCTTTTAAGGCCAATAATTTATATGCCTTGATGCTGACAGTTCTTGATCAATTTCCCCTACCATGTGATATCCTCTTTCAACAACCTTCACTTGTTTTAAGAAAATGTTCTTGAGTATCATGAAATAAGTGCTCTGTTTACAGAAAGTTAAATAACTGTTCTGTCTGGTTTTTCTTCTTTGAGAGAAATTCAGTTTTGCCCATATTAGATCTTCTGTGCCCATCTTCTCTCTAATCCTTTCTCATTCTTTCTTGACTTTGGTTTCATTTTAATTTCCTCATTTCTACTCTGTGTTCCTGTGTGTTCTTCAGTGTTTACTCGCCCTTTGTGCTCTTTCCCATGTCGTGGTTTGATTCTTCCCTTCTACTTCTTTCCTGAATTCTGACACCTCACATCTTACCACTTCCTGTTTTCTTACCATATTCCTGCAGTTCTGGAATTTCTGCTCCAAGTGTTCCTTAGAGGAGCAGTCCCCAAACCTTTATGGCATCAGGGACCGGTCTCATGCAAGACAATTTTTCCACAGGGGAGCGGAAGATGATTTCAGGATGAAACTGTTCCACCTCAGATCATCAGGCATTAGTCAGAGTCTCCTAAGCAACGCACAACCTAGATCCCTTACACGGGCAGTTCACAATAGGGTTTGCGCTCCTATGAGAATCTAATGCTGAGGCTGACCTGACAGGAGGTGGGGCTCAGGCAGTAATACTCGCCCAGCCGCCGGCCTGTCTGCCACCCACCTCCTGCTGTGCAGCCCAGTTCCTAACAGGCCACGAACCAGTACCAGTCCATGGCCCCAGGACTGGGGACCCCGGCCTTAGAATGACTGCCTTCTTACATTTGTTGTTGTTGTTCTTTTTGTTTAGTTCATGGTCAGACGTTTGCTCATAATTTTCACCTATTCTGTGACAATATTATTTTGGTAAATATTCTTCATCTATGAAGTTTTATTAAATTTTGTTAATGTTTTTCACCTTTTATCAGCGCTGTGCTACTCCGTGTTGATTACTCAGCAGGAAATGAGTCGTATGTTAACTGGCCCTGCTTTCTCAGCAGCCTCCTCTGAAAGTGATTTTGCTGGTATTCTCTGAGCTATTCACGGCGTCTCCTCCATGTTCTATAGCTCTAGTTTTATGTAAGGAACCTATTTGCCACTTCAAAATAAATTGCTTGTATTTACTGGCACTTCCTGAGATCTGCCACCTGAACTGTTTTATCATTTCTGTGACCTCACTGTACTTCCTGCATCTAGAGTTTCTGCTTCTTTTCATCCTTTCATTCCCAGACTGTGCAGCTGTTTACTTGTTGCTTTGTAAAATACTCTATCTAGTTCCTTCTTCCATGAGAAAAGGAGGGAAACTGCTCTCATACTACCAAGTTCACACCAAAAGTCTCCACATGATTTTTTAAAAGAAAATTCTTAAGTACAATTTGATACACAAAACAGACTTACTTTAAGAGTTCATCTCTTTCTGTCTTCCATGCCAAAACTATATCGCTGCATTTGTTCTGGAACCTGACCAGGATTTCAGTCAACTCATTGTAAAACTATAAGCAAAGAACAAATACAAGTAATGAACAAGAACAATTTTTTAATCCAGAGAGTAATGTGATCTAAAGCTAATTTGTCAATGACAGTTAAAGCCGAAGAACTGAGATCTGCATGAGATACATCCATACAATTTACTAGGCCCAACAACTTAATATTAAATATGATCTAAGACTCCTAAAGAAAATAAAAATAATAAAATCATTTTTATAGAACATTATCATCAAAAATGTAACAAGTTAAAAGTTTCATGATCATGAAAATCTTCCTAATTCCTAGAGAAAAGTCAATTGTTTAATAACATGAAACCTATTTAAGTGGAAGGATTAGGTTTTCAAATTCACTACAGAAATGCAAGCATACTCCCCATCAAAAAGTGGGCAAAGGATATGAACAGACACTTCTCAAAAGAAGACATTTATGCAGCCAAAAACACATGAAAAAATGCTCATCATCACTGGCCATCAAAGAAATGCAAATCAAAACCACAGTGAGATACCATCTCACACCAGTTAGAACGGCGATCATTAAAAAGTCAGGAAACAACAAGTGCTGGAGAGGATGTGGAGAAATAGGAACACTTTTACACTGTTGGTGGGACTGTAAACTAGTTCAACCATTGTGGAAGTCGGTGTGGTGATTCCTCAGGGATCTAGAACTAGAAATACCATTTGACCCAGCCATCCCATTACTGGGTATATACCCAAAGGATTATAAATCATGCTGCTATAAAGACACATGCACTCATATGTTTACTGCGGCACTATTCACAATAGCAAAGACTTGGAACCAACCCAAATGTCCAACAATGATAGACTGGATTAAGAAAATGTGGCACATATACACCATGGAATACTATGCAGCCATAAAAAATGATGAGTTCATGTCCTTTGTAGGGACATGGATGAAGCTGGAAACCATCATTCTCAGCAAACTATTGCAAGGACAAAAAACCAAACACTGCACGTTCTCACTCATAGGTGGGAATTGAACAATGAGAATACATGGACACAGGAAAGGGAACATCACACACCGGGGACTGTTGTGGGATGGGGGGAGGGGGGAGGGATAGCATTAGGAGATATACCTAATGCTAAATGACGAGTTAATGGGTGCAGCACACCAACATGGCACATGTATACATATGTAACAAACCTGCACGTTGTGCACATGTACCCTAAAACTTAAAGTATAAAAAAAAAAAAAAAAAGAAATGCAAGCATACTTCAGAAACCCTTAAAAGAATTTCTAAAGGCTCTCTGGAGGGTTTTCTCAGCTTACCTATTTAAACAAAGCATTTTAAACCAAGTTAAAATGGCATTTTACCATCCTCTCTATTTGGAAGGCTTTGCAGTATTTTCACCCTCTCTTCAGAGGGTTTTACATTTTAGCTACTGTATTTATATCAAGGTAACTTTATTCAGTGATTATTATGAAGTTAAGTACCAAAAGGAATTATGCATCTGAGAAAACTTAAAAATCACTGTTCCCTCAAAAACAAATTGGTAAAAACAAATATAAGTGAATTCCCTAAACTTTTTAAAGGACAAGGCAAGAAAGTACTTACATATTCAGCAAGCCTTCTGACACTTGGGCAGGCCACAAGTCTGTCCTCAGCAAACCACCACACAGAATATAAAAGTCATGCCCGCCCAGCTTTTCCATCACAAATCAGCTTTGACTACTCCTGTCCCCTCAAAATTCATCAAATTAATCAACTTCCTATCCCTTAAAAAGGTGTCATTGACATCTCTGCTAATTCCTGCTACCTGGAATATTTGTACCCCTTTTCTGCCAGTTGAAATATGCAATTCATTCTTCAAGGTTCCCATGAAATGTTGCCACCTTCATTAAGCTTTCTCCCTCCTGTAACAAACTTCGCAGAGGCAATGGCATTAAAGCTAACATTCCAGGCAAAGAGTAATTTGGTTCAACTGGAAATACCATTTAACTTCCAACCTATACGTTCACATCTGTACTTGCTAGCTATGGTTCCTTTTGCATGTACTTCATACCTTTGTGCCTTCCTTCGAATTAGCTACAAGTTCAACAAAGTTGTCACATGCAGTAGCTAAATTCTTCAAAACTTCTTCTCTTAAGTTAGCTTCATTATTAGATTGCTTCATTTTCGAAAATTCCTGATGTGAGACCTTGTTAAAAGAAAGATTTATGTATTTACATTTACTTATAAAATATGGCTCATAACATTTTTATTGATCTTTTCCAATTATGAAAATCATATGTAATTAAATACATATGCAAAATTACTAGAAATACCTAGTATACTCTTTTGAAGCCTCATTATGCTTTAAATCTTTCTTAAGTAAAAATTTCAAAAATCCAATAGAAGTCAAAACAACCAATAATGATCACAGATTTCTATTAGTATATAACACTTGCAAAAAATATAACATGAAAATTATTTTACCTTTTGGAATATTTTATATCATATATAGATACAATGTTTAGGAGTAGAAATATATGTTTAATTTTGCACATTAACTATGAAAAGGGCAAACTTTCAAGTCTTTGTTAGTCCAAACTACCTATCTGTAAACACGAAAACTAACTTCAAACTTCTCAACATATTTAGTTTGCATTATTTTTTTAAAAAATGACTGAAGTCTGTATGTATGTTAGCCGTATAATTAAAGGTATCAGTAATTCCAACTAATTTCGATTTTCCTCCCGTATGGAAAAAAAAAACAAAGCTATTAAAAACTTGAAACCATGAAAAATATCAGAAGTATCAAGCACTCCTAAGTAATATGCAACATTTTAGCCATAGAAATGACTTTGTTTCTGCCGGGCGTGGTGGCTCACGTCTGTAATCCCAGCACTTTGGGAGGCCAAGGAGGGAGGATCAGGAGGTCAGGAGATGGAGACCATCCTGGCTAACACGGTGAAATCCCGTCTCTACTAAAAATACAAAAAATTAGCAGGGCGTGGTGGCGGGCGCCTGTAGTCCCAGCTACTCGGGAGGCTGAGGCGGGAGAATGGTGTGAACCCGGGAGGCGGAGCTTGCAGTGAGCCAAGATCGCACCACTGCACTCCAGCCTGGGCGACAGAGCGAGACTCCATCTCAAAAAAAAAAAAAAAAAAAAAAAAAGGAGGGACTTGGTTTCATAGACAAAAAAAAAACTGATATGCCAAGTTTAATTTTACAAAATATATATGTATTAAGTTCTACTCTCAACTACAGATATTCTCCAATGTCATTTTTCTAATTGAATATAGGTTTAGTCCAGACATATCTTTTCTGTAATTTTTAAAACATAGATGTTATTAAATACATAAATTTCACCTGAATATTTTTAAGAAGTCCCTCCTGTTTCTTTAGAGATTCTTGGACTTTAGTTGTAAGACCTCCATAGACTCGATCTAGTTCAGTAACAGAAAGAGCTTCTTCATTTATCATGCCATCTTGAGCCAGGGCTGTCAAAAACTTGCTTGTCATGTCAAAATTCACAGATTTCAAGTCATTCTCCAGACCCTCTCTTTCCTTCTTTACTTCATCAAGATTTGACAATAAGGATTTTAAGACATTTACAACCTAAACAATAAAAAAGACACTTTAGTTTAACTGAAAAAAAAAGCCAATTTCAAGAAGGAAATAATATATAAAGGTTCATTTGGGCTGAGAGAGAGATGAGTTCTCAGAGAGCCAAATATAAATTGAACATCAGGTTTATGTAGATAGACACTGTACCTTCAGTTGACTCATATTAAAACAAAAGCAGCATTAATAACAGTAGCCAACAGCTACAATTTACTGAACTCCTATGTGTTAGGCACCATGCTAAACACTTCAGAAATATAATTTTATGTATTCCTTACAATACCCCATGGGGTATATATATTTATGACCTCTCTTCCAAAGATAGGGATAACGAGTCTCAAAAAAATTAAGTGACATGGTTATACAGTTACTAAGGGGCAGAGGTGAAATTTGAGACCTAAGTCTGACTAGTTCCAAAACCAATCTCTTAGCCACTCTACACTCTACTCCCTCCCAATCATGGCTGTGAAGCAGGGGAAGGTATGATTTTGCTACGTAAGTAGATATCCTATTTTGCCTAGAGAGACTGACAGACAGAGATATAGAGAAATAGAGGTGAAGATAGAAATAGAGATAGTTATGAAGCAAGCATGGTAGATGGAGAAAGAAATAGAGAAAGACACAGATATAAAGGTATATACCACATTTATTTTATACACCGGGAGAGGAAAAGGAAAGAGGGTTCTTGTGCCTCTCTTCATAGCATTAAGAGTTTTAGGCCAGATGTAGAGGTTCATACCTGCAATCCCAGCACTTTAGGAGGATCACCTGAGCCTAGGAGTTCGAGACCAGCCTAGGCAACAAAGTGAGACCCCCATTTCTACATTAAAAAAAAATTAGTTGGGTGCAATGGTGTGTACCTGCAGTCACAGCTACTCCAGAGGCTGAGGCAGGAGGATTGCTTCAGCCCAGGGGGTCAAGGCTGCAGTGAGCCATGATCATGCCACTGCACTCCAGCCTGGGTGACAGAGAGAAACCCTGTCTCAAAACAAAATACAAAAACAAAACAGAGATTTATCTCTTGTATTCAGTCAAGACACTCTCTGACTTATACCCACCTGATTCATAAATACCCCTTTATATTCATAGTGTTCAAGTGCCTTCTAATGAGCACTTTCAAGCTGCCCCTTTCACTCATCTCTTCATACTTTGCTAGGACCACCAAGAACATCAACCCAATCTCCCTATTCTGCTTGCCCCAATGATGCTCATAGAAAGAAAACAGGGGGAAAGACAAAGGGAAGAAGAGGACATCATGAGCCCTGTCTCCACCCCTGTCTTTCTCATTACCAGCAGCAAGTCCAGTTCCCATGATCCCCCTACCAACTGCCTGTTTCTAAAAATTCCTACCCTACTCTTTCTTCCACAGTCTTAGTTAACTCCTTGATAGGAACGTCCAAAGTAACATCCCTTTGTGAAGACCAGAGACTCGAGGTTTCTGCTAAATGTAGGCGAATTTCCTTTTTGGCCTCATTTACATCTATATCTTCTAAACATCCTAATTTTAAAATGGAAGGAAAGGAAAGGAAGAGAAGGGGGAGGGGGACAAGAGAGGAAGGAAGGGGGAAGGGAAGGAGAGAGGGAGGGAGAGAAAGAAGAGGGTACAGGGGAGAAGGCTGTGGAAAGAGAAAGAAATATGATTCCTAGAGTCTAGAAAGCATCAAACCACAGAAACTCTAAAAGGAAGGAGGAGGAGAAAGAATCATACGTGGGTGGATATGACAAAGTCTGTTTAAAGACCTAGTAGAACTTGATATCAGACGATGTGAATAAAAGTTTCCTTCCAAGTGACTTCCAGGACATATTATTAAATGAGAAAAAAAGGGTACAAAAGCATATATAGTGTGCTGCATTTTGAGTAAGACAGAAGGAAAATCAGAAAATAAATATACACATACATAATATGTACATATGTATACATATGTATGCATAATTTTGGGGGAGGTTGGGTTTTTTGTTTGTTGTTGTTCTTCCAAAAAGAAAATCAGTAAGGACAAACCAGAAACTAACGGATATGATTACTTACAGGAAGTATACAGGAAAGAAGTAGAAGGAAAAGGAATGAGGCTTACTCTGCATGTACCTTTTGAATCATGAACATTTTTTACACACTCAGAAAACAAGATTAAGTCAAAACTTGAATATGGAAACAAATGAACTAATGGTCTATCAAAGTGAAACGTAATTACACAAAAAAAACGTAATTACATAGAAAATTAAAAACACTTCAACTCTGACTATACTCCCTTAGAGACCATAATGGGCTTAGTGACTGTGCAATCAAGGACAGGTTACTACTTAGAAAACTCAATTTTCGCAGCTGCAAAATGGGCATAATAGTACCTATTTCAGGACTGTTGTGAAGACTGAGATAATCTATATAAAGTGCTCAACATAACTTCTAACAAAGGGTAAGTATTCAGTCATATTACCTAGATTAGGAAGAAAAGCTTACCGCAACTTCCATGGTATCCAACCAGACTGATACAGAAGCTTTCTAACCAGACTGATACAGAGGGCCAAATAGTTAACAAATCCTGTGATATTCAAAAATGCAATAATTCTAACTTTCTGGGGAAAAAAATGCCATTTCAAACAACGAATTTATGAACAAACTTGTGGACTACCACACAAAGATAGAGATCCCTTATATTACGAACATCTTTTAAAAAAATTCATATGCAGTGCACTAGTTTAACATATTTCAGATTATATGACACTCGCCTCATTTTAACAGAGTAAATGAAGTAGAAAATGAATTAAACTGCTTCCACAAATGAATGACCACGATAATAAGAAAACCACTGCCTAAATTTTCTTCTAAATTCAAATTTGAGGTTTAACATGTTATCAAAGTATATAAATAATTAGAATCCTAGCATATTTATTTCTTATACACAGCTCCAGCTACCTTTCAACTGCAATTAAATGTATCCCTTTATTAAGTTAAGGCTGCCAGCGATGACCATTCAAACAAATGCTTTTTGTTTTGGGACCATTCTAGATGCCATGGACACGACTACTAACAAAAACAGTCTTTTCCTTCATTTGGGGACCAGAGAGGATTAAATAAATATGGAAAGGGGAGGATTAAACAAATACACAAAAATAGAATAATGTGGGTAGACAATGACAAAGATGGAGAAGAGGTGACATCTGAGACTAATGAAAAAGAGGTAATAGCCATGGAAATGGGAAGAAAGCCCTGCACAGAAGGAAACGCAAATATAACAGTCCTGTGGCAGGCACAAGCTTGGCAGGATCAAAGGAAAGAAAAAAAGGCCACTCTGGCTGAAGCATAGTAAACAAAAGGCAGAACAGGAGATGAGGTCAAACAGAATGGCAGGAACGGCATCACCTAGGCTGTCAATACTTTGTCTTTCAGATCAGGAACTTACAAACTTTTTTGGTAAAGGACCAAACAGAAAATATTTTTGCCTCAGTAGGCCACAGTCTCTGTTCCAACTCTTTAACTCTGCTTTGTAGTATGAAAGACAATGTGTAAATGAATGAGCGCAGCTATGTTTCAACAAAAATGTATTAACACTGAAATCTGAATTTTATATAATGCCCACATATTAAAACATTCGTTTGACTTTTTTTTAGCCATTTAAAAAATGAAGTAGAAAGTAGAGTTTTATATTTAAAAAATGTAAAACTCATTTTTAGCTCCCAGGCCATACAAAGAGAAGAGGCAGAGGATTCGGCCCACAAGCCACAGGTTCCTGACCCGAGTTTTAGATTTAAAACCCTCTGTGGCATTTAACAGCACCAAGTACAATATAAGCCGTAAGAAATGCCCTCAATGGGCCGGGCGCGGTGGCTCATGCCTGTAATCCCAGCACTTTGGGAGGCCAAGGCAAGTGGATCACGAGGTCAAGAGATCGAGACCACCCTGGCCAACATGGTGAAACCCTGTCTCTACTAAATATACGAAAATTAGCTGGGCATAGTAGCGCATGCCTACAGTCCCAGCTACTCGGGAGGCTGAGGCAGGAGAATTGCTTGAACCCAGGAGGCAGAGGTTGCAGTGAGCCAAGATTGCACCACTGCACTCCAGCCTGGGTGACAGAGCAAGACTCCGTCCCCCCACGGCCAAAAAAAAAAAGAAAGAAAGAAATGCCCTCAATGAAATCTTCTATTTTACTTTTATAACCTTGTCATTTTATTTTCAGAAAAGGCAAATAAGCAATTATGTCTACACCAACGAAAGCAGAAACTTGATACATTTACCCTACACTAAAGGTAACCTAGAGGAGTTTTTTGTCTCTCTATGTTAGGGACCAAGGTACTCAGCACAGTTCTGGAATAGCAGGCCTTCAAAAAACACTTGGTGAGTAAATAAATAAACAGATTCCAGCCATTCTCAACATGTCTATAAACTTTCTGTCATGAGAAATCAGGAGTAAAAGCTGTGTTTGCAGATCCTCCACTAGTCTGTGAATCCAAAAAAGGCACTCCTCTGGGAGGGCACACAGTTTTAAACAGTTCTCTTTATGCTCTACCTCTAAGGAGATAAAGGGTTTTTTTTTTTTTTTAAAGGTACCCCCTCCGTTACTTCCAGCAGATGTAACACTTTGAGTAAAATTGAACATCATCCTTGTGCAAAAAAATAGATGTTCCTTCCCCTGGCTAGACTCAGCCCCATATACATTAGGGCCAAGGCTTGGCCAGCCAACCACAGACCAGACTTCAGGCCACAGTAGATCATAGGCAACCAATCACAAGCAGTGATCCTAGGTATTTAATACAAAAATCTTGAAATACAAATGACCACTAGTCTGCAAAATTTTTCAGAGTATCTCAATATCTAAAACCAGATGCCCAAAGAGACTGAAAATAAGTAACTAGAAAGTAGGCTACTTCACAATAAAAGAAAAAACAGCCCTACCATCAAACTTGGACTTTTTAATAAAACATATACATTGCATCACTCTAATCAGCAATCAAAAAACTGAGTTTTTATCATAAAAATTCTGGCTAAAATGCGTCATCAACTATTATGACAACCATCTGAAATAGCTCTGATAAACCTGATGCTTGCCTTATTTGATTAAGGCACACGACAAACGAATATATAGAGAGTACTGAAATTTTGTGGTTACCCCATCAAGAACTCTAGCTTCCAAAAAATTACTTCATATTGACTATAAAAGTTCCTTTCTCCTGTGTAACACAAGTAAGGATTAATAAAACTGATACAACTGAATAAAATATCAACAAATCAGTGCATACTAATGCAGATTTTGCTTAGCACAAACCATTTTTACTTTTCTACTGAAAGCAGAAGAATCAAAGGGCAAAAGCCACATAATTCTGAGTCACGTACAAGACACCAAAAAGAATACAAAGAGAGTACTAAACAGAGATCTTTTTCTAAAATAAAAAAGGTACCAGAATGTATTGCTCTTCCAAGGGTCTACAGTTTCTTCTTCGGGTTCTTTGTTGCTCACAAGTTAATCTTCTGACCACCTCCCTTTTCTCCGCTATGTCCTCAAAGCAACAACTCACATTCCCTGTTCCACTGGGTTCCCCCGTTAGATTCAGGTTCAATGCACATTCAACTACGTAGCCTTCTCTTCCCTTTGAGAGGTGCCCGGTACCTGTGCATTTACCCTACACTAAAGGTAACCCAGAGCAGTTTTTTGTCTCTTTATGTTAGGGACCAAGGTGCTCAGCACTGCTCTGGAATAGCAGGCCTTCAAACACTTGGTGAATAAATAAATAAACAAGCAGATTCCAGCCATTCTCAACATGTCTGTAAACCTTCTGTCATGAGAAATCAGGAGTAAAAGCTGTGTTTGCAGATCCTCTGTGCCTCGGATAACTCTCTAGACACAGCCACTACTCAGCCCTTCTCCGATCCTACACGTTTACTTTTTCTGCCTATCCACTCTGTCCTCATAATGTGCCAATCTCTTAAGAAGCCTCTGAAGAGAACTACTCCAAATTACTGAAATTTAAGTACTTCATCTAAATCCTCATAACATACTTCTATACTTTCCCTGTGACATTTTTAAACTTCTTCCCTATATTACAGTCATCCTTGTACATGACTAATATTCCACAATGGATCATAAATTGAGGGTAAAGCCTGTGTATAATTTGTATGTTAATTTTCCAATGTACCTACCATAGTGCCTTACACAGAGCAGATATCCAGTAGGTCTTGGAATACATATATGAAACATATAAAATGCATCTGTGGAAAGACAAATAAGAAACAAAACTCATACTTTTCAGAACTTACTATCCCAGGAAATTCACTTTTTTCAAGAAGTTTTCAGCAGTATTTCTTGCCCTTTGGCTTGTTTTCCTGTGCAGAGATTTGGGACCTCTATCTTTTCCTACTAACTTACCCTACCTCCCCATGATAGGCCATTAAATTATAGTTGCACTTTCTCTTAGGACTTTCCAAATCAGATGCCCTACTATTCAATTTTCTCTTTCCTGTCATCAGTAGAAACACCATGACGGAGCTATCCATTTATTAACACGCACACCTTGCCAATCTTCCTTTCAAAGGTAGTCCCGGGGAAACAAGGTGGAAGGGAGTAGAGAACAATGGAAGAAATAAAGAATTTGTGTATCTGGCCATACCCAGTCCTTTCATTTCAGGAAATTTCTATACTTCCAAGCTTCTCTCTTTTATAAAACCCAAATTAAATACTGTTGACCTATGAAGTATCTAAAATTTAGTTCAAAAAAGGGCATTCAATAAATGGAAGTGACTATTACAGGATAGTTAATATTAGTATAATTTCCTATTACACAGTCTATATACTACTTTAAATATAACAACCCCAATTTATTTCTGCATTTTTTTAAAGATGACAATAAGGAATTGGCAGTGCATTATATAAAATGGCTTGAATGTGGTTTTCTTAAGCAGATGACAACCCACATCAAAGTGCCCTTCTCACCTCACTGCCCTGCATGGTCTTTGCTGGATTAGCAGAAGGGATGGCAGCATTCAGCTCAGGCTCTGGCTTACACAAAAGCACGATGGGGTCACGATGAGACGGGTAACATTCTTTCACGTGTCCATCTGCTTGCACAGCTTTATCTAAAACTGTTCTGAAGCTGGTTCCCTCTGGGAGAAAATAGGTTTGCAGAGCACAGAAGTGATTCTAACAGCAACGTGTATGGCCTGGTTATATGTTGAGTTCTAGTCTCCAACTTTACTTATCTTCCCCTTCTCTAGACCCCAATTCACTTAATCATAAAAACAGCTCCTAACAGTCTTTGCGTTCTCGTTTTTGGAAAGATGACAAAATCACTTATAAAATCAAAAGCATAGCTATACCTTAAAATACATTTGGTGGTTACTATCTGCCAAATAAAAGCTAATTAATATTAATCTTTTCCTACAACTCATGAATGTAGGAAGAAATCATTCTCTCCAAAAATTGGTCCATTTATTTTAAAAGTATTCCTCTCTCAAAAGAGCAATGTGACTTAAAAAAAAAAAGATTTTTAGAAAAATCTCAATAATATACAAACTTTTTACAAAGATAAATAAAACTAATCTCCAGCCACCATGAAGACAGCATTTATCTCAGCAAGCACAAAATCTTCATAATCAAAGTCTTAAGAAGCATAAATTTGGCCTCAAAATAACTTAAAGCTCATTTTCGTTTTACCACCCAGGATTCACTACTAAATGAAAAAAAAATTACAAAGCCATAAATATAATATGCTCTCATTTATGTTTTTAAAATATGCGCAGGGGCCAGGCATGGTGATTCAAGCCTGTAATCTCATCACTTTGGGAAGTGGAGGCAGGTGGATCACTTGAGCCCAGGAGTTCAAGACGAGCCAGGGCAACACGGTAAAACCTCGTCTCTGCAAAAAATACAAAAATTAGCCAGGCGTGGTAGCACATGTCTACGGTGTCAGCTACTCAGGAGGCTGAGGTAGAAGCATTGACTGAGCCCTGGAGGTTGGGGCTGCAGCGAGCTGTGATCCTGCCACTGCACTCCAGCCTAAGTGACAGAGCGAGACCTTGTCTCAAAAAAAAAATAAATAAAATAAAATATGCACAGAGCTTGGAACAGAAAATGAAAGTTGGAGGACCATTTTAACTTTTCCCTTTATACTGTTCTTAAGAATCTGTACTTCTGACAATTGGCAGATTACTTTTGTGAACTTTTTTAATCTTTATACTAAAACTGAGGAAAAACAATTTCGGTAAAAACGAATTTACAACTGAGCCTAATTTAATCAAGTAAAAATGTGGGTCCAAATTGGGAATTTATTCAAATGAAGGTCATTTATACACATTTTTACCTGCTTTTAAAGGCTTATACAGTTCATTGGATGATGTCCTTTGCCAGCGTTCCTTAAATTTTGCTCATAAATCATTATCGGTTGCTTCTTCTTCATCCAAAAACCTTAATGACTTTAAAAGGAAGCAAAAAGAACCCTGAAATGTCATTTCTGGATTAAAAAATTTAATGCAATTATTAAATGTTCATACACAATATAAGGGAGAATTTGGTGAGATGGGAATACTAGGTTAGAATATAAATCGACTTTTTTCTTGCAGACATCTAAGTTATAATGCATTTAACAAAAAGTCTTATAAATTTAAGGCTGAATTAGCTATCACCTTTCTCAGTAAAAAAAAAAAGGAAGAATACATGAGACTATTTACATCCATGTATCAATTTAAAGAAAGTTTTAAGATTAAAATAGATAAATAGAAGCCATAAACAAAGGGGAAAAACTGATCAATTACATTAAAAAATAAAAGATTTAGAATTTCATTCCAATACAACGAACAGAAAATTATGTTTAATATATTTTTAAATGCCTTTTAATGTGTAGATAAGATGACAGGATAGTAGGGGGCCAGAAACACAAGAAAATACTAATCTACCAGTAGACACAGTGCTAGCACCAACAATACATGACAATCCCTGATAGCTTAGGACAAAGAATAGCAAACTTCTGTCAAACACCACAGAGTAAATATTTTAGGCTTTGTGGGCCACAGTCTATGGCACATAGAATTCTTCTTTTTTGACAATGCTCTAAAAAAGATAAAAATTATCCTTAACTAGTGAACCACACAAAAGTAGGCCACAAGCCAGCACTAGCCCACCATCCATAGTTCACCAGCTGTGTAGTTCACCATTGACTTGCATTGTGAATTTAGAACATGAAAAGTCAACAAGAAACATAGGTAGGGACAATAAAAGGTGAGAGGTCAGATCAAAAGCACTCTCCACACTCAAACTGGTATACTTCCAAATAGATGATTCTCAGTGGATGAATTTTTAAAACAGAAAACGGCCCTACAGAAGAAAACATGCCTGTCTGGACCTTGGCTCTAAAGAAAAAAGAAAAAAAAAAAGAAGTATTATCTGAGATTCCTGATCAAAAGCCTGAATTTGGGACTAGAAACCACACTATTTGTGTGACACAAAGTCCTAAGATAAATTACTACTATAATTAAAAGATTATAAAAGAAAGGAAAAAGCCTCTTAAGTTTGAGGAGGTGCCAGGTATATAATGCCTTTTTATGGCAGAAGCAAACACAAATTCTTTCTAGAATTCACCTTAAACCCAGATCTCAATGAATTCCCACAAATAAATTACAGGAAATATGAATGCACAATCAAAACTCACTGAACACTAAATGCAATTCAGTATTCTGTACTGGATCTTGGAACAGAAGGAGGAACGTTGGTGGAATAACTGGTAAAATCTGAGTAATAATACTGTACCAATGTCAATTTCCTAGTTTTAACAATGTGCCACGACCGCGTAAGATTTTAACTTTCAGGGAAGCTAGGTGAAAAATATACAGGAACTTTCCACACTAAATTTGCAAAGTCTCTGTAAATCTGAAACTATTTTTTAAAGTTTTAAAAAACAGTAACAAAAAAACTGAACACAAGAGAAAACAAGCCACCATAAGCAAGAATCAGCAAAAATTACAAATCATAGAATCAAACCCACAGAAACCACAGACATTGGAATTATAAGATAAATAATATAAAATAAATATACTTAATATATTTCAAGAAATTAGGGATAAATTAAAGGGTTTAACCTTCCAGGTTAAGACAAATTAAATTAAAAAGAAAAATCTTGCTACACGCTATGTATAAAATAAATCAATAATTACAAAGACTGAACGGTTCATATGATAGTTGATTTCTCATAGTATACTAGTTTTACACAGTGGTCATTTGAGTTTCATTAATGTGTACTTACTTACCCTTAAGATAAGAATGAAACCCATTCTCACTCAACCAGAATTACTCTTATGCTAAAGAGGCGGCTCTGGGCCACAGTAAATTCACCAAAGTGATGAATACTAACTACACTGTGAGCACTAGCATGAGGAAGTCTCCAGTCCCAATCCCTGCTGGACATCAAGGGATCACAGTGTTTATACTTGAAAAGCAAATCTTATAAAACATACCTCATCTAGGATTTCTCTATTTCATTGCAGTAATTCAGGCAGTTCTTTAGTCAACTGATCAACAGTCTGGATGCCTCCCTGTTCAATCACAGATCTTGATTTAGTCAATATAGACTGAGGTACAGTGTCTCCAGACACATCTTCAATTGCTGCTGGAAGATTAAGGGAAGCTAGCACTCTGAAAAAATGAGATACTATGTTATATTGAAGTCTAAAACAATTTAACTCATCAATATTTACTTTATTTAATTTAATCTTCTATAACCAAATCAACAGCAATGGAGTTAGCACCCAGAAAAACTGGATAAGCCCTATCAATGAAAAACAAAGCAAAGATTAACAGAAAAACAAAAAAATCAGTGATTGATACAATTAAACCAAAATCATTAAAAAATTAAGTTCACAATTCAGAATTAAAAGCCAAAAAATAGGCTGGTGCAGTGGCTCACACCTGTAATCCCAGCACTTGGGAGGCCAAGGCAGGCGGATCACCTGAGGTCAGGAATTCAAGGCCAGCCTGGCCAACACGGTGAAACCCCATCTCTACTAAAAATACAAAAATTAGTCAGGCGTAGTGGTGAGCACCTATAATCCCAGCTACTTGGGAGGCTGAGGCACAAGAATCACCTGAAGCCAGGAGACGAAGGTTGCAGTGAGCTGAGATCTCACCACTGCACTCCAGCCTGGGCGACAGAGTAAGACTCAGTCTGGAAAAACAAAAAAAAAAAAGCCGAAAAATTATGACCGCATTAAAATATATTAGGTATCGTTGGCTTACAGTTCAAACTTGTTTCAGTCTAAGTAATTAAAAGTCAAAAATTCTATCCTAAAAAAGCAGTCTTTTATACTTTTGATTGTTACAGCATCTCTAACGAGTCAGAAACAATACACAAAATAGGTATTTTTTTCTTTTTTGCTCTCTTTCAACAGAATCAATAATTATAATTTCACATCATCTAGGCAAAATGTCAACAGAAGATAGATGATCTAAGTCTTCATTACAGAATCTTCATCTGCTCTCGGTTTTGTAGCACACTAACGATTCCTCAGTTATTTCATTTACATGATGGGGAAGGGAGGTACATATCCCTACCTACTATGTAAAGAAAAAAGGCAAATGAAATGATGGAATACAATGAACTCCTCAGAAAAGAAGCTCTGTAAAATCTCAGACTGCCTGTTTATCATATGCTAGAGTAAACTTACATTCCTTTCTTGTTCAAGAAAAATGATGGTAAAATCCATGCATTAATCAAAACTAAAAACATGAAAAGGCAAGCCAACCACGAGAGAAATACAGCTGGCCCCTGAACAACACAGATTTGAACTACGTGAGTCCATGTATATGTGGACTTTCACCTCTTTCACCTTTGCCACCTCTAAGACAGCAAGACCAACCCTCCTTCCTCCTCTTCTTCAGCCTACTCAAACATGAAATAGACAAGGACGAAGACCTTTATGATGATCCACTTCCATTTAATCATAGTAAATATATTTTCTCTTCCTTATGATTTTCTTAATAGCATTTTTTCTCTAGCTTATTTATTATAAGAATATACTATACAATACATATACAAAATATGTGTTAATTGACTGTTTATGTTATCAGTAAGGCTTCTGGTCAACAGCAGGCTATTAGTAGTTAAGTTTTGGGGACTCAGAAGTTATATGCAGATTTGGCTGTGCAGGGGGGTCAGCACCCATAACCCCTATGTTGTTCAGGGTCAACTATATTCTCAATCGTATGTATCTGACAAAGGACTTGCCTCCAAAATAGGTAAAGAACTCTTTAAATATTAAGAAAACTCAGTTTTAAAAACTGAGAAAAAGATTTCAATAGACACTTTACAGAAAAGATATGAATGGCTAGTAAGCACATGAAAAGCTGTTCAGTATCATTAGTAATTAGGAGAATGCAAATTAAATCACAGTGAGATTCTGCTACACACACACGAAAGCAGCTAAAACTAAAAAGACTGACGGTACCAAGTATTGGTGAGGATGCAGAACAACTGTATTTCTCAAACAGTGCAGATAGGATATAAAATGGAACAACCACTTTGGAAAACAACCTGGCAATTTCATGTAAAATTAAATATGCTAACCACACAACCTAACAATTCCACTCCTAAGTATTTACCCAAGAGAACTAAAATATGTCCACATGAAGCTTTATACACGAATGTTCATAGAAACTGAAATGTCCATTAACAGGTGAAAGAGTTAACAAACTGCTCTATAACCATAAAATGGAATACTACTCCATAACCATAAAATGGAATACTGCTCAGCCACAGAAAAGACTCAAACTGATACACATAATATAGATGAATCTCAAAAACAGTAACTAAGTGAAAAAAAGCAAAACACATTCTAAGTATATACTGTACATACTGTAAGTACTGTATATGTATATGCTAGAATGATTACATGTATTTTAAATTGTATAAAAAGTAAAACTAAACTTAAGACAGGGAGCAGATCAATAGTGGCCAGGGGCCAGGAGAAGAAGGACTGGGAAAGGGGCATGAGAGAATTTTTTTAGGGTAACAGTAATGTTCTCTATCTTAATCATAGTGCCGGTTACATGGGTACATACATTTATCAAAACTAACTAAATAGCCAGGCATGGTGGCTCATGCCTGTAATCCCAGCACTTTGGGAGGTCAAGGCAAGAGGATCACTTGAGCCCAGGAGTTCAAGACCAGGAGCCCAGGAGTTCAAGACCAGCCTGGGCAACAAAGCGAGATCTCGTCTCTATAAAAAAATGAAAAAATTAGCCAGGTGCGGTGGCTTGCACCTGTGGCCTCAGCTACACAGGAGGCTGAGGCAGGAGGATCACCTGAGCCCAGAAGGTTGAGATTGCAGTGAGCCATGTTTAATGTTTACACCACTGCACTCCAGCCTGGTGACAATAAGACCCTGTCCCAAAAAACAAAACAAAACAAACAAAAAAATATATATATACACACACATAAACATATATATACATATAATAATAATTGAACTGTGTACTTAGAATAGGTGTATTTTGTGTGTGCAAAATATACCTAAAAATTTTTTAAACCAATGAATTATTTTCTTAGTATCCAATCCATCAGAAACAAAAATTGGTTCAGAACACTAAACGTACCATGTATCTGAGTTCATTTCTACTTCTCATTTCCCCCAAATAAATATCTCTTAAAATACAAATTTTTAGTCAAACATCCTCACCTTGTTTCTATAATTTCTTCCAACTATATTTGCTAGAGCTTCACAAATACAGTGTCCACCAAAAATAGTTGTGTGTGTCTACATTTTCTATTTTATATACTCTTGACATTTAGCTCTAAGCTCAGAAACTAAAATGTTCACAAACTAAAGAACAACCAAACGGAAAACTTTAGGCTCTAAAATTAAGCTCTACCTACCCATTTGCCAAAGTGGTGGCTTCTCTCATCTGAGCAATTGATCTGTTAACAAATCGGCTTTCCTCTGATCACAGGCAGCCAAAGACTGCCACACTGACACAGGCACCATCTCCTCAAACAGATCTAAGATTAGGAAGAGAAATTACAACAAAATTTTAAGACAAAAACCCGAACTGTAAAAGTGACTGTTCATATTTTCTTTTCAATATTCACATAGTCCATACATATTTGATATTTAAAGATCAAAATATCAATAGTCTATTGACATTTAAAGATCAAAACTAAATCACTATTTAAAGCACAATGATAAAGAGAATTTTTAGATCACTACATTCACCGACAATGGTGACAATGAAAAGTTTCTTCTTTGAACTTAATTTTCTTTAACTTTTTCAGATGTGTTCATCACTGAGTTTGAGGGATCTTTAGTGACGCTGTTCATTTGTTGATTAAACTGAATGAGGGGCCGGGAGCAGTGGCTAAGGCCTGTAATCCCAGCACTTTGGGAGGCTGAGGCAGGTGCCTCACCTGAGGTCATGAGTTCAAGACCAGTCTGGCCAACTTGGAGAAACCCCATCTCTACTAAAAATACAAAAATTAGCCAGTGTAATGGTAGGAGCCTGTAGTCCCAGCTACTGGGGAGGCTGAGACAGAAGAATCGTCTGAACCCAGGAGGCGGAGGTTGCAGTGAGCCGAGATTGCACCACTGCACTGCAGCCTGGGCAATAGAGCAAGACTCGGTCTCAAAAAAAAAAAAAAAATTGACTGAGTGGGTCACGGCAGCAGGATTCCATTTCTGGCTCCAACACTTCCTAGCTATGTGACCTTGAGGAAATTACTTAACCACTCTGTGCATCAGTATCCTCATCAAACAGGGCTAACAACAGTACCCATCTCAGGGCACTTGTGAAAACTAATGAGCCAATATTTGTAAAGTGCTTAAAGAGTACCTGGCACATGGTAAACACTTTGTGTTTGCTAAATAAACACATAATCACCCTTTCCCAGTAACAGGATATTCTCCTTGGGATCTCAGCTAGAGGCTACCATCTGCTGTATACATCTACTTATACTTCCCTTCAACCTAAATAATTATACCTTTTAACCATATTGACAATAATATGGAAATATCACTCAAGAAGAACCTAACAGACCATGGAATTATAATAATTTAAACCATCCTTTTATCAAATGACATGGTCAGAACTGGAGAGGAAAGAGGGATACTAGTAACTTTTAAGTCCTCTACTAAGGTTTTTTTAATAAAAAGACTTCCAACCCACTAGAAAATATGCTTACATTTGCACATACTCCAGAAAAACTAAACATAAATAAATTCCCCACTATGAATGTGTTATAGTGTTGATGTCCTGTGTTACAGTACATGCGTGTCATGAGCTGTCAGGAAATGTGTACACCATGCAGGAGGCTGGACCCTGAGTGAGAATGACTGCCAGTAAAAACTGCCTGGCAATGGGAATGGCCAAAGAACTTTTGTCAATTGGTATGTCTAAGATTCAACTTTAAGCTGATTTCTATAGTGAGGTACAATCCTTCATTATTCTAACACTTAGGTAATGAACACATGAAAGAGAAAGAAAGAGAGAAGAGCAAGATTTAGAATCTTGATGAGAATCTGGTTTTTTGTTTGTTTTGTTTTGAGACGGAGTCTCGCTCTGTCGCCCAGGCTGGAATGCAGTGGCGCGATCTCGGCTCACTGCAAGCTCCACTTCCTGGGTTCATGCCATTCTCCTGCCTCAGCCTCCCAAGTAGCTGGGACTACAGGCACCCACCACCACACCTGGCTAATTTTTTGTATTTTTAGTAGAGACGGGGTTTCACCGTGTTAGCCAGGATGGTCTCGATCTCCTGACCTCATGATCTGCCCGTCTCAGCCTCCCAAAGTGCTGGGATTACAGGTGTGAGCCACCGTGCCAGGCCGAGAATCTTAAAAATTATGTAACTTAAGTTTCTTCCTCATTCTTTTCCAGATTCTGAATAAAGGGGTGGGTTTGAGAGATGGAAAAAAACTTAAAATCAAAAGGTAGTCTTTGAAATTAAACACCATCATACCAGCCTGTGATTTTCCAAACATAGAAAAATCTTTTTAGCCTACTTCCTTCATTACCAAGAGCAAAACAAACCAAAACAGTAGATGCTAAGGTATAAACCTGATGCCACAAATGATACAGATCCAAACAAACACAAATACACACACACACACACACAGATTCAAAAATCACAACACTATAAATCCTAGGACCAATGAATCTAATTAAATCCCTTTTGTGTAATATCCCTATTAATATAGGACTAGAAGACATTGTACACTCAAAAATCCAAAAGTCTAAATTGCTTTCACATAGTCAAAAACACAGGATTTCCACTAACTCCACCACACTACCATATGTGGCTTTAGGTAGCTCAAAACTGAATTCCAAAATGAAGTATATTTTTGAGAGTAACAACTCCCAGAGAAAAACAAGGGCACACATATAGAGTTCCATGCTCCTCAGGAACTGCTAGGTCTGATCTTGGACCCTCTCTTCTACTAGGTTCGGCCTGGATGAATGTATCTGATGAGACCCACATACCTTATCAAGAAATGGCTGGAAAAGGCTAAAATCGTTTCTCATGTTCCCATTACTACAAAGTAAAAGCATGACAAGCTCTATACTTAAGTGTTTTGACTTGGTCAAACGCTAACACCGGGTTTGCTACAGTGTAAAATTAATCTAGAATGTAATCATTGATTCCATTTTCTTTTTATTCTTAAAAAAAAAAAGGGTGGTTGGGGAAGAAATCACTGCTTTTCCATTGCGCAGGTACTTTGTGCTAGAGAGCATGTGTCATTTCTAGGGTCTCAGAAAAAGAACAGATGTATCTATGTGTAAACACAAACAGTAAGTTACAAGTTGCCCCTTAGTACTGAAGGCAAGAATCAGCATCAGTACTCAAAAAAGTGTTTTAAAAAGAGTGTAACTTACTCTTACTGACCCAGGCTAAACGGGCTCTGTCTGGTGCTTCTTTGTCTGCACATGGCCACCCACAGCCTGTCTTCTAATTAAACCAATGCTCTAGCAGCAGAACAAGCAAACAAGTTGCCTCCCATCTGCATACAGCTCTTAAGGATACATTTCCCTTGTTCAGAAGGTGGAAATTCTTGGGAGAGGTGATTTTCTCTGCCTCTTCACAAGAAGAACATGGATACTTGGCTGGATGCAACTCCATGAAGCGTAACTGTGTGTGTACACCTCAAAAAATAAAAAATGCAGAGAAACATAAAGACTCCATAAACAGCTGGAATACACAGAAATACTGAAGCACCACTGGGAATACTGCTAAACAGACAGGCAAAATAGGATCTTTGAAATCATCAATAATACCAAGTTAAGAAAAAAAAAAAGGAAAAAAGAGCACCTAAGGTCAAAACTCCAATTTCATGCAATGAAAACATTGTAAGTACTACAAAAGAAAAAAGGTAAATATTCTACTTCACATACATAGAAACACATCCCACTCCCCTTACAGAGAATAAAAGATATTATCAATGGAAAAGAAAAATGAGATTTTCAAGGGTGGTAGGTCTAAAATTAGACTCACCAGCCACATTATAGTTAATGAGCACTTACGTAAATGTGAGCTAAATGCATCAAGCTGTCGTTCCAGTGTGGTCAGCTCTACTGGGGGGCAGGGGGTGCTGGGGAAAGAGCAAGGGACCACTCTGCTTATGAAAATATAATTTCTACAAAAATAAAAACGTACAGGAAATGAGATGCTCGTTTATTTAAATAATTTTAAACTTCCCAAATCACAGAAATGACCTTAAAGTAGATGCCCCTCCTTTTTTGCAATAAAAACCAAATGACTGAAGTAGGGTAGGGAGCAGGGTGTGGTTAAGCATCTGCTCACAAGAAAACTTGTTATAAGTTTGGTGAGGGAAAAGGGAAATGTATCAGCTCTTCCCAATGTCCCCTTCCATCCTAGGTATGCCCATATGCCATCAGGAAGCCACACCATCTCCATGACCACTAGGCATTTCAAGGACTGGCAGGCCGTAGAAGTTTCTTCTATCCCCCTGAGGCACACAGACAATTCCAGCCGGAAGTATAAAGCCCAGGGGAGAGAATATGGCCTATTCCTGCAGCTGCGCAAGAGGCCTGCGCTGGGGTCCACTCACAATGAACTACTCAAGTGTGACCAACATTCCCATTCTGGAGATCCCTGCCTTAAAGAAATGCAGACCTGGCTGGGCACGGTGGCTCACACCTGTCACCCCAGCACTTTGGGAGGCCAAGGCAGATGGATCACTTGAGGCCAGGAGCTTGAGGCCAGCCTGGGCAACGTGGCAAAACCCCGTCTCTACTAAAAACACAAAAAAAATTAGCCAGGTGTGGTGGCGCACACCTGTAGTCCCAACTACTCAGGAGGCTGAGGCATGAAAATCGTTTGAACCTGGGAGGTAGAGATTGCAGTGAGCCGAGATCATACCACTGCACTCCAGCCTGGGCGACAGAGCAAGAATCTGTCTCAACAACAACAAAGATACAGACAAATGTATAACAGTATTATATATAATATAAATATATAATGAAAATACCTACTTTCTTTCTCTTACATACCAAAATATCAGTCATCTGAACAAGTTATTCTTAAAGGACTTCCCTAGAGTTTACAAGCAAGCAATATTTGTATTACACAGAGATCCAAAGACGACGAACTGTTTTTAACAGAATGACTAAAAACTTGGCCCAATATAATCTGCCCTATAAACGCTAAAGCATTTGGACAAGAAACGAGTTTTAACCATGAATTAGCATCTCCCCTGACCATAGGGAGCTTTAAAGCATGAATTAAGTGAATAAAAAACTTCACAGTCCATTTTTAATAACAGAAGTTCAACAAAAGATTTTTAACAAAGGAACCTGTATAATTTGCCTTTTACTACATAAAACGTAAAAGCTATTCCTATCACTATTCTTTTTTTTTTTTTTCTTTTAGACGGAGTCTCAGTCCGTAGCCCAAGCTGGAGTGCAGTGGTGCAGTCTCAGTGCAGTCTCAGCTCACTGCAACCTCTGCCTCCTGGGTCCCAGTTCAAGCAATTCTTCTGCCTCAGCCTCTCAACTAGCTGGGATTACAGGAACGCGCCACCATGCCCAGCTAATTTTTGTATTTTTATTAGAGATGGGGTTTCACCATATTGGCCAGGCTGGTCTTGATCTCCTGACCTCGTGATGCGTCCGCTTCGGCCTCCCAAAGTGCTGGGATTACAGGCGTGAGCCACTGTGCCCAGCCCCTATCACTATTCTTAATACACGGTATTCTACCTACCAAAATAATCAGTTTTCAGAATGAATTAACCAAAATTTCTCAAAGGTTACAACAAGATCTTCAAAACCTCTGCGAAATTCATCAGTTTTCTCACAAAAGATTATAAATTACCTTCCAAAAGTCTGTCATTCATATTGCACCTATTATTACTCATTAGACTTTTTTAAACCAGGTCTTTGTACTTTTTAAGAAAAACACCATTGTGCAAAAGGAGCTTCAGGCAGTATTTTATAGATAGTTCATTTTCTATCAGAATCCATGAAACACTTTCTATTTTAGAAACAATCCTAAGAAAATGGTAGCATCATGACTCACCCAGTTCTATATCCACTTTTCTCAAAAAAGAAATTCACATTAGAAGTTTTACCATTTGAAATATGCAAAATTATGGTCTGGAATCTTAAATCCACTGTCACTACTTGATCCAAAACTATTTCAAAAGCAGCCAAAAAAGCAACTGGCATCCAAATGTATAGTCCCAAATATGAAGACCAAATTCTTTCACAATATTAATCTTCTCTGCTGTGAGTGAAACCAGAGTTGTACCATCCAGTGAACAGAATTCACTTTCTCATCAGTTATTAAGATAATCTCAAAAAAGCTATACGAAACAACAGGAATGAATCAACTTACCAATAAATCATTAAAATATGATCTATAAACTGACCTTTCCATTTCCTTCCCTACATTTTGAAGATAAACAAAATATACTTTGGAGTAATATCATTTGCATTTCCACACTGCAGAAAACCTCTCATACAGAAGCAGCCACCTTCCCTCCCAAAACTCTAAAGGGAGAAGGTGGTCAATTTAATAGATAGGAACTTTTGCACCTGCTCCTCCTTTACTTAAATGAAGAAAACACCTCATTCTGTTGTCCAGAAGTGACAGTCTTAAGATGACATCACTTGTCTGTAGCGGTGGTAAAGAAAAATAAAACGACACAAAATTATCAGTCTCTAAGAAAAGCTAAAAAATGATATGTCTGCATAATTCCCTTTAGTGTGTGTGGAACACACTACTACACACACACACACACACACACACACATATTTCTTTTGCCTTGTCTCTTCCTCCTTCACTGCATGGAGTTAAGATCAGTATACTTTTCACTATTTGGGAAAATACAAATTATCACATTTTTAAAATATACAGCCAGATACTCTTTCTAGGCAATAAAGACCATTAAAACATTTCAGTCATTTCAATCCACAATTAGTATTTAAGGAATTCATATCAATTTTAATATCTGCCTAAGTAATAATATAACGGGCAAGTTTTAAAAATATGTTTATGTATTGTTTCCTTAAGCTCAGTGGCAAGAACATCATTTTTTAAATCAAAAAGTATATCCCAAAGTCTAAAGAGAAGAGAACAATGACTGTTTGCATCTGTTCAATAATCCAGACATGACTTAACTGAATAGACTGACCAAAACTAAGATAAGTATTTATTCTCAAATTAAACATAATGCATTATTAATAAGGCTCTCCAGAATTTTTCTCAGCACTTTTCAGTATTCTGAAAGGACTCAATACTGCTACTTATATTTTTCTAAGTACAAAAATATTAGAATCCAATCTTCTTACGTCTTTCCATTGACCCAAGCTATTACAATACTTCCCCAACTGAAGTCCATCTGAAAACCTATCCTGTTTTAAGGTAATGAATCACAATTATTCAAGGTGAGAGAAACTGCAGGGGGCAGTATAAGCATGATTTCCAACATAATTCTTAAGATTTAGGAAAATTCTTCCTGTTAGTGTAAGCTTAACCTTAAACTATTAACATGTATTTCAATCAAAGAGTCCATAGAAAAGTTAATTGTTAAAGATAATTGAAATTCTTCCACAAATTTAATAATCAAAAGTTGAGGCCAGGCACAGTGGCTCTCACCTGTAATCGCAGCACTTTGGGAGGCCGAGGTAGGTGGATCACCTGAGCTCAGGAGTTCAAGACCACCCTGGTCAACATGGTGAAACCCCATCTCTACTAAAAAAAAAAAAAAATACAAAAATTAGCTGGGTGTGGTGGTGCATGCCTGTAGTCCCAGCTACATGGGAAGCTGAGGCACAAGAATCACTTCAGCCTGGGAGGCAGAGGTTGCAGTGAGCCAAGATCGCACCACTGCACTCCAGCTTGGGCTACAGAGTGAGAATCCATCTCAAAAATATATATATATATAAAATAAAATAACTAAAAGTTGAGGTGTGGGATGCTCTAAAGTCACTTGGGGAAGAATTCTATGCTACCATTATCCTTATGACTTATTCCAATCAAAAATAATAGAACAAGAAATTTTTTTCCTTTAAATTCATATCCACACTCTTAAAAAAACACAAGTTATCCAAAACTATAAGTCCACTTACTCAGGAGAAACTCATTATTTCAAAATGTATTCTTATCATTTTTAAGTATAAATAAGTAAATCCCTTAAAAGTCAGATTCAACACTAGGGGAAAATAGAATGAAATATTAAACATGATATATAAGTATGACTTAGGAAAATTAAAGTTATTCTAAGATAAAAAGAGAAACTTAATTTTATTCAGTTTTGCATTCATGGTTGCCATTCTAGTATATTCTCCAGCTACTCAATAACCTTCTTTCCCAAACCTATGCTGATTCCATGCAAGTAATTTCCAACTAACAATTGAATTAGTTAAGTTAGATGAAGCCCTCTTTGTGTGTCTGTTTTGAGTAAAGGTAACATTTGGTGGTAAATACATCTATCTTCTTTCTTATGTCATTTTTCTCCTCTGATCCTCAACATATAATTAAACTTTCTTTGATGCTGTAAAACTTGTCATTAATAGTTACCATAAATATTCATCTCATACATACCACTTCCAAAGCACCTCATAACTGTAATAATTGCTAACAGTTATGGGTGCTTACTACGTACCACACACTGTTCTAAGAGACTGTCCTGTATTAGTCATATATGAACTCAGTTAATCTTCACAACTCTGTGAAGTGGGAATTATTATCCTCATAAATAGGGAAACTGAGTCAAGGACAGACTGTGCCACACCCATGGACACATGGCTAATGACTGGTAGAGCTGGCATGAAATGTATCAGTCATATTAGGAGGGCATCACACATCCCCATGTAAGATTCAATAGAACTAGGTGCTCACCATATTCTTTCACCTTCCTTGACTACATTAGGACCAATCTGACATTACCAAGAGAAATTAAAATCTACAAAGCATGATCAAAAGCTCAGGTCCACAATTAAGCATGAGAATATACAGAAAACACGGCTAGGACTTTTGGTAAACACCTGGGCAATTTTCACAAGGAAAGGCATGAAAGGGTGCGTGCCCTGGTATGAGCGCCTGAATACAAGGGCCACAACCCAGTCAACCTGGAAATGTCGCCTTTAACTATCATCTCCTCCCTCAAACTCATCATTGTTTCGTCATCATGTCTTACTTGATTCCCTAAGGAGTATTCTCAACCAGAAAAATATTTTTCACGATAATCCTCTCAACTGATAGATACAAATCTATCTTCTCCAAGTTCGAGCAGCAAGTCAATCTTCTGAAGACCTCAATATCCCCTGCACAAATTCATCAAGGGTCCAAATCAAGAGAACTGAGAGGACCTCACTCTAGAGTATAAAAAATTATGGCAAACGTGAGAGCCTCCCCACTCAATTATTCGATGTCCACAGTAAACTGGGGACAAACCTAACCATAACACTGGGACAAGGCACACTTCACAGCACACAATTTCAGGGTATATATCTAACTGTTAGGTTCGTGAAGAATCTTCCCCTTCTACTTTAGGCACTTCTAGACAGTTGGAATTTATTTTTAAACAACAGAACATACATCACTTTTTGGGGGTTAACTTCAAGGATTTTCCTACTGAAAATGAGAAACTTCAGTATCCAGTCACTAACTTTTGTATTCATGAATCTCACAAAAAAAAAAAAATCAAGAAAAGGAAGGAATTTAACCAACTTTCATATTACTCAGAAAAGTCACCAATGAAAACAACAATATCATAGGCTTCTTCATAACTGTGCTAATATTGGTGGGCAACACTGGTCATATAATTTATGGTTGACTAACTCAACAGTTTCATGTCATTTAAGAACAATAAAGATAAACTCACAAGTATTTTCAATAAAACAGAGAAAAGAAATACCTCAAGTTCCACCAGTGCTGCAGTGACTGCGTCAGTTGCAAGAGCACCCGCCTGCAGCTTTTCAATTGCCTATGAAACCAAGGGGAGAGATTATTCATTGCAAAATCACAACTTCCCAAACTTTCCAAAAGCTTAAAGAAGTATGGGAGACACTTAGATTAATAAAAATTGACCACTAGTTCCATTCCATACTTTAAGACATAAACTACTCAGATTAAAAACAAGCAAGTGTTTATATTCAGGTTAATTGGTAATATGGCTCACTTAATATTATTCAAATTAAAACAATAACATCTAGCTATTAAATGAAAAGTACAAGGAATTTAGTAAGCTTAATTCATTGTAAGGCTATTCAAAATAGCCACAGAAATTGTATGACCCAGTTTGGTTCAAATATCCTGACAATTCGTATTTTATATAGATAACTAAATCTCAAACGAATCATTTCTCCTCCCCGTTAATACTCTCCATACCTAAAAAGAAGTGACTCTGAGTCACAGGGGCGCCGGAATCTGAGGATAAAAGCACACATTTGACAAAAACATTTTGGATACTATAATGTAAATTCTAAATCAAGATGTAACATATTATTTTGTAATATAAACTACACAGAATAAAGGTCTATAAAATCACCTGGCCTTGAGCATAAATTAGGAGAGGAAAAGAGAGAGAAGGAAAAGTCATTTATAAATGATTTATTAACATTTCAATTTAGTCAACAAAGAGAAAGCTCAAAAACTAAGAACTGTATTCCTAATTAAACTTTTAAGAAGTGTATTCATTGGAAATATTAAAGAGGCTAAATATACAATTCAAATGTATTAAATTTCTAAGACTATAGTTACATAAAATTTATTTTCAGATGATAGAAAAATTTCACACTTTGAAAAATAAGAAAAAATATAAAACAGCTTAGAGAACTTTTAGCTTTATTGTTATAAATTTCAAAAGAACAAAATCCCTGTAACAAAATATTCTTATTTATAGGGCTTCATTCATAAGAAAAAGCTTGAATCTCTGATAAAGTATAATCTTTTTAATGTTATGTAAATATCAACGAAAAGAGCAGAGAGAGACGCATATTTACTCGATATACAATATTCAACTAGATCCTATTTGCATAAAAAGTAATGGAAGGTTTGCCTACAAGACTAGTAAGAATCAAAATAAAAAACATTTCTTCTGAGTCCATTCCTGTCCCCACATTAAATATTCAACAGTTTAGCAAAACCTCAAAAACCAATGGGAAAAAAGCACAACTGAGTACAAGGGCAAAGCTGAACTCTGGAATGACAATGAACTTGCTATGATACAAACTACGTGATGAAAAACAGAATGAAAAAGTATAGGACAATCTCTCTTAAAAAAGCACCCATTTTAATTTTTTTATTTATTTTTTTCCCTTCATGGAAAAACACACTGACTGCCTTCAAGCTGTTTTCTCTATCCTTCTGTCTACAGAAGTTCAACATCGTTGCAAAGATTAAAAGAGATATGATTGTGTGCCCACAATTACAAAAATACAGACTTTAATCTGGGACGTGGGGAAAGAGCTAAGCATCATGTGGAGAAAGACACAAAACAACACAAAACGATCCCCTACAAAAACAAGCAAAATAATTTTGTAGTCCAAACCGGAAGACTGCCCTAGAAATGAAACTTTTAAATGTTGAATTTCTTTTTTTTTTTTTTTTTTTTGGAGTTGCATACATTTTTTTAATCCAAAGAAGTCAGCCTCCTAAGTATTGCTTAAACAGGTTTATCAGAATTAAGTAGGCACGACACTCATACTTTCAGAAAAGCATTTGCAGCCAGGGGAGTAACGTGGCACTCACCAGCATGATATCTGTTTTGCCAACTTGCTGAGGAACGAGTAACCTGAAATGAAGAAGCGAGAATCTCATCCTCAGCCCCCCAACAGCTTCCTCAGCTTCTTTTTATTCTGAGTCACTCCCTGAAACAGTCGCTGCATCTAAGACCAGCCTCGGGCTAAACCCAGCTGGCCTGAAGGCTCAACTCACATCAAACAGAGCTGGGAGTTGCTTTTGCGTGTGTCCGCAGTTTGAAGTGTCCTCTCCGAAGGTGAAGTGGAGGAAGCAGGTGCGCTCTGGGATGAAGTGCAGGGAGGCAAACTCTGGCTGGGTTCCTGTAAACATCCATGGCAGTTGCAAATAATGAGAAGCCGAGGCCAGGCCATCGGTGTGACGCTGCAGGCAGATGAGGTCTTGGGACGCCCCTTGCGTTCCCCCTTCTGTGGGAGCAGGTGCCTTCCCAATCTCAGCACTCAGTCCCAATCTCTCTTCCACTCTCCTGGGTCCAAACAGGAACCTCTCTGTTGGCACGAAGCTTTTGAGGGTAGCAGGCAGGCCTCGGAGGCAGGGGAGGGTCTCCTCCTGGGGAACCATCCCCGTCCAGATGGTGCCCCCAACCAGCTGCTGCGGCGCCATGATCTGGGCGGCTGGTCCAGGGCGTGGGTTGCGGATCGTGGAGGGAAGAGGGGAACGGCAGTCGAGACCCTACTCCAAGTACCCATCAAAGACGTCGAGCTCCGAGTCAGCATCGTAAAGGCCCGAGCCGGGGTCGGAGAGCACGCCGAGGTCCACGAGCGCCTGGTCCATGTCCTCGAACAGGAAGACGAGGCCCACGTTGAGGACGATGTACTCCATGAGGAAGGCGTAGTACAGGATCAGCACATTGACGAAGAACAGGCCCACGTAGAACATAGAGGGCAGCAGCGGCGGCGGCACGTAGGGGACCAGGGGGCCCAGTGCGTCCAGGTGGGCCGCGACCCGGGCGCCGAGCATGCAGCCGGTGGCAAGGGCGGCGGCGGCCCGGCGATCCCGGCGAACTCAGCCGCTGTGGCGCCCGGGCGGCCGGCGAGGGCACAGCGCAGCCATCCAGGGGTACCCTGGAGCCCGACAGAAGCAGGGCCGGGCTCCAGATGTCCCCTGGCAAATGCGCCCCGACCCCCGAAATGCGCCGGGCGGGTCACCGCACCCCGAGATGTGCCCCCAAGGCTCTTTCGACCGCCCTGAAGTGGCGGGCCCCCCTGAAGTGGCCGGCGGCTGCCCGGCTCCCTCGAGGCGCCTCCCTGGCGCTCGCAGGGCCTCGCAGAGCCGGCGGGGATCCCACCGCGGCTCAGTGTCTAGGGCCGGTCCCGGCAGCCCTCTCTCCCGCCCGGCCCCGCAGGTCCTAGCGTCGCCCTCCCCCCCGCGCCCCTGCAGGCCCAGCACCCATGGCTGCGGCCGCGGCGTCGCCCTCCGAGTCGCGCTCAGAGCCACTGCTTTATGTTCAAAACTGAAAAGCATAGATGATACACATTGCGTTGATACTCTCTGACAAGCTCGTTTGCATACATGTTTATATTCCTTGGCTTTGGATTCAGAATGATAAACTGCACCTATAGTAGAAAATAAAATCCAGTTGTTAATTGTTAAAATATCAAGAGACCTTGCTTATGTTATATAAATACTCCAATAAACTGATGCTGTCCTAGTAAAAAACAAAACTATTGCCCTAACTGTATGGAGTTTTATGATTTCTTTCTCCAATGTAAGCCTTTTTAATACCATGCCTTATCTCCGTTTTCAAAAGCTCTTTTCCTGCCAAAAGCCCTAAAAATAGCTCATGTCCCCAGAGGCTTCACCAAGGTCACCTCCCCTCTTCTTTTCAAGAAGCTTTTTCCAAATCAGGAGTTCTTTTGATCTGGAGCTAACAACCCAGAAGGTGTCAGGGACAGGGTCCCTCCAGGTTCCTCTCTGCTGAAAGCCCCTGCCATTTGGGAAGTTACTGTTTCAAATCCAGAATTCATAAGAATAATTCAGAAAGCTGGATTGCTTCTGAACAACATTGGAAGTTGAGGCATCTTACATCTCACATGTCCACAACCACCACCAATTGCACCATTCCTAACCAAACACTTCACGTCCTCTCAATAAAGTTGCTAGATTAGTCTCATTTCTTAAAAAGCTGTTTTTTGACAAAATGGGAGAAAATTTTCGCAACCTACTCATCTCACAAAGGACTAATATCCAGAATCTACAATGAACTCCAACAAATTTACAAGAAAAATACAAGCAACCCCATCAAAAAGTGGGCAAAGGATATGAACAGACACTTCTCAAAAGAAGACATTTATGCAGCCAAAAAGCACATGAAGAAATGCTCATCATCACTGGCCATCAGAGAAATGCAAATCAAAACCACAATGAGATACCATCTCACACCAGTTAGAATGGCGATCATTAAAAAGTCAGGAAACAACAGGTGCTGGAGAGGATGTGGAGAAATAGGAACACTTTTACACTGTTGGTGGGACTGTAAACTAGTTCAACCACTGTGGAAGTCAGTGTGTCTAGATCCTCAGGGATCTAGAACTAGAAATACCATTTGACCCAGCCATCCCATTACTGGGTATATACCCAAAGGACTATAAATCATGCTGCTATAAAGACACATGCACACATATGTTTATTGCGGCATTATTCACAATAGCAAAGACTTGGAACCAACCCAAATGTCTAACAATGATAGACTGGATTAAGAAAAGGTGGCATATATACACCAACGAATGCTATGCAGCCATAAAAAAATGATGAGTTCACGTCCTTTGTAGGGACATGGATGAAACTGGAAACCATCATTCTCAGCAAACTATCGCAAGGACAAAAAAACAAACACCGCATGTTCTCACTCATAGGTGGGAATTGAAGAATGAGAACACATAGACACAGGAAGGGGAACATCACACACCGGGGACTGTTGTGGGGTGGGGGGAGGGGGAGGGATAGCATTAGGAGGTATACCTAATGCTAAATGACAAGTGAATGGGTGCAGCACACCAACATGGCACATGTATACATATGGAACTAACCTGTACTTTGTGCACATCTACCCTAAAACTTAAAGTATAAGAATAATAAAATTTTTTTAAAAAGTTGCTTTTTGGTAGTTTATATGTAACACTGTAGTTCTATATGTACTTGCAAATAGCTATAGTACCAGTAAAAAATGTGATAAAATGAAACTCACATATGCCAAAAATACTTTGATTTAGCGCTTCATTAAGTGCATGATTATCTGCATCTTTTGATTTACCTATCTTTACAATTTTCAGCTGAGATACTTAGAGGTCACATAGTAAATTAAGGTTTTCTTTTTTTAAAATAATCTCCATCTTTCTAAATTTGGTGAGTCCAGTAAGTTATTTTTGAGATGTTGAAATCTGTGGCTTTGTTCTAAACTTGAGCACAGAAATCATGCCACTTACGAAATATGCTTTGTCTTCCAACATCAGAGTGTCTGGTAGAAGGTGACTGTTCTTGGAATTTAAAAAATCTTAACAGGAAAAGACAAGAATCTGGACACTTTTTCTGTTTCTGATAATATGGCTGAGTAGGTAGACATGCTGGCTAGTCCTTGCATAGATCAAGACATACTTGAACTTGCCAAAAAAAATAAAAAATCCAGAGTCTCTAAGAATGAAGATGAAGTGAAAATCAGAAGGGCTATTGAGAGAGTAATGGGGAAGCAGCCCCAGTTATCAAGGGACGTGTGCATGTGTTCATTAAAAAGTTTCAGATGTAAAAAAAGTTGAGAAAAATAATGTAACTGCCCTACATATACACATCATCAACAATTTTTCATTCATGGCATGGACAGTTTTTTGTTTTTGTTGGTTTTTTGTTGTTTGTTTTTAAAGGTGGGATTTTGCTGTGGTCGCCCAGGCTGGAGTGCAGTGTCATGATCTTGGCTCACTGCAAATTCTGCCTCTCAGGTTCAAGCGATTCTCCTGCCTCAGCCTCCCAAGTAGCTGGGATTACAGGCACCCGGCACCACATCCGGCTAACTGTTGTATTTTTAGTAGAGATGATGTTTCACCACGTTGGCCAGGCTGGTCTTGAACTCCTGACCTCAGGTGATCCACCTGCCTCAGTCTCCCAAAGTGCTGGGATTACAGGCGTGAGCCACCACACCTGGCCACAGCCAGTTTTGTTTCATTTATATTCCCACTTCATTTATATGCATTCCTTCTTCCTCTGAATTATTTTGAAGTAAAATCTATACATCATATCATTTTTTAATTACCGTATATGTATCTGCAGAAGACAAGGAATTTTTAAAAATAAATATATTCACAATGCCATTAAATACCAAAAAAATTAATATTCTGAAAATAGCCACAAATCCAGAGTTCACATTTTCTTGACTTTCTCATAGGTGATTTTTCTTCTAGGTTTTCTATTTAATCAGGTAACTGTTTGCTCATATTTACATTCCTTACTGAACAATGTCTAAACTTAAACTGACATAAAACGCACATGATCTTCTGACCAAATGCTTAGTGCAAGAAAAAACTTCAAACTGCAAGACGAGTCCCTCCAAATATAGAAAGGACCAGTATTTTAGGAGGTATGTTAACTAAAATGTGGCAATGTAAGGAGCAAAACAGGAAGAACCTTTAAGTCCTAAACTTACAAGTCAATTTCCTAGTCAGTTTCCATGGTCCTTCCACAACAACCTCTGGCATCTGTATTCTCTACAATGGAGGTAACAATAGTAGCTATTTCAGAGCAGGAAAAGGCTTAGAGCAGTGCTGCAAGAGGGTCGTGGCTATATAAAGTTTAGCTATTTGTATATTGTAACAAACCCCCTTTTTTTTTTTTTTTTGTCAATAATAGATTTCTTTTGGAAAAGTAGCAGCCTCCTGTCTGGGGACAACTGCAGTTCCACTAAGTGAACATTGGTGTCTGCTCGCCTTTGCCTCTATTTCTCTCAATAATATACTGTCAAGCTGTTCCTTGATTTAGCAATTTTATGTACTTTCTTTTTCTTCTTTTTTTTTTTTCCTGTTTTCCTGAGACACAGTCCCGCTCTATCGCCCAGTTTGGACTGCAGCAGCGCCAACATGGCTCACTGCCACCTCACCCCCACCCCTCTCCGGCTCAAGCAATCCTCCTACATCAGCCTTCAGAGTAGCTGGGACTACCCGCCGGGCCCACCAGGCCCCGCTAATCTTTGTGGTTTTTGTTTTGTTTTTCAATTAAGGGACTGGGTTTCGGGCCAGGCGCAGTGACTCAGGCCTGCAATCGCAGCACCCCGGAAGGCCGAGGCCGGCGGATCACCCGAGGTTAGGAGCTGGAGACCAGCCTGACCAACATGGAGAAACCCCATCTCAACCAAAATAAATAAATAATAAAAAAGTAGCCGGGCATGGTGGCTCACGCCTGCAATCCCAGCCACTCAGGAGGCTGAAGCAGGAGAATCACCCAAACCCGGGAGGCGGAGGCCCGGGAAGCCGAGACCACGCCACTGCACTCCAGCCTGGGCAACAAGAGGGAAACTCCGCCTCGAAAACAAAACAAAAACAAAAACGGGTTTCACCATGTTGCCCAGGCGGGTCTGGATCTCCTAGGCTCAAGCGATTCACCGCGCTCAGCCGTCCAAAGTCCTGGGATCACAAGCGCGAGCCATGACACCAGGCCGATCTATTCCTGTCTGATTAAAAATTGGGCTGGGCGTGGTGGTTAACGCCTGCGATCCTAACACCCAGGGAGGCCGAGGCGGTCGGATAACCTGAGGTCAGATTGAGGCCAGCCTGACCAACATGGAGAAAACCCCATCTCTACCAAAAAAAAAAAAAAAATACAAAATACAAAATTAGCAGGGCACGGTGGCTCATGCCTGCAATCCCAGCCACTCGGGAGGCTGAGGCAGGAGAACCACCCAAACCTGGGAGGCCGAGGCTGCGGGGAGCCGAGACCCTGCCACTGCACTCTAGCCTGGGCAACAAGAGCGAAACTCCCTATCAAAAAAAAAAAAAAAAAAAGAGGGACTGGGTTTCACCATGTTGCCCCAGCCGGCCTGGAACTCCTAGGCTCAAGCGATCCGCCGCGCTCGGCCATCTGAAGTCCCGGGATCACAAGGGTGAGCCACCACGCCAGGCCCATCTGTTCCTTTCTGATTAATAAATTGGGCCCGGCGCGGTGGCTCCCTCCTGCAATCCCAGCACCCTGGGAGGCGGAGGCGGGCGGACCACCTGAGGTCGGGAGTTTGAGACCAGCCTGACCAACATGGAGAAACCCGTCTCTACCAAAAAAGAAAAAAAATAAAAAGCTGGGCATGGTGGCTCACGCCTGCAATCCCAGCACCCCGGGAGGCCGAAGCAGGCGGGTAACCTGAGGTCAGGAGTTTGAGACTACCCTGACGAAGGGAGAAACCCCGTCTATACCAAAAAAAAAAAAAAAAAAATTAGCCGGGCATGGTGGCTCACGCCTGTAATCCCAGCCGCTCCGGAGGCTGAGGCAGGAGAACAACCCAAACCCAATAGGCGGAGGCCGCCGGGAGCCGAGACCGCGCCACTGCACTCCAACCGGGCAACAAGAGTGAAACTGCCTCAAAAAAAAAAAAAGACCGGGTTTCACCATGTTGCCCCGGCCTGTCTGGAACTCCTAGGCTCAAGCGATCCCCCACGCTATTCCTTTGTGATTTATAAATTGGGCCTTGGGCGCTGGCTCAAGCCTGCAATCCCAGCACCTCCGGACGCCCGAGGCGGGCGGATAACCTGAGGTTGGAGTTTGAGACCAGCCTTATGAACATGGAGAAACCCCATCTCCAACAACAAAAACAAACGAACAAAAAACAAAATGAGCTGGGCATGGTGGCTCACGCGTGCAATCCCAGCCACTCGGGAGGCTGTGGCAGGAGAACCACCCAAACCCGGGAGGCGGAGGCCCGTTGAGCCAAGACCTCACCACTGCACTCCAGCCTGGGCAACAAAAGCGAATCTCCGCCTCAAAACAAACAAAAAGTGACCGGGTTTCACCATGTTGCCCAGGCAAGTATAGAACGAACTCCTACGCTCAAGCGATCCGCCGCGCTCAGCCGTCCAAATTCCTGGGATCATAAGCGTGAGCCACCATGCAAGGCCGATCTATTCCTTTCTGATTAATAAACTGGGCTGGGCGCGCTGGCTCACGCCTGCAATCCCAGCACCCCCGGAGGCCCAGGAGGCGGGCGGATAACCTGAGGTCGGGAGTTTGAGACCAGCCTGATGAACATGGAGAAACCCTGTCTGTACCAAAAAAAAAAGAGAAGAGAGACCGGGTTTCACCATGTTGCCCAGGCCGGTGTGGAACTCCTAGGCTCAAGTGATCGATCCCCCGCGCTCGGCCGTCCGACGTCCTGGGACCACAAGCGTGAGCCACCACGCCAGGCCGATCTATTCCTTTCTGATTAATTAGTTGGGCTTTGCGTGCTGGCTCACGCCTGCAATCCCAGCACCCCCGGAAGCCAAGGCGGGCGGATAACCTGAGGTCCTGAGTTTGAGACCAGCCTGACCAACAGGTAGAAACCCTGTGTGTACCAAAAAAAAAAAAAAAGAAAAAAGAAAATTAGGCATGGTGGCTCACACCTGCAATCTCAGCCATTAGGGAGGTTGAGGCAGAAGAACCACCCAAACCCAAGAGGCGGAGGCGGCGGGGAGCCGAGACTGCACCACTGCACTCCAGCCTGGGCAACAAGAGCGAAACTCCGCCTCAAAAAAAAAAAAAGAGACCGAGTTTCACCATGTTGCCCAGGCCTGTCTGGATCTCCTAGGCTCAAATGATCCCCAGTGCTCTGCCATCCAAAGTCCTTGGATCACAAGCGCAAGCCACCAAGCCAGGCCCATCTATTCCTCTCTGATTAATAAATTGGGCGGGGTGCGGTGGCTCACACCTGCAGTCCTGTAGAGGGATTTTTAAGGAATTAGATAGACTCATGGGGTTTAGGAGGACATTTATTAATTATTTAGGTGCACCAGCCCAGTCGGATTAACATTTAAAGGATTGAGTACTGAACCAAGAGTTACCTTTCAAGCATTATGTGGGGCGAAGGGGGAGATCTGTGCAGGGAGAAGCATATTATAGAAGCGAGAAACAAAGATACTTATTTAATTGAAACATACATTATATTATTTTTTACTATTTAAGGAAAAATATGTTTTGTGACGAGTTTGTTTAGTGACCTTGCAGTTGCACAGTTAGGGAATTAGTTGGGCATGGTGGCTCACACAATCCCAGCCACTCGGGAGGCTGTGGCAGGAGAACCATCCAAACCCGGGAGGCAGAGGTCCCACAAGCCGAGACCTCGCCACTGCACTCCAGCCTGGGCAACAAGAGCAAATCTCCCCCTTAAAAAAAAAATGTGACTGGGTTTCACTATTCTGTCCAGGCCGGTCTGGAACTCCTAGGCCCAAGCGATCTGGCGCTTGATGTCTTTAACCTATGATTGAAAGCATATTAAGATCTTGGGTGTATCAACAGTCCAGAGGTCAAGAAGGAAATTCCTGGAATGTGAAATATTCTGCAACAAGAAAGGCAATTGGAGAGGTGACTAAATTCACTGCAGTTGTTTTGCCCTCTTCTTTCTCCTCTCTCTCTTTCCTGGAAGTCCCCTAGTACAAAGTAAAAGAGATAATGGCTTTTGGAGTGCATGTTTTTCCTGGAATTGGAAGGAATTTTAACAAAGGAGCCCTTCACAATGAAACCCCCCCACACCCCTGCTTTTCACCTGAAGCAGGACAAGATCGGTGCCCCCACCATCATTCTCCATGTGACCCCAGGTGGGGATGCGGGGTGGACACTACTGATAAGCTCTTAGCAATTTCCCTCTTTATGGACTCTGAAGCTCCTTAGCTTGACAACTGATGAATAAGTTTTCTTTTGTGGGATAAGAGTAGGTGAATTTTCCCCCTGAATTCCCGTCCTGGGGCCAGGGAAGAGAGCCCAGGATCCCTTCTCTTGGCCGTCACACTGCGGGAAAGAGTACCTAGAGTTAAAAGCCTGATAAATGCCCTCGAACAGCTTTGAAAATCACGAGGTCAGGAGATCGAGGCCATCCTGGCTAACACGGTGAAACCCCGTCTCTACTAAAAAAAAAAAAAAAAAAAATACAAAAAATTAGCCGGACATGGTGGCAGGCGCCTGTAGTCCCAGCTACTGGGGAGGCTGAGGCAGGAGAATGGCATGAACCCGGGAGGCGGAGCTTGCAGTGAGCGGAGATCGTGCCACTGCACTCCAGCCTGGGCGACAGAGCGAGACTCTGTCTCAAAAAAAAAAAAAAAAGTGATTATTATATACTTTATTTCAAAGATGAAATGTATGACCATACAGCAAAATAAAATTGGGATAAAAAAATAACCTGAAAATCAGGAAACAGGAGAAACAGTCTAAACATTTAGTTTTGTGGTCTTGCCTAATTATTTTTCTTATGGTCAATAAGGAATAATTTAAAATGACCTTATTCCTGAGTACCTGGAGACTTCTAAGAAGTTTTTAAGAATAGTTTTATGTTGAAGAATCATCCCAAGAAATACTTCCAAGATATATCTGTGTTGCCATCCTAGTTACTATAAACCAGAGAAAAATATTTTAATTACTCTTTTTTAATGAATATGTACAAAAATGCTTCATTATAAATCTAAAATATAGGAATATGTTCAGTAATTGATTTTTGCAAAAAGTATGTTATTATTATTTTTCCCTAAAGCAGGGAGAGAACTGTAGCTTCATAATCTGAGATATCAGGTAAGGAAGTCCTCCCCTATTCTTTTTTAAGGAATAAGCTTTTTATATTCCTCTCTCCAGTCTCTCAGAGATAGCATCACATAACTCCCCTATGCTCTGTTGGCTCCATCCTCGGGGGCAAGTGCTATTTCACATCTTACTCTTAAATCACTTTTAAGAAATAGACATAGCTTCCACCAAAGAGGAGCCCTCCCAACAGACCTTTAATAACACCAAAGTGTTTCCATGTGTGCGCCCTTAAGCGAACATACACAAATGAAATGAATCTACAGATTATGAAGCCAGTTTTTATAAGTGACACATGAATATCAGTCATATTAGACACACTCCTGCCGAGTATTGTAACAAATCTCTTTTTACCACATACATGAATAGCTGTCCCATATATTCATAAAATATAAGAATTTTTTTTGATTAATAAGCTTCATTTTTTAGAGTAGTTTTAGACTCACAGCAAAATTGAGTGGAAAGTAGAAGAGTTCCCCTAGACTCCCTACTCCCTTACACACACAGCTTCCCCCACTGTCAACATCCTGCACCAGAATGATGCATTTGCTATAATCGATGAACCTACACTGACGCATCACTATCACCCAGAGTCCATAGTTTACATTAGGGTTCGATAAAATAATTTTTTACAACTTAAATCCCCCAATAAACTTAACATTACTTCTCTGGGCCATACGTTTTTCTGCATCAGTAAAATGGGATAAGAATATTTATTTGGAGCTGGGAGTGGTGGTGCATGCCTGTAGTCTTAGCTTCTTGGGAGGCTGAGGTGGGAGGATTGCTTGAGCCCAGGAGTTTGACGCTGCAGTGAACCATGATTGCATCACTGCACTAAAGCCTGGGCAGCAGACTGAAACCCTGTCTCAAACAAAATAAAACAAAGATAACAAAAAGGTAACATTTATTTGGAAGGTTTTGTGAGTATTATTTGGGATACATTATGAAAAGTGCTAGCACATTATGACTATTCAGTTATGGTTAGTTAACTTTATCATTAAGATCGTTATAACCTGTAGGAACTGACCCTGCTACCCCAATCCTGTCTTTGAAGGAGCAAACCCATATGGGAATAAAAATGACTGGCTCCCCTCCCTGCCTTGACCTGTCATTTGAGTCTACCTAATTATAAAATGAACAGGGTTTTAAGTTTTGAACCTATTCCCTGTCATGGTGGGTAGAAAATCAATCACTACACCCCTATTTATAGAACAATCAGAACAGAGGAAAAGACCCGATTTTGAATTCCAGCCATACATTAATTGTGTGCCTTTAGGAAAATCACTTAAGCCTGTTAACATTCATTTTATTCCACTGAATAATAATACACGAAAGCACTTTATATACTTGAATGAACTATGCTCATTTACAGGGTTCTGCGCATGACACTGCATCTGTAAAACTGAGAAACCAACAAAGTGAGGGCAGAATGAAAAAAAAAAACTTTCAGAATGTTCTTCCTTTCCTCAATGCCATACAGTTTGTGCAGTCAGCTGATTGGCTGAAAAGAGTCAGTTTTGACGACTGATGCTTCCTGCTCATGTTTAGTTGGTTTAGGAAGCTCATTAGGATGCTATCTCGGAGATGAGTCTGGTGGGTAGAATATCTGATGACTGTAAGGCAAATGTGCTTCCTTCAGCTGGTGAATTAATTTCTCAATAGACTCAATTTGCTTTTTACCAACTGTCTGGCAATATCCGATATTTGCAATAGTCTTTCAAACACTTGCAATAAAATCTGGCTCACACACACAACCTGTTAGCGGTGAAAGAGAAACATTCATCACATTCAAAATTCTCCAAACATGAGAGCAGCTGAATGTGCTTTAAGACAGTATACCTAATGATACATCTCTATTTTCCCCTTCCTCTTACAATCATTTACACAGATATATGAGAGGTAAATATGTGTTTAGAAAGTATTAGTCATCATAGATGTACCTCCAGTCATCTATTCAACTGTAATCATGGTCAAATATGCACTTGTACAACTTTATACTATCAATGAGTATAGGTAGGTGAAAATTAGTGTTGCCAGAAAAAATCCAAACCAGAAAACTGAAAGTATAGAAAAATTATACGTTATGTCATTGATAAACCATTTTAAAATAATATATCACGTATAGAATAAAAAATTCCGTGAATATATACATGCAAATTATACATATATGTGAATTTAATTTTATTAAAAGGTAATTGGCATCTGCAATTTCATGCAGTCTAAGTGAAACCCATAAAGAAATGTGTATGAAATAGGAAAGCAACAAAAGCTCATAACATTTTAAAATTAGAAATCAGATTCAAAACCAATCATGATCTATTTTAAATTTCTCTCTATAACATTTCAATTGAGACATAAAACACACTTTATACAACATGCCTCACTATTTTATTAACAGCATGACTTCCCTTTCCCCAATCCCCAAACCATGTTCCCATCTACACCCCACCCCACCCAACTCTCACCTCTTCCATTAGCATTATTACAAACATATTTTACAAATCTTATATCAAGCTTTTCCACTCTGTCTCTTTTAAATGTAGAAATATCTTATATATAAACCCGAATACCACAAATCTTCACATTTATATTTTCTAAAGCAGTTAAATCGTTATAGACAATTCTACCTAAAAAGCAAAATGCGCTTGACAATATGTCATGTTATGTTAAGTTGACCAGACACAGAAGTCATTTCTGTCGGATTTCTTGTCGATGTTTGCATTAAGTTGGAGCTTTCTGATCTCGGCTCCTGTTGTGCCAGTAATTTGAAAGGTCACCTCTCTGTTGGCCTTTGGCTTATGCAATGCAGTCTGTCAATTAAAAGTCTCAGCCGGGCGCGGTGGCTCACGAGGTCAGGAGATGGAGACCATCCTGGCTAACACGGTGAAACCCAGTCTCTACTAAAAATACAAAAATTAGCCGGGTGTGGCAGGCGCCTGTAGTCCCAGCTACTCGCGAGGCTGAGGCAGGAGAATGGCGTGAACCCGGGAGGCGGAGCTTGCAGTGAGCTGAGATCGCACCATTGCACTCCGGCCTGGGATACTGAGTGAGACTCCGTCTCAAAAAAAAAGAAAAAAAAAAGTCTTGTAAATTTGTACATAGAATATTGAAGTTAGAAGAGGCTTTTCACTCTCTGGGCTCTAATACTGCCCAGAGGTTGTTTCTTGTTCCCATAAGAAAATCCTGTATGTCTCTCCATTACCATTCCTGATACTTACCTCCAATTCAAAATGTGGCCAGTTCCACCTTCTAAGCCTTTATACCAAATTGACTGGGTAGGTTTATTATGAATCTGTGTCTTTGTCCAAACTCTACATTAGACCTCCCAGGAGAGTTCAAACTAAAAACTAATGAGTAAGTGCAATATTACAATTGAAACGGGAGCAAACATAATTTCAAGTAGGACTCATAAAAACTGTGGGACCAAAAGAGGAAAAGTGCACGCCGAATGTTCTCAGTTCTGAAATGGCTCTTGTGAAATATCTATGTGAAAACACTTCAAGGACCTAAAAAAAAAATGGTGAAAAAGAGAACAATCTTCCTTGCAAAACAACTCCAGAGTTAATGCCAGAGCTTTCTATCAAAACATCCATGCTAAATTCACCAGAAAGATTCAGAAGATCAATGACAGGAGTAAGGGAAAAACAAGGACATTTTGTGAGTGGAACATATAATGACCCTGCAGCAGGAGACCCAGAGAGTGGGAAAAAAGAAATGGAGGGTGTAAGTAAATTAATTGCCTGTAACATGTTTAATGAAATAAGTAGACGTGTGATGCAAATTTCTTAATAGTCAAACATTATGCAACATATGATGCATAAGAATTGTACTATCTCAAATTTTTTTAATGTGAGATTTTCTTGATGCCACTTTCATTTACCTACACACACACAAATGGCACAAATCACATATACATATACTGACACGAAAATACATATGTGGGAGGGAGAGAAAGAGGGAGGAAAACGTTAATCATGATACATTGCCAGTGTAAGAACTCCCTTTTGGCCGGGCGCGGTGGCTCACACCTGTAATCCCAGCACGTTGGAAGGCGGAGGAGGGCGGATCACGAGGTCAGAAGATGGAGACCATCCTGGCTAACACGGTGAAACCCAGTCTCTACTAAAAATACAAAAAAAAATTAGCCGGGCGTGGTGGCGGGCGCCGGTAGTCCCAGCTACTCGGGAGGCTGAGGCAGGAGAATGGCATGGACCCGGGAGGTGGAGTTTGCGGTGAGCCGAGATCGCGCCACTGCACTCCAGCCTGGGCGACAGAGCGAGACTCCGTCCCCCTCAAAAAAGAAAAAAAAAAGAACTCCCTTTTTAGAAAGATCTTTTATTCAACTTACCAAAATTTTAATTGCCAATGACACAGAAACCAGCACAAATAAGTACTTGTAACTTACCCAGGTACAAGTGAATTTCTATGACTGAAATTCAGGGGCATTCTAAGCAAGAATAGTTCAATAGAAACTAATCTCATTATTTTTCATTTTTATTAAGTCATATTTATTATTCATAGTGTGGTTTCTCATCAAGGAGTTATTTAACATGCCAAATGCCTGCACCTCTTTAACTAGGTCTTTATGCATAGGGAATGTTTAAATATCCACAAAAGTAATACATACTAACCAATTTTTTAGATTTTAACATATATATTTGAAGATACGTTTTCCCCAAATGTACAGTTCTTTGTGGCCTGGATTGCCTCAGGAAACTGCCTCTGCCTTTTGTGGGTATTATGGCAAGCAAGGGCACTGGTAATTTACTGCTGAGAAAATGCCTAGCCGTTTGCCTGATTATGCCACGTCATCTTCCTGACACTACAGAGCACGGTAACCTCATTTCCAAAATCAAAGAACAAATCTGAACAGCTACTGTTCCTGAGGCAAACAAGTGAATAAATTCCAAAACATGCCATGGACTAATTGAAGATGAATTTCAGGCAATTCTTTTTTTTTTTTTTTTTTTTAGCTGGAGTCTCGCACTGTCGCCCAGGCCGGAGTGCAGTGGCGCGATCTCCGCTCACTACTGCAAGCTCCGCTTCCCGGGTTCACGCCATTCTTCTGCCTCAGCCTTCCGAGTGTCTGGGGCTACAGACACCCACCACCACTCCTGGCTAATTTTTTTGTATTTTTAGTAGAGACGGGGTTTCACCATGTTAGCCAGGATGGTCTCGATCTCCTAACATTGTGATCTGCCCTCCTCGGCCTCCCAAAGTGCTGGGAGTACAGGCGTGAGGCCCTGCGCCCGGCTGGATTTTAGACAATTCTATGTCGTCTGTTGAATCTATCATCTGTTGAATCAGCTTTCTAGTAACTACACACTATAGAAGTGAAACCAACCTGTACTACCAAGAGTGTATTAATTTTGCATGCATTTCCTAGTAAACAATGTAGACAGTATTAATTTTTATGTTGCCAAGGTCATAGTTTTGTCCCTCAAGTCATCTGCTAAATTTTGCCTCACCTGGCTCAGTCAGAAGGAACAGAATTGACAATATTAACTGGTCTCAGTTATCTCCACTGACAGGAAAAAACGTGTATTTTCTACACGGACTGTGGGAATCAGCATTTTCTGTTATTAACTTAGATTTTTTTTCTTGCCATTTATCTTTATGATCCCAATGTATTGATGTATTTCTAACACTACAACAAGATTTGTGTCACTCAACTGTATGTGTTGTAATCATTATCTTTTAACCATTTATCTCCATGAAACTGATGTCATTGAAAGATAGAAAAGAGAAACAAAAAGCATAGAAGGGAGAGAGGGAGGGAGCAAGACTTTAGTCGTGATACAATGCCAATGTAAGGGCTCCTTTTAAGAAAGATTTTAAAAAAATTCTTCTTCAAAATTTCCATTGCCTCCTTGAATGAACTGTGAAGGATTGCAAATTCCTTTAAAACTCGGTTTTGGCAATGACTCTGGATTTCCTTCATTAGCTAGCTATGCAGAATTCATTTTCCAATGCTCTATTAAAAATAAAAGGCCGGGCATGGTGGCTCTCGCTTGTAATCCCAGCACTTTGGGAGGCTGAGGCGGGCGGATCACAAGGTCAGGAGATCGAGACCATCCTGGCTAACACTGTAAAACCCCATCTCTACTAAAAATACAAAAAATTAGCCGGGCGTGGTGGTGGGCGCCTGTAGCCCCAGCTACTCGGGAGGCTGAGACAGGAGAAAGGCGTGAACCCAGGAGGCGGAGCTTACAGTGAGTCGAGATCACGCCACTGCACTCCAGCCTGGGTGACAGAGCGAGACTCCATCTCAAAAAAAAAAAAAAAAAAAAAGAAAGAAAGAAAGAAAGAAAGAAAATTAAATAAAAATAAAAAGGGAAGATTCCCTTAATGTTTCCCAGTCTATTAAAGGTTTCCTTCCAAAAGGAGCTCATTCTGATCCCATTTAGTACAACACCCTCGTGTATGCCAGATGGCACAGGCATCATAGCTTCACAAATGTCATTCTGATTCTCACCTTTAAAATGAAATTCCCTTAGTCTACCTTTCTTTACATAAACTACAAAACTGTAGACAAAGATATGCCAAATTAAAAGCCTCTTTTGCTAAACATTCTAGAAATAATTTGAGAAAAATGGGCGCAATTTGAGACCTTAGTTGTCTTGGAAAGGGGGTAGGTGGGTATTTGACTATGATTCTGGTCGCTATTTCTCCTGTTAACTATTTAAATGTGTGACCTTAAAAGAAAATCATTCAGTCTTGTTGAGACTAATGTCTCATCCAAAAAAAGTACTTAAAATTTCTCCTATGTGTCTTATAGCGCAAAAATGTTCAATTCTGTTTCAAGCCATTCTAACATTTGGTTTATAAACAGGTATTACATCATCAAGGCTTACTGCAGGCCTCTGCGATCTTTATTTCAATTTCATTCCTTTTTAGGCTAGATGTAATTTTGGGATTTTAAAAATGGAATTATATGTTGTTATGGGTTGAACTGTGTTTTTCCCGAAAATATATGCTAATGCCCTAACCCCCAATACTTTAGAATGTGACCTTATATAGAAATAGAGTCTTTACAGAGGTTATCTAGTTAAAATGGGGTCATTAGGGTGGGTACTAATCCAATATTACTAGTGTTCTTATAAAAAGGGGAAAATTGAACACAAGGGGAACATGCACAGAGGGAAGACTATATGCAGACACTATATGGAAGACTGGGCTGACACATCTGTAAACTCAGAAACACCAGTGATTTCCAACAAACCACCAGATCCTGGGAGAGATGCAAGAGACACAGACAGCCTCCCTTATATCCTTCTGGAGGAAACTACCTTGACTACATCTTGTTTTCAGCCTTCTAGCTTCCCAAACCGTGACACAATAAATGTGAGTTGTTTTAAGCCACCCGGTTTGTGGTACCTTGGAGAGTAGCTCCTGCAAATGAATACATTGTTATAGACTAAAAAGTGCATCAATCATAAGTGTACAATTTTTATAATCTTTCAATATGGACTCAGTCATGTGACCACCATAAACAAGAGCACCTCAGAAGCCTCTTTCATGCCTCATTAATTTTCTTCTACCGAATAGAACACTTTTCTGACTTCCTCTACAATAGATTCATTTTTCCTGAGGAAATTTCTATGAATGCAGGCATATTTGTGACACCACAGATGTAGCAGCAGTTCTTTAATTGCTGTATTTTATTCCACTCTATCAATGATCCATAAAATATTTTTACATTCTGCTGTTGGTGGACAATTGAACTGTTTTGAGTGTCTGCATATAAAAATAATATTATAATGAAAGTCTTTTGGTGTAAAAAATTCCCAGTCATATCTGTTGGGTATATACTTAAATGTAGAATGGTTGGGTCATAGATAGGTATCTGTAAAACCAAACTGTGCTTTATTAATCTACTTATTTTTCTTTTAAATATTAATGTATAATTTACACATAACAGAGTGTACAGATCTTAAGTATACACCTCATTGAATTTTCACATAGCTTCATACACGGAACAACTCAGATAAAAAATATCTTACAGGCCGGGCGCGGTGGCTCATGCCTGTAATTCCAGCACTTTGGGAGGCCGAGGCGGGTGGATCACCTGAGTTTAGGAGTTCAAGACCAGCCTGGCCAGCCTGATGAAACCCCGTCTCTACTAAAAATGCAAAAATTAGCTGGGTGTGGTGGCGGGCACCTGTAATCCCAGCTACTTGGGAGGCTGAGATAGAAGAATTGCTTGAACCCAGGAGACAGAGGTTGCAGTGAACCCAGATTGTGCCACTGCACTCCAGCCTGGGTGACGAGAGAGAGACTCCACCTCCAAAAAAAAAAAAATCTTACAAATACCCCATAAACCTTCTTCTTGCCAACTCAGTCAACTACAACCCAAAAAAAGATAACTCCTATACTGACCTCTATTTATATAGATTCATTCCATTAATGAATTAATGTTAATAGGCTGTTAATGAGCTTCATAAAAATAGTATCATGCAGTATATATGCTCCTGCATATGGCTGATTTTATTCAATATTAGGTTTTCAAAATTTATGAGATTCTTGTATATACCTATAGTTCATACTTTATAATTTTAATAGGGGTATTCCATTTTATGAATATATAACTGTGTTATTGGATGATTCATCTGTTTCTAATTTTGGGCTACTATAAATAATGCTAATTGAATATCTTATATATATCTTTTGTTAGACTGAAGTACTCATTGATCTTGAGTATATATACCCAGGAGTGGAATTGCTGGGTCAAAAGGTATGCAAACATTTAACTTCAGTAGATCTCGCCAAAAGAATTTTCAAGATGGTTGTTCAGATTCACATTCACACAACAGTCTATAAGAGTGGTAGTTATTCCACATCTTCTGAAACAATCTTCTGAAACAATCTTCTGTATTAAAATTCTGGATTTAATCTTTCAAATTCTGGATTTAATATTTTTATATTTGTACTATCTTTTTTTATTCTTATTTCCTTTTTTGGCTTTTTTTTTTTTAATCGCTCTGTTGCCCCTGCTGGAGTGCAGTGGTGCCATCTCAGCTCACTGCAGCCTCCGCCTCTTGGGTTCAAGTGATTCTCCTGCCTCAGCCTCCTGAGTAGCTGAGATTACAGGCATGCGCCACCACGCCTGGCTAATTTTTGTATTTTTTAGTAGAGATGGGGTTTCACCATGTTGGTCAGGCTGGTCTGGAACTCCTGACCTTGTGATCCACCCGCCTCGGACTCCCAAAGTGCTGGGATTACAGGCAGGAGCCACTTCGCCTGGCCTTTTTTCCATTTTTAGAATAATTATTTATTTTTCATTTTATTAAAATACTTGTAATTCCTTTTTAGTACTTTTAGTTATCCTACAGAATATTTATTCTAGACTATTGTGGACTACCTTAAGTACCTTAGTTATCCTAGAGGATATAATATTTATTCTCAACTATTGTGGACTACTATTTCTGAAGTATGTTCGTACTTTTTCCACTTCTCCAACAATGTAAGGACCTTAGAGCAGTTGAACACTATTTAGCTACTCCCACTCTTTGTCATATATTTTATTCAACATTTAAACTTTGTAAAAGACAAGTTAATTATATTTATCCTTACTTCTCAGGTTTATTTTCATGGTGAATATTCTTTATAAATTACTTTTCTTTAATATCTTTCAGATTTTTGTATCAATGATTACTGGCTTCCCACAAAAAAATTAAAGTGTTCTTTCTTTTGTATTATTTCCTGAAAATGCTTGTGTAAGACTAGTTCAATTAGTTCCTTAAGTTTTGGTAAGGATTCACCAGGTAATCCACATGTGGTTGGAATTGTGTGTGTGTGTGTGTGTAAAATGTGTTAATCATAAATGTAGTTTCTATAATACATACAGAACTTACTCAGATCTTTAGAACTTCTTGTGCCAATATTTTAAGGCTTTTATTTCAGTTAATTTCATTGCTTCCTCTAATTGTATGCTTCTCTCTGGGATAATTTTTTCTTAGTCTGAAGAACTTTCCTTAGTATTTCTGTAGTTCAGTTCTCCTAGGCAAACATTCTCTCAACAATTACTTGTCTGAATATATTTTACTGCGCTTCACTTTTATGTGCTTTTTCACTGGTTATTAAATTTTAGACTGGCAAATTTGCCCCTCAGCATGTTAAAATGCCATTTCATTGTCTCCAGCTTCTATTGTTTTTGTTGGAATACTTATTTGTGCTCTTTTACTTACTTTTGAGAGTTTTGTTTTGGTTCAGCAGCTTATAATCTGCATAGGTAAAGTTTTATTTGTATTATATTCCTTAGGTTTTGTTAAGTTTCTTGCAAGTAGGTTGATATTCTTTATCAATTTTACAAAATTTTTGACCAACGGCTCTTCCGATATTGCTTCTTCTCCATTCTCTCTCACTTGTCTTTATGTCCAGTTTAGTTATAGTAGATGTTGTGACAGTGCCTTATGTCTTTTTTGTTCTGCTTTATTAAATCTCTTCAGTTGAGATTATTTCTATAGATCAATTTATATTATTTCTATGAATCTCTTTTCAGGTTAACTTGTTTTACTACATTTATTCTAAAGCAAGCCTATTCAGTGACATAAGTTCAATTATTATGTTTCTGTTTTAGAATATCTGTGTGACTTTTTATAGATATTTAAATCTTTGCTGCAATCTCCATCATTTCATCCAGTTTGCCTACTTTTATTATATTAGCAACGGTCATTCTAAATTTGTCTGCTAAATTCTGAACTGTGAATCAGTGAGCTGCGCTTATTGTGCACATGTGTTTTGATTAATACAATTTTTGCCACTTCACATATCTAGACGTTTTTTGTATCATGCTGGACATTGTGTATAAAAGAATAATAAAGTATTCTGGTAATAGTAGTTTTAGAATGTATTCCCACTTTTCTCTATTAAGCAGATAGTGTTGGGAGAAAGTCATTACCAATACAATCAGATATTGGAGCAGTCAGGATTCAGTTTTAGTTTCAGTAAGACTGGCATCTTTGGCTTATCTCTGTTTCTGAAGTATGTTCCTTTTGAGCTTTTGATTGAGAGCTGGTAGGAACTACTTCTCATTAGTCTCAAAAAATGTTGTTGGAGATTAAATTTTAATTTCAGGGGTATTGGGCTTAGCCCTTTAGCATTTCACCCTATTCAGCTTCAAAATCTTAGAAATGTGTTGAACAAGGGAGTTGGCCATGCTTTTGGGGCAGGCTCTCTTCTTTGCAATGAGTTTGTCTCCCAGTTGCTGTGATACTCTTGAAGATTTTATTCTGTCTCTTGAAATCTTCTGGAATAACTCCTCATTCTTGCATATATCACAATAATTCAGTCAATATGCCTCAGGGAAAATATCTTTTGTGTGCCACTGCTTATTTTACCCCTAATCCATATCTGGGCCAGGCCCAATCCTCAGCCTTCACCCATAATTATAAAAGACACTCAGAGAAACAGTCAGTTCACATTGGAAGGTTCATTAATCTATACATTTTTGTGGACCTATTTTGACCTATGCAACTTTCTTGGCATTCACTTTAAGTGCTTTATGCCTAATCAAATGGCCTTTCTTCAATATTTTTCCCAAAGCATCTCAATATTTATAAAATTATACATCTCATGAAGTTTTTAAAGGACTAAAGAGATCTTTCAAACGTACATATAGAATAAAAAGTCATGTTATCTTTGTTTGCATGCTCATCTTGGGAAGGAATGTACTACTCAAGATTTCTTTTTTTTTTTTTTTTTTTTTTTTGAGATGGGGTCTCACTCTGTCACCAGGCTGGAGTGCAGTGGCGCGATCTCAGCTCACTGCAACCTCTGCCTCCTGGGTTCAAGAGATTCACCTGCCTCAGCCTCTTGAGTAGCTGGGATTACAGGCACATGCCACCATGCCCAACTATTTTTGTATTTTTAGTAGAGATGGGGTTTCACCATGTTGGCCAGGAAGGTCTGGATCTCCTGACCTCATGATCTGCCTGCCTCGGCCTCCCAAAGTGATTGGATTACAGGCATGAGCCACGGCGCCAGGATTACTTAAATTAAAAGCATGCTGGAATTGGTTCAACAAGGATTTAAGATGGCTGTTCTAAACAGGTTTTGCTAATGATATTCCGAGTCCTCTGACACAGTAATGAAAGTAAAAAGTTCTTGTTAGTATAATAATCATTCTGAGCTATTAGTAATATATATTATTGAGAAGCTACCCTACGGGTATTTAGAAACCCTGGACAAGGGAGAGGCAGTAGATTTCAACCAACATATTCTGAGGAAGCAGCTTAAAATGTGACAGCATATCTTGTGTTTAGGTCAATTGGTCTAAGGTAACTCAAATGTATAAATCATAAAGCTTTAGAGATGTTCTTGGAGAGAAATGTGTAATAACATAGGTGTCAGGAAAACTACTATGGACCACTCTGTATAAAAGGTGCTGGGAGAGTAATTTACTTTGGCCCGCAAGGCTCAGGTTAACAGAGGGAGGAACAGCAAACAAATCCTGAGAACCATATAGGAGTGAATGACAGACAGGGATACCAGCATCTATTATCAAAGGACCCAGAGGAAACGGGGAAGAATAGAGTGGAGCTGAGTAAGTCAGTGTTCAGTAGGTTTTAAAAGAAGGTAACTATCAAAGGAGAGGAATATTGATCTCAGAAACATCCTTTCACCTGGAGAGTAAAGATGGCATCAGAAGGAGCACAGGCAAATGAAAACCTTGGTCCCTCCAGCATTGTCTTATTTCTTCACAAAGTAAAATTTTGTTGAAGACTCAAATTAGCCCAATAATTTCCTGGCCTGGTGTACATTGTGAAAGATAATATTTCACAGTGTTCTATGGGTGTATTTGTGCTTTTTTCTTTAAAAATACAAAAAAAACAGTTTTTAATTTTCACATGAATAATTCATTATCATTATAAAATTTTAGCCAATATAGAAAACTTTGTGATTAAATAAAAACTTTATACATTTCAATGTTAAACATCCCTCATAGGGCTTTTATCCCTGTTTACTCACAATTTGTTCATGTCCCTGCACCAGGCATGTGCCCTTAGACAGTTGAAACCTACTTAGATGTATCTGCTATTCTAGACCTATATCTGGTGTTTGGATACTTAGTTCGGCTCTTCTAATTCAAGGAATATTAATCTTTAATGCATTGAATCCTGAGTACCATTATGTATGTTTCTGCTTCTTGAACCCTGTTTAAGAGACCCCTATTTAGTTCTATCAGGAGAGAATTTAAACAACAAAAGGAACCTGGTGATGTTTTTAAATAATTGATTTTTTTAAACCCCATATAAGTTCAATTCATATTTTAAAAGTTAATATTCTAATTTATACATTAAGTACCAGTATCTTTTGATACATATATACAAGAGGCAGCATGAAAACCAGTGTTTACTTTTGGTGCAAACTGGCGTCCTTTTAGGGCTGCTCTCACCTGCTTTCACTCATGCTTTCATCCAAGTGTTCAGTATCATACTGTTTTTTAGCTGTTCCCTCCAGCTTTCCTAGAAGTATGCAATCACCCCCCACCTTCCATTATAATTCTTTCTCAATCAGTACTACTTTTCCTTCTGAGTAACTTATCCTTTCTAACCATTAGGAAAAAAATATGGCCAGTTGATTAAACCACTTAAGAGTTGAGTGGAAAGACTTATTCCTCCAAAATTGCACTTAAATATTAACGGAGGAGACTGTCAATTCAGAGCCATCTAAGCACCACGATGGCCTCCTCTTCTATATTGTACCCTGCATTTAAACAGTTTTCATCACATACACACAAATGCACACAGATGCATACCCACATGCACACTCCAACTTTTCCTTTCCATTTCTATTGTTAGTATACTACTTGTTTAAGGCAGTAACACCCCATATGTTTTAATGAGTTTTTTTTCTTTCTCTCCACTCAAATCCATTTTATGATGTAGACCAGGGATTGAGAAGCGTTTCCTGTCCAGGGACAGATAGTAAATATTTTTGACTTTGCAGGTGGCACAGTCTCTGTCAAAGCCATAGACATTACGTAATGAATGAGGACGGCTATATTCCAGTGAAACTTTGTTTACATGAATGAGCTGCAGACTAGATTTGGCCCATCGGCAGTAGTTTGTTGAGCCTGGATCTACATAAATCTTACTGATTGCAGATGTTCTCACATTACTTATTACTTAAAAATAAAATCAATCATCTCATTTCTTCAACAAACTTAAATAATTTGTCCTAAGTGCAAGACATCTATTTACTTGTCCTGTGATTTCACTACAGAATAAGATGTTAAATTTAGGCTGACAATTGAGACACATTTTCCTGTTGTCTTTTTCATATGCTTGCAATCTAGTGAAAATAAACTATTGACTTCTTTATATGTCTAATGAAATATTTTGCTTCCTTTCTAATGCTAATCTCTGTATGTTACTATCCAAAGTCCAACTCACATATACCTTTCCTCAAATGCTAATTGGATGAATTTCTCCATTAGGAAAAATTTCACAACATTCTACTTTGCACTATACCATTTTGAGGGCATCACCATTTTGAGGGTTCATCTCAGTGTCTAGTACAGATAACATAATGTCTTACACATCACAGTTGCTCGGAAAGTAATTGTTAATGCTTAAATAAAACAACTCTGCCAGTGGTTTTCCTACTGACTTGAACTAAAAATCTTGTTCATTTACCACTTCTCCCTCTCCTTTTCTCTCTTTCCCCCTCCCTTTCTCTCTCCCATCTCTCTATCCTCCTCTCACCCCTATTATTGGTAGGTCCTATAAAATCTTACCTTATAGAATCTCACATTTATCTTTTACATCATTCACACTGCTACCATCCAAATTCAGATCTTTCATACCTCTTCATTGGACTATTAAAATAGTCGAATTCCTTTCTGTCATTATCTCCATGCCAAACCATCTTTATTATTTATCTATTTATATGTAACATATCACCCCCAAACTTAGCATTTTAAAACACACATTATTTCAATTTTTGTTGGTGGGAATCCACATGTGGATTAGCTGTGGCCTCTGACTCTCACTCTTTTAAAAGTCTGCAGTCATCTTAAGGCTGGACAGGGAATGATTTATTTGCAGACTCACTCACATAGTTGTTGGCTTTAGTTTTGTGCCAGGTGTTGTGCTGTAAACTCCCTTGGTTCCTTGTCACGTGGGTCTCTCCACAAAGCATCACACAACATGGCAACTCTCTTTATCAAAGCAAGCAAGCGAGAGGGCAAGAGGGAATGCCAGCAAGAGTTGGGGGTGGCTAGCAAGGGGCAAGACATAGTTCCTTGTTAGCTAACCAAGGAAGTAACACCGCATTACTTTTGTTGAATTCTGTCTCTTACCAGCAAGGCACCAGGTCCAGCTCATACTCAAGAAGGGGAGATAATACAAGATATCGGGAGGTGGAATCAGAAACATGGGAGCTGTGTCAGAAGCCACCCATCCCACCACTCCAGATAGTTATCACTTTCTTCTATTATGTTATTTTTTTCTCCTTAAAATACTTAAATGACCTAGAGTAGTGGTCTCTACAGTTTTTTTTTTATCCTGCTCTTCACTCCCAGAGTATATTAGTTGATGCAGCAGTTTGTCTCTCTTCATTATCACCAAACTCACACATAATTCATGCATGTGGTAGAGATGCTCTGTGTATGCATAAGTCTGACTCTTCAGAATCCCTGTTATTGACATGTGAGTGACTATTGCTATCCATGAGCCATTGAATTTCTACTATCCTCATTCTCAGTGGTCAAAAGGGTTGATTGCTTTCTACTCTCTACTTCTCATTGTCACCTGGCTTCTGTAACAATGTTCCTGCCTATACTTTTTTCCTTTTTGCAATGTCATTTTCTGCTTTCTTGTGTAATTTCAAGTAAAAAGAACTTTTTTAAAACAGTTTCTACCATGGGGTCCTCCTGAACAGTGTGACTTCTCTGCCCAAAACAGTTGTAACGTCCAGCTGTTTTCAGTAATTTTTCCTAGTTGGAGCTCAAAGAATAACACGAGAGAACTAATTTTTTTTTCATTCTGTCCAGACTAAGATGGGAGGGCTGATAATTCTGTTAAACTATTGCAGGGATTGCTAAGATTTTATTGCATGAATACGTCTGTCTTTCTTTGGATGCCTTTTTTTTTTAAAGCACAAAGTTAACTGTAATAAGGATGGTTATTTATATTGTTTATTTATATGTACCTTTGAGATTTCAATTTTTGTTAAATGAATATTTATTAAGTCATTATGCACTAGAAAACAGAGAAAACTGAAAACAAAAACCTAAATTGCGAGGATTTTTCAGTACTACTGTAACTATATGCAAACTCAAAGCAGTTTTTTTGTGTTCGGTGGCGCTCTGAAATCCTCTTCTGGATACCTTGCCAAGTCCAGTATTGTGGAAGATGGCGTTATGGTCCAGATCACTGCAGAGAACATGGATTCCTCGAGGCAGGCACTGCTAGAGACGAGGGACTTCAGCATCACCTGTGGGAAGGCAGACGCGGAGGATCCCCAGGAGCGCATGCACATCCGGTGGGTGGATGATGACAAGAACGTTAGCAAGGGTGTCTAAGTCCTATAGATGGGAAGTCCATGGAGACTATAACAAATGTGAAGATATTCCACGGATCAGAATACAAAGCAAATGGAAAAGTCATCATATGGACAGAGGTGTTTTTTCTAGAAAACGATTCCCAGGATTTCCTAGAAATCCTAGTGCTGGGATTACAAGGAAACGATGACCGGCACAATTGCCTCAGTGATCCTACGGATCACAGTAGATTGACTGAGCATGTTGCCAAGGCTTTTTGCCTTGCTCCTGAAGCTTCTGAAGGAGGATGGAATGACCAAACTGGGACTACGTGTAACACTTGACTCAGATCAGGCTGGCTATCAAGCAGGGAGCAGCGGCCAGCCCCTTCCCTCGCAGTCCATGAATGATTTGGACAGCGCCTTGGTGCCGGTGATCCATGGAGGGGCCTGCCAGCTCAGTGAGGGCCCTGTCGTCATGGAACTCATTTTTTATATTCTGGAAGCCGGGCGCGGTGGCTCACGCCTGTAATCCCAGCACTTTGGGAGGCCGAGGCGGGCGGATCACAAGGTCAGGAGATGGAGACCATCCTGGCTAACACGGTGAAACCCCGTCTGTACTAAAAAATACAAAAAATTAGTTGGGCGTCGTGGCGGGCGCCTGCAGTCTCAGCTACTTGGGAGGCTGAGGCAGGAGAATGGCGTGAACCCGGGAGGTGGAGCTTGCAGTGAGCTGAGATCGCGCCACTGCACTCCAGCCTGGGCGACTGAGCAAGACTCCGTCAAAAAAAAAAAAAAAAGTTAGATTAACCTTTTGTTAACACTATTAATTGGGCGGGGAATAGGGTGGGAGTGGGGGTTTGGGGGATGGGTGGGAAAGGGTGGTTGGGGGGACAGATGTTCCATAATTCTAAGTCTTTTTTCTATGCACTCTCCACCAAGAAGATCTGGGCAGCTTCTGTTCCTGCACAACAGTTATGCTATCCTTACAGGTAATCCCCTTCTGTTAGTGTTTAGACAATAATTCCACTCCTCTCTCAAGATTTACTTACGGTCATGTGCCCCGAAATGCTCAGATGGGCACAACCATCACCAAAGGTGGGATGGGAGAGCAGAGGGGAAATAAAATATGAAGCATCAGTTAAAAATAATAATACTAATAATTTGAAAAATGTTTAATGAAGACATAACTTTGTAGAAAAAGGCACACCTAAAGAAGGTTATTCAAGACAAAATTAAGAATATATTTGCTAATATATGCTTTGAATTAATTTTTGATGTTTCTTATGTATATATTTAAAAAGCAAACGTATGAATTTTAATCATTTTTTATTCATAGGAAATGTATAGGGGTTCATAAATTTTGTCACTATACTTCTCTGACCTTATATATTCAGTTTTGTCCCCTTGTTTACAATCTGACTGAGCTGTAAAGGTGTAACCATTAACCAATCAAAGTGAACATTAAAAGGTCAGTGCATTACATATTTTAGCTGCTTCCCAAAAAAATGGGTAAGGCATTCAAATTTTGGCATATTTTTGCAAGTCCAAACTTGTAAAATAAATCTGTGATTACATAAATGAGACTGGCTCCCTGTAAAATTTGTAAAAAACATGAGAAGGAAGTTCAATTCCCTGTCTTTCCCTTTTTATTATATTTTAAAGTCAGTCTCCAAAATTCTAGTAAGTTGATATAGGAAGTACTCCAGTTATCAATGTCATAACAACCTTATAAATATTTTCCAGGCTGCAAGTTTCAAAATAAGAACTTCCTTCCTATTTACAAATTAGCACATGGACATACTTTGGAATTATTTGTGGGTATCAAATAACTTTTTATTTTTGCAAATATTTGTATCAATAACTTCTTTCCTGCCTCAGCCTCCCAAAGTAACTGGAATTACAGGTGCCCACCACCAAAACCAAAGAGTGTTTATTTATTTTTTATTTTTTTTTATGTAGAGACAGGGTTTCTACATGTTGGCCAGGCTGGTCTCAAACTCCTGACCTCAGGTGATCCCACCTTTCTCGGTCTCCCAAAGTGCTAGGATTACAAGCATGAGCCACCCCACCCAGCCAGTGTCAATAACTTCTATCATGACAATTATCCATTTTGGCCATCAGTTATTTGTAAATAAGTGATAAGACATTTTGCCCTCATATCTATTTGTGATCAAAGGAAAACCAGTACCAAAGAATATTTATTTTCTGCATGATCAATGTGATTGGAACATATATAGTGTCTATATTCTTTGTTATTAGTGTGAAAAATAATAAGCAAATAATTTGTGTTTTAAATCATTTGTAAAAATTGTTTTTGTTGCCAATATATTTTAACCATTCTGAAGAGAAGGCTAAAAAAGATTTTTGCGTCTTTTTTTTTGAGATGGAGTCTTGCTCTGTCACCCAGGCTGGAGTGCAGTGGCGCGATCTCGGATCACTGCAAGCTCTGCCTCCCGGGTTCACGCCATTCTCCTGCCTCAGCCTCCCGAGTAGCCGGGACTACAGGTGCCCGCTGCCACGCTAATTTTTTTGTATTTTTAGTAGAGGCGGGGTTTCACTGTGTTAGCCAGGATGGTCTCGATCTCCTGACCTCGTGATCCACCCTCCTTGGCCTCCCAAAGCGCTGGGCTTACAGGAATTAGCCACCGTGCCCGGCCAGGTTTTTGCCTTTATAAGAACGAATGTAAGGAATAAAATTAGATGGCTAAAAATGGGGGATTGGGGAGGGGAAGACTGGCCTATTGATTAGGAGAAGGCCAGGAGTAAAGTCTGCCAGTAACATTAAAGATATGAAACCATAACCTTTGTTATACAATTTTATCCATTGCATAACAGCAATGGATGCTGTTTCTGTGCTGAATGGAAGGTGAGGTCATAGCAAGAAAGCTGCCTACAAGGCCTCATTTACAGGGAAGTTTTGAGAAGCTGGAGAAAATCTGAGAAAAAGCATATATGATGGTTGGAATTAAACCATCTACAGAAAGTATGTTCTAAGGTATTAGGATAAGCACCTAATTAAGCACCAGCAGGCTGAAGCAAGCAGAGGCGTCATCGGAGCTACGTGTTCACACCGTGCTGGGACTGAGAAGAAGCTGAAGGCAGTATCTCTTCAGAAGTTTCAGGCATCCGGGCATTTGAGAGGCCAAGAAGTCTGTGGCTGCTAAAAGCAAAAGGGCCAGCAGATTTAAAAAAATAAATAAATAAATAAAAATAAAAAACGTTGATTTTTAAAATCTAGAAAATGTCACTGCGAGCGCAAGGTAAATTGTCACTGCAAAGATAAAAGGCACCCTCATTTCCTAAGCTTCCTGTTCTCCACATACAATTTATTTTTTAAGATTTCTGGGCAAAAGTAATTACTGCTTGATCTGCATCGAAAACTATTTTAATTGCTATATTTCAGTATAGCATGTGATATGTGGAGCATTGCTGCTATCACTGGGCGAATGTCAGAGTCAGTAGATGTGTGATTTGTTGCAAGTTACTTCTAGCAAAGGCTGAACTGAAGTTTCTTTCTTTTCTGACCTTGATTATGATAATTGAATGAGGTAATTGGATGAAAATATCCTTACTTTCATTTCAACCTTAATTTTTTCCTTAAAAATTTTATAGGCAAATACATTTGCCACTTTCCTCACCTTTCAGCAATTTTTTCAGAAAATAACACACTTTTCATTTGGCCATTATCCTATTTAAAAGGAGCCATGAATATCTTGCGAATGAGAGAAAAGGAGGTCAGGCACGAATAAGATGTGATGACATTTGGAAGTCTGAAAGCGAATAGAATTGTCCTGACAGTCTAGCTAAGGAGAAGAGACACACCACTCTGAGTACTCACAATGCCAATGTAGTGGCAGTTTTTCCAAAAATCACTATGGATGATAAGAACTGGGAAGAGAAGCAGAAATCAAGAAGATTGAAAAGTTGCATATGGCAACAGCTATGTGGGTCAACCTTCCACATACTTCCCCTATCGCTTCCGTTGCCTATAGCCTTTGCACAAAGGATAAAGTCACATAAATATTCTTGAGAACAACACGATTTGTCCAGAAAAGGCTCAGTGAGACATAGCTGAATGATAGTTAGATTTGACGGGTTAATTTAGCAATTACTTGTGTGACTTCTCATCAAAGAGCAGATGTGAGTTACAGCATCATCATAAATGATGGTGAACAGATGCAGACCTGAACCAGAACTTCCACCCAACCCCCACAAACGTGTCTCCCCACTGTGTGACTAAGCCCATCGTCTCTGGAACAACTGGTAGGAAAGTGTGAGTGGGATCATCAAATCAACTACAAGAAAATCGAACAAAGGATTCTGAAGAGTAGAACTGAGGTTACAACAGAAATGTATTCAATAATACGGAAAATAATTATGTCTATCTTTTTAAAAAGAAGAAATACTAGTTTTACTTGGACATATGTGGTTGAAGGAGAGGGGCTGTGGGCATCTATCCTCCCCTTCAATGGCAAGGTATCAGTAACTGCTCAAAAGAAGAACTAGTGGTCTTTTCAGAAACTTTACTGTTGGGATTAAAAAGTATGCTAGTGGACAGGAAATAATATTACCACAATGATTTCAAGATGAATTAAAAAGGCAAATGTTGAAAGCTAAATTTCAAATTCATTTGAATATGAATTGATATTTACATAATCTGGAGTGAGGCAGAGCCTGCATAGAGCTGGACACCATAAGGGAAAGGACTATAGATTAACTAGATAAAATTTCACATCGCAATTTTCCAAACAAAATTTTATCCTGTTTAGTAAACATCACTTAAACACAATTTTAACATTATAAATATATCTGCACATATACATGTACAAATGTGTTATTTATGTAGAAAGAGTTAAAACAGATCAACAGCAAAACATGCATTTTTGTACATAAGTGATTAACAAGGGAGGGTAATGTGCTTCTTTTTTCAAAAATAGTCACTAGCTTGGGCACAGTGGCTCACACCTATAATCCTAGCACTTTGGGCAGAAGTGCTTGAATCCAGAAGTTTGACATCAGCTTGGGCAACATAGCGAGACACCAACTCCACAAAATTTTTTTTTTTAAAAAGCCAGGCATGGTGGCACACACCCGTAGTCCCAGCTACTCAGGAGGCTGAAGCAGGAGGATTATGTGAGCTGGAGGTCGAGGCTGCAGTGATCAATCAGGCCACTGAACTCCAGCCTGGGTGACAGACTTCATCTCCAAAAACAAAAAATAGTCATTAAAAAGAAAGGCCCTGCTGCAAAAGAAGAAAGGCAGTGGATTTGTCATACAGTCTAACTTTTATGAAGAGTTTACTTACTGCTACTTTTAAAGGGTATCTTACAGTCTGTAAATTGGCAGATGGAATAATGACTTGTACTTCCCTCTTATGAGTAATTAAAGCAGCTTATTTTTGTTCAGTGCTTCAACACCTTCATTTACTGTCTGATTAGACAACTTTTCTAGAATCTGCTATCTGCAAACCCTCCTCTCATATGCAGATCTACAACGTGTGAATATAACATTCCTGATTATATCATGACCACTCCCAGTGGGCTCTGCTGGTAGCTTGTTTTGTATAGGTATAGATCCAGTGCTGTTTCCTCTTTATTCTTTTTATTGAGCACTCTTATACATATATGGTTATGCAGAGATAACACACTGTCAATACAAAGATTTTCAGAATTTATTTGACAAAATGACACAAAACTAAAAATATCATTTACACATGAAATTCAAAGAACGCATTATTTTTCCTTACAAAATTGTGGAAAAATTAATTCAGATAGTAACATAGAACTAGTTCTAAAACTAAAATGCTAGTGTGAATGTATATAGGAGATATGGTTTGACTGTGTTCCTACCCAAATCTCATCTTGATTTTTAGTTCCCACAATTCCCACATGTTGTGGCAGGGACACAGTGGGAGGTAACTGAATCACGGAGGTGAGTCTTTCTCATGCTGCTCCCATGAGACTGCATAAGTCTCATGAGATTGGATGGTTTTATAAAGGGGAATTCCCCTGCACACATGCTCTCTCTCTTGCCTGCCACCATGTAAGATGTGACTTTGCTCCTCATTCACCTTCTGCCATGATTGGGAGGCCTCCCCAGCCATGTGGAACTGTGAGTCAATTAAACCTCTTTACTTTATAAATTACCAGTCTTGGGTATGTCTTTATTAGCAGTGTGAGAACAGAGTAATAGAACAGGCAAAATGAAGGAGTTTATTTTAAACCTGCTTTAAATTATTTCGTGGTTAAAGTATTTAAAACCTTTTCTTCTATTTTTAGGAAAACAATGAGAAAGCTAAACACAGGTCTAACTTGTTATTCAACTAAAAATTATTTTAAAAATATTTGAGTACAGACTTCTGGCACCAGCCAAGACAAAGCATGCTCACCAAGGCCTATTTCTCTTTCTGACTGAAATTAAAACTCTGGACATAAAAAGCAACTATCAAGGACTCTTAAAAGTAAACAATAACAGATGGATTGAAGGCAAAATCAAAATACCAATAGTGACCTGTAACAGGGGTGGGTTTAATGGCTATTTTTTTTTTTTCTAACCCAGGTGTGCAAAATTTCTACTGTTTTTAGCTAGAGAACCAAGAATGAAGCCTCTGCAAGATGGAGCATATGTAGAGTGTTGGGAGCAGGCCCCCCAAAATCTGGCCATAAACTGGCCATAAATAAAATCTCTGCAGCACTGTAACATGTTCATAATGGCCCTAACACCCATACTGGAAGGTTGTGGGTTTACTGGAATGAGGGCAAAGAACACCTGGCCTGCCCGGGGTGGAAAACCGCTTAAAGGCATTCTTAAACCACAAACAATAGCATGAGTGATCTGTGCCTTAAGGACATGCTCCTGCTGCAGTTAACTAGCCCAACCTATTCCTTTAATTCGGCCCATCCCTTCGTTTCCCATAAGGGATACTTTTAGTTAATTTAATATCTATAGAAACAATGCTAATGACTGGCTTGCTGTTAATAAATACGTGGGTAAATCTCTGTTTGTGGCTGAGCTCTGAAGGCTGTGAGACCCCTGATTTCCCACTTCACACCTCTATATTTCTGTGTCTATGTCTTTAATTCCTCTAGCACCGCTAGGTTAGGGTCTCCCTGACCGAGCTGGTCTCGGCATAGAGAAATAATTCTTTTGTTTTTCTCTTTCTTCCCCACCCAGCCTTGCCTGGAAGCCAGCTCTGGTTCTGAAGCTGCTGTCATGATACTAGCTGTGTAGTGGCAGCAATGCACAGGCACTGAGAACTTCAAGAGAGACAATCTCTCTCATTATTTCTCTTTAAAGAAAAAAAAAGGGGGGTACAGACACTTATGAGAAAACAAAAACACATGAAGACAAATATAAAAATACAATACTAAGATATCAAATCTAGCAATATTTAAAAACAATACTTTACAAACAAGTGATTTATACCATGAATGCAAGGCTGGTTCAACATTCAAAGCTCAACAGATATAAATTGCAACATTATTAGGTAGATGAAGAATAAACGTGTCATTTCAGCAGATGCAGCAAAAGCATTTGACAAAATTCAATAGCTATTCTTTATAAAAACTCTCAGCAAAATGAGAAAAGGGAACTTATCCTGATAGAGGGCATCTACAAAACAAACAAAAAAAAAACAAACAAAACTACCACTAAATTACACTTAATGGTGACTCTCCAACTGATTTAAAAACTGGGTCCAAGGCAAGAAGTCAGATCTTTTACCACTTATATTCAACTTTATACTGATAGTCCTAGCCAGATCAGTAATGTAGGGAAAAAAATCAGTGACATCCACATCAGAAAGGAAGAAATAAACCTGTTTCTATTTTCAGACAACAGTCTATGTAAAAGTATTCAAAATAACCTATTAAAATGCTCAATATGCGAGTTTAGTAATGTGGTTATATGCAAACTCAATAAACAAAATCAATCATATTTCTATATATTACCAAACAACGTTTGGAAATAGAAACATACAAAAAATTATTTAGAATGACATAAAAAATAAAGTGTTTATGTATAATTTTACAAAAATATGTGCACAATTGGTATTTTTCCTCCCAAGTAGCTGGGACTACAGGCATGCACCACCATGTCCAGCTAATTTTTGTATTTTTAGGAGAGCTGGGGTTTCACCATGTTGCCCAGCCTGGTCTCAAATTCATGGTCTCAAGCAATCCGCCCGCCTCAGCCTCCCAAAGTGCTGGGATTATAGGCATGAGCCACTGTGCCAGACTCCCTATTTACTTTATTTTAAAAAACCTATTTACCTGTAGATAAATGTTTGAGGTGATAGATACGCTAATTACCCTGATTTGATCATTCCATATTATATACCTCAAAATATCACACTATACCTCATAAATATGTACAATTATGTGTCAATTAAAAATAAAACCAAAAAATTATTTTTTCAACCTTCATAGTAGCTTTTTTTTAATTAAAGGAATTTATCTCTAATAATAAAGTCAAATAGAACAAAAATTACAGACTGAGGATCATTTTGTGGAGGAAATACAAATGTAGGCCTGGAACAGAGGGCATAAAAAAATAACATCATCCTCTTAAGTATATACTTTAAAAAAAAAGAAAAAAGAAAGTTGTAGATATCAAAAAAAAACAACAACACATTTTACTTTTAACTGGGCACTTTCACTACACTTATATCACAATGCTGCCTGGATAACATTTTAAAGAATTGTTTATTACAAATGAGAGGAAATGCCAGCTAAAGTCAAGGGAGTTGAACAGTTTTCAGTTTTCCCTGCCAATCTAAACCACCAGTGCCAGTAAGGACTACTCAGTGAAGAGTGCAGAGCAGGAACCCAAGCGTGTTGTGATGTTAAAAACAGCAGTTATTTTATATCATGGGTTTTGAATCACTGATATTCTATTTTTGTTGTTGCTTTTTATTGATATACCAGAAATAATGTTATTTTTTAAATGTTTCATGTTCTGAATGACCTGTTCTTAATACTTTCCTCTTTAGAGCGGTCTTCATTTATTTCCCCAGAAGTGTAGATGAGGTGATTGTTTATAGAACTTACATCTTTAAATGCTCTCAATCGTTGGAGTGTTTGACGTTCTTGGTTGACCCATTCTTTTTTCTTTTGCTCCTTTTTATCTTGTCTCTTTTCTATATTTAAGCAGATGTATATTTGTAAATTGCTCAACATTACAAAAATGTGTGGCATACAATAAAAATGTCCTGACAAAGAAAGAGGCTGTACCCCAACATTACCACCCCAAGACTGCGCCCAGACTGCAGGCCTGGAGGTGAATTGGCTGACAGCTGCAGGTCCAGGGCAGCGCAACTCCAGTTTCCACAAGTCTAGGCCTGCATGTCACGCTACACAAACATAGAACATTTTCCTTCGGAGGACACTCACCATCTGAATACTGTGATGCTGACGAGAATATCTTATGCTTTCTTCAGCCTGTTGCAATCTGAGCCAATGATTTTCTTTGCACTGATCCTGGTGGAATAATACAAATCACCTACATGGTTTTTAGTGTTACCCTGGTATAGCATAAAAGGTTAAAAGAAGAAAGCACTGCATTTGGGCGTAGTGTAAGGCATTCATTAATATTAGTTCTGGTGCGGCCCAATGGTACTCTCCTCCACAGTCTATGATGAGAGTTGCCTGGCTGCTTATGGAAATAATTTGTTCCCAGCAGAGTGCTTTAAGAGGTGAAAACAATCCGCCAACCATGAGAGGACACACAGGCAGCCCCCATTCTTAAATGGGATGTGTCCCAACAATGTTTTAATGTGATTGTTTTAAACACATTTCCCCATAACATTATAAATACTAATTACATTTCCAAGCATACCTACAAACGCAGAGCAACTGAAAAATTGTTATAACTGTGTTTCACCTGTGCTTAACCACTCACTATACCAATATATAATATGCTATACATACATAAAATCCTTAATCTATGTAAAAAATAATACAGTAATACTCACAGATAATACTAACATTTATTGAGTAGGTTTTAGCTTCAGTGATAAATACTTTTCATGCCTTATGCTACTCTATCGTCACATGAAATTTGTATTATTACCACTATCTTTTTTTTTTGAGACTGAGTTTTGCTCTTGTTGCCCAGGCTGGAGGAGTGCAATGGCATGATCTCGGCTCACTGCAACTTCCGCCTCCTGGGTTCAAGCGATTCTCCTGCCTCAGCCTCCCAAGTAGCTGGGATTACGGGTGCCGTGCCTGATCTATCATCCTCTTTTAACAGAGGAGAAAACTGTGAGCCCAAAAGAGATTTAAGTAATTTGCCTAATGTCACATGACTACTACCTAAGTGGCCAGACTGCGATCTGAACCCAAGTTGAGAGCTCACCTCAACTACCATTCTATTAACCGAGTGCCTTCCAAATTCCAACATTTCCAGAATCAGTGGAAAGAGCTCCTCTAAATGGGGTAGGGGGAGTGATTATATCTTGAGAGTGAAGGTTAATGCTCCAAGTCTGGATAAGAGAAGGCACAGGAGCATTTTATATACATATACATATAACACTGCCAAGGAGGTGGAGGCATCTGTTCATCCACAGCACCATGGGAGTGCCAAAGGAGACTCCTCTTGGGGCTCATGGGTTTTCTGAAATGTGGAGCAAAGGGCAAATGCCTGTAGATCTTCAAATCCTCTGAATAACAGTTCCTAAATCCAGAAGTACAATTCTTAAACACGAACATGCAAAGAATATACTCTTCTAACAAATTTTTTTATTTTTAATTTTTATTAGAGACAGGGTTTTGTTCTATCACCCTAGCTGGAGTGCAGTGGTACAATCACAGCTCACTGAGGCCTCAACCTCCTGGCCTCAAGCAATCCTCCTGCCTCAGCCTCTTGAGTAGCTGGGACTATACGTGCGCACCACAGAGATGAGGTCTCCCTGTGTTGTCCCTGGTCTCGAACTTCTGGCCTTAAGTGATTCTCCCACCTCAACCTCCCAAAGTGCTGGGATTACAGCCATAAGCCACAGCACCTAGCCAAGTTTTTTTTAAGTATTTGTATTTACATGGAAGAGTAATTAACATTTTTGTAAGCTACAAAAGTCACAATTTTCATGTTTTCTTAATTCTAACAAGAAAAGTATAGTAGGCTCGGCACAGTGGCTCACGCCTGTAATCCCAGCACTTTGGGAGGCTGAGGCAGGTGGATTGCTCGAGGTCAGGAATTCAAGGCTAGTCTGACCAACATGGTGAAACCCCGTCTCTACTAAAAATACAAAAATTAGCCAGGCTTGGTGGCAGGCACCTGTAATCCCAGCTATGCAGGAGGCTGAGGCAGCAGATTCGCTTGAACCTGGGAGGTGGAGGTTGCAGTGAACCGAGATCACGCCACTGCACTCCAGCCTGGGAGACAGAGCAAGACTGCGCATCAAAAAAAAAAAAAGGGAGAAAAGTATAGTAAATATGAGTAAATACAAATAAAAGTCTGTATAAAAATGATATATAGAAGCTTCCTTTTCTGTCAGAAAAAATTAAATTTCTTAGTGTTATCTTTTTATGTATTCATGGATTTTTAAAAATTAAGAAAAAAAATCACCAAATACAAGGTCTGAGGTGAGCTGAATATTGTTATCTGTAATTGTTTTGTGTACTAAAATATATTTAGAATTATTATAGCTGGTTATTAGAAATGGAGTTTCTACCTATTGTGGTTTTTAAAGTACCTGTGGTCCGGGGGTGGTGGCTCACACCTGTAATCCCAGGACTTTGGGAGGCCAAGGTGGGCGGATCACTTGAGGTCAGGAGTTCAAGACGAGCCTAGCCAACATGGCGAAACCCCGTCTCTACAAAATATACAAAAATTAGCTGGGCGTGGTGGCACGTGCCTGTAAACCCAGCTACTTGGCAGGCTAAGGCACGAGAATTGCTTGAACCTAGGAGGCAGAAGTTGTAGTGAGCCAAGATCATGCCTCCGCACTCCAGCCTGGGTGACAGAGCAAGACTCTGTCTCAAAAAAAATAAAAATAAAGTGCCTGTGTATGCAGTGGGAATTCAACAAATAGTTGTTGAATGAATAAATTAAAACCTTGAGATTTGCTAAATGCTTAAAACCCAAAAGAAAAAAATAATATTTTTAAGAAAAATATTAAAAATCATTTTAACTATAGCCATGGATAAGTTCATAAGCACACAAAAAATTAATCACTGTGTTGGTAAAAACCTTATTTCAATACCTCTTTATCCTTCATACAAGAATAAATCTCTGGAAGAGAAAAGAAAAGAAAGCTGCTCTGAGCGTACCCACCTTTCTACTCTGGAGAGAAGCTCTTTTGACACAGATCCTGCCCCGTTTAATAGACTCCAGCTGCTGGCACTGCCTTCTGAGTTCTTTCACTTCCGAATTCTTATCGTCCTGCAGCCCCACCACAGTCAATGACTAAGTTCCTCTGGACTTTCACATGGATCGTAATAGACAACTTCATCCTGTTTTTCTAAAAAGGTATTAATGATTGTTTAAAACATATTTTATTATTTGTAAAAATACATTGAATTTTTTTAAATGTAAGGAAAATAAAGATCACTTGTAATCCCACCACTGAGAACCACTATTAACATATAAAAAATCTATGTGTATAAATGTAATATACATATACACATGTGTATATATACATGACTATACACATGTATGTAAGTAGCATGTGTGTATATACATGTAAGTAGTATATGCATGTATATATACCTGTATAGACATACGTATATATACACATGCACACACACACACATACTACTTACATAGCTACACGTATCAATGGAGTTCTAAAAGAACACTTTCCATGGGATGGAAATAAATTTTTAGGCCAGGTGCGGTGGCTCACGCCTGTAATCCCAGCACTTTGGGAGGCCAAGGCAGGCTGCACACCTGAGGTCAGGAGTTCAAGACCAGCCTGGCCAACATGGCAAAACCCCATCTCTACTAAAAATACAAAACTAGTTGGGCACAGTGGCGTGTGCCTGTAATCCCAGCTACTCAGGAGGCTGAGGCAGGAGAACAGCATGAACCTGGGAGGCAGAAGTTGCAGTGAGCCGAGATCGTGCCACTGCACTCCAGCCTGGGCAACAGAGCAAGACTCCATCTCCAAAAACAAAAAAAAATTAAAAAAGATAAATTTTAATGGCAGCATAGTATTCTCTAATTTAAGCAATCCATGTTGTTAGGCTGTTCCAATGTTCCATTATTATTCATTTCACTGTGATGAACATCTCTGTATAAATCTTTGTGTATGCTTTTTATCACTTCCTTAGCAGATAAGTGTTTAAGGATCTTGATACCCATTGCCACACTGCCCTCCAGAAAGGCAACTTATATTCTACCAGCAATATATTATTAAGATGCCTTAGTGATATTTAATCTTGATTACATATTGATTTTTTAAAAGTCATGCTTACTGTAACAAATTCAAACCCACCCGAAGTACATCAAATAAACAGTGAAATTCTATTGCTCCTTCCCCAAACCTTCTGAGTCATTCTCAGAGGAAAAACATTACGAACAATTTGGCATGCATCCTTCCAGATTAACTTGTTTTTTAATGTAATTTTTTTCCTAAATATGTAAAATGCTTATAACCTGAAACTACTGAAAAAAATTCTGAATACTCAGGATTAAACTAAAAGTTCAGGATCTATGTGAAGAAATTTATTAAACTTGGAGGAACTTTAGGAAAAAAGATTTAAATAAATGGAGAGAGACATACCAAGTTCTTGGGTAGGAAGATTCAAAATTGCAAAGACCACTATTCTCCCCAAAGTAATCTCTAATTTTAAGCAAAATCACAATCAAAATTCCAAAGAGTTTTTTGTTTTGAACTTGATTCTAAATTTCATCTGGAAGAATAAACGAGTGAAAATAGTCAGAAAACTTGTGAAGTAATGTGGGGGGTACTTGCCTTACCAGACCCTAAAATGTGCCTCCAAGACAGTCGTGGGAACAGTATGGAGCCAGCAGCAGAAGCCACTCACGAACCAATGGAGGAGAACAACTCAGAAACAGACCCAAGTCAATCTAAGGTTTAACTGGAGAAATGTTAAACATTTAGGGAAAATGTTTTTAAAATCAGTGATTGGGACTGCTTAACAATTTGAGGGAAAGGTTCAATTCCTACCACAATCAAAATAAATTCCACCTGGACTAAAGAATTAAATGTTTTAAAAAATAACATCATAAACATACTGAAAGAAAACATAAGTATATATTGACATAATTTTGGGATAGGAGACTATTGCCAGACATAATACTAAAAGCAGAAGCCATAGGGGAAAAAAATCGATAAACACGACTTCATAAAACTTAAATATTTCTGAAAGGCAAGAAAACGCAAATGACAAGGAGAGATTATTTGCAACATATGACAGACAATAGAGGACATTATTCTTAATGTTGAAAGGAAATATTCCAAAGAAAAATGGACAAAGACTATGAATAGGCATTTCATAAAATAAGTACAAATGGCTTGTAAACATACAAAATTTTGTTCAATAATCACTCATAATTAAATAAATGAAAATTGGAAGACTGCCATTTTCTCTGTCAAGTAAGCAAAAATGCAAAAGAATGGCATGAGTCTGGGAAACATACACACTCATATTCTGCTGATGGGAGCGTCTTTTTTCTTTTCTTTTTTTTTTTGAGACAGAGTCTTACTCTGTCGCCCAGGCTGGAGTGCAGTGGTGCCATCTCAGCTCACTGCAATCTCAACCTCCCAGGTTTAAGCGATTCTCCTGCCTCAGCCTCCCAGGTAGCTGGGATTGCAGGCACCCACCACCACGCCCGGCTAATTTTTGTATTTTTAGTAGAGACAGGGTTTCACCACGTTGGCCAAGCTGGTCTTGAACTCCTGACCTCAAGTGATCTGCCCCCTCTCAGCCTCCCAAAGTGCTGAGATTACAGGCGTGAGCCACCACGCCCAGCCTGGGAGCGTCATTTTAAATGTACGACCTATCTAGAGGGCCACTACATAGTATGAAATTTAGAAATCAGAAAATAATACGGAGGTGAGGAAAAATGTATCTCAGATGACTGCTGTATTGTTACGTAGCAAAATGTAAAATATACATTGCCCTTGACCCAGTAATTCCATCCTTAGATATTTATTCCAAGGAGATAATCTGTCCTATACTCAAAGACATGTGTAAAGGAAAGTTCACTACACTACTGTTCAAAACAGCGGAAATTTGGAAATCACGGTATATCCATATAATGGAATACTATGCAGCCATTAAAATTTTGATACTTTTATTATTTCTGAAACAGAAAGACAATTATTATGTATTAAATGAAAAAGAGACTATTATGCATTGTATGCCTGTGTCAAAATATCTCATGTAACCCATAAATATATGTATCTGCTATGCACCCCTAAACATTAAAAAATTTTAAAAAAGATGTTACTGAACTGGTTATGTAGTTTTGGTTAAAAATTTATATTTTTACATATCAGCATATTTTGAAATCTACAAAGTTATACAGCAAATTGTTACCACTAAGTATCCGTCTTTTTTTTTTTCTTTTTTAGACGGAGTCTTGCTCTGTCTTCTAGGCTGGAGTGCAGTGGCACGATCTTGGCTCACTGAAACTTCCACCTCACGGGTTCAAGCCATTCTCCTGCCTCAGCCTCCCAAGTAGCTGGGATTACAGGCACGTGCCACCACATTGGACTTTGTATTTTTAGTAGAAACAGGGTTTAGTATTTTTGTATTTTTAGTAGAGACGGGGTTTCACCATGTTGGTCAGACTGGTCTGGAACTCCTGACCTCAAGTGATCTGCCCGCCTCAGCCTCCCAAAGTGCTGGGATTATAGGCCTGAGCCACTGTGCCCAGCCAACCATTGAGCATCTCTAGATGATGGGATTGGGGTAATAATCATTTTTCTTTCTTTGTTTTGCTATGTGCTAACAATGAATATATTATTTGAATAATAAACCACTGAAGGAAAACTTTAGGAAATTTTCAGATGTTACAGTTTACAAAAAGTAATTGATAATATGGTCTGTATTTCCTTAAATTTATAAACATTGTAATCTATATACTTAAATAAAAACTTTACCTTTTATAAGTCTTTCAAGAGAGTCCAACTGTGTAGTAAGCAGTATTTCTTTGTTTTTTAATATCTCAAATTTAACTTCATATAGTTCTAACTGAATTTCATAAAATTGTATTTCTAATTCATCTACAACATTTATATTTTTTTCTTGTTCTGGAAGATCTTCCATCTTATTTTCATAGAAAAAAGAAAAATAAGTTAAAACAAATAGTATATTAAAAACAAACTTTAGAAGCATTCTAGCTATTTTCTATTCCTTGTTCCGTACTAAATATAAAAGAGCAAATAGGAAAGAAACACTTTTTCATTTCATCTAGTGATGCTAATACTTTATCCCATCCTTGAAACAGAGAAAAACATTTAGGTTTTGAGAAACATAAATGGCAATGAGGTATTATTATGTATTGCATATCGGTGTCCCCCCAAAATTCATATGTTGACACTGTAACTCCCAATGTGATGTTATTTGGAGGTGGGTCCTTTGGAAGTAATTAGGTTCAGATTATGTCAAAAGGATAGCACCCCCATCATGGGATTAGTGCCCTTATTAGAAGAGAAAGACAGGGATCACTTTCTTTCTCTCCAAACATACACACAGAAGAAAGGCTATATGAGCACTCAGTTAAGAAGGCAGCTGTCTACTAGACAGGAAGAGGATCCGCACCAGACAGTGAATCTGCAGGCACCTTGATCTTGGACTTCCCAGCCTCCAGAACTGTGAGAAATACATGTCCGTTGTTGAAGCCACCCAATCTGTGATATTTAATATTGTTATAGCAGCCTTAGCCAACTAAGACAGGTGTTTACAGTGTTTTCTGCTTTAAAGTCATAAGATTATAGGAAAAAACTTAAGTGTCTAAGATCCTTCAGGGAAGTATCTCTTTGATTATTTTAGAGCTGTACTGAAAACATTGCTGGATTGATTTTCAAGTACAGTACCCACTTCAATACTGGGCTTGGTGTTACTATAAAGTGAATCCTACAGTGTGGTATTTTGAAACATCTTAACCAAAGGAAAACTTTATGTCTAACCTTCCATAGGAGATGGTGTTGGAATAAGTGAAGAAAAGCAGCTCTTTAACAATGCCTGGAAAGAAAAGTGCTATCTAAAAATACAAGTGTGCTTTACCACATGGTCTCACTTATAAGTGGGAGCTAAGTAGTGTATACACAGACAGTGTGGAATAACAGACACTGGAGACTCAGAAGAGTAAGAGGGTGGGAGGGGGGATGAGAAATATTTAATGGGTACAATTACATTATGTAGGTGATGATTACGCTAAAAGCCCAAACTTCACCACTACACAATATATCCATGGAACAAAACTGCACTTGTATCCTTTATTTATACAAAATTTTTAAAAAATAAAAGTGGGGCGGGGCACGGTGGCTCACACCTGTAATCCCAGCACTTTCGGAGGCCAAGGTGGGCGGATCACGAGGTCAGGAGATCGAGACCATCCTGGCTAACACGGTGAAACCCCGTCTCTACTAAAAATACAAAAAATTAGCTGGGCGCGGTGGCGGGCGCCTGTAGCCCCAGCTACTCAGGAGGCTGAGGCAGGAGAATGGCATGAACCCGGGAGGCGGAGCTTGCTGTGAGCCGAGATCGTGCCACTGCAGTCCGGCCTAGGCAAAAGAGCGAGACTCCGTCTCAAAAAAAAAAATAAAAATAAAAAATAAATAAAAGTGTATTTTTAAAACAAAGTTACGTTTATCTTTGTCTTACCTTTCCCTGAATTTCAGCTCTTTTGCAATTTAAATACAATTCTTTCGCTCTCATGAGTTGCAGAGTCTCTTGAGCTAGCATTAGCTTAAGTTTTTCCAACCTGGGAATTGCTGTGGCCCAGGCAGCCTGGCCAAGTCTCTTCACATCCTGTTCCATTTCTTTTTGCATTCCTGTTGGATTATAAAAATAAAATATAATTACACCTCATTAAAAAGGGAAACATTGATCATGAGCTAATTCTTTTTTTATTGCCTCCATACTACCTGCAGAACATCTTTTTTAAAAGAAATTTTGTTTTATTAACTTTTTATTATTATAAAAATAATACATGGTCATTAATATACAATTTTAGGTATTCAATTTTTAAAAGGACAATAATAAGTCATGATCTCACCTAGTTGAGGCAACTGCTTCTTATATTTTGGCACACTTGCTTCCATATTGTTTCTATGACTAGCTAGACAGACAGGCTCATATGGATAGTTTGACCAAAAAACCAGGATCATCATTCTGCTTTATATCTTGTTGATTCTGTGCAATATATCAGAAACTCCTGCCATTTATAAAAAAAAAATCAAGAATCATGCTTAATAGCTATGTAGTTTTCTCTTTTATGAATGTACCATAACTTAAACTGACAGACATTAAGTTGTTTCCTATTTGGTGTTTTTATCAACAATTATTTAAGACTGAAAAAAAGTCCTTCACCCAGCCCACAAGCCCCTGCACGGTCTGATCCCTGCCTGTCTTGCCAGCATTCTCCCTCATACCACATTGTCCTGCACTCTCTGCGATCCAGCCCCGCAGGTTTTCTGTAAGCTCCTATTTGCCAACTTCCCTCAAGCCAGGGGACCTTCGCCAGTGCTATTCCTTCTGCCCGGAACACTCCTCACTTTTTCTATTCTCTCAATTTCCATTTACCCTTCAGATATTGGGGCAAGCGCCACTTCTCAGAGGCCTTCAGTGACCACGCTGATCAAGCCCAATTTCTCTCTCACAGACCCTCAGAGCCCCATGTCTCTCTTCTTTGTGCCATTTATTGTCACTGCCATTTTCTGTGTGCTTCAGTGAATAGATAATTAAGATTTCTCTCCCTTCACCAGACTGTACAATGTCTCTTAATGCTTGACACTGAATTCTCGCCACCTAGAAAACACAGTGCCTAGTGCGTAAGAGGGACTCAAATGGTATTTGAATAAAATGACAATCAATTACACGTATCTGCGTATAGCATTTTTTTAGATTATCACCTGCTAATGCTTTTACTGTCTCCTTAAAATAATTCACTGTGATATCTTGAATAGAGACGACAGCTTCTCCAGCCCGTCTGGTCCATTCTTCAGCTTCTTTCTCCAGGGCAACTACCCTTCTAGGACCTAGGTCATCCTCATCCAAGGACTTCTACAGACAGAAGGGAAAATTATCTTAGTAAGAGCTAATAGTTATGTAGAACCATTAGGAAATTGAAAGGAAATTGGTCACATGGATTAATTTAACTACACTACTACTCAGTCAGTTAAATTTTCATTCATTCAGCAGTCCCTTACTGCATATGAATAAGGCTCTAAGCTGAGCACCACCTGGAAGACAAAAGGACCCTCTGGGGCATAAAGTGGGGGGGAAAAAAAACTACTTTCACTTCACATGCCTAGAATAACTTTTTCTAGAGAGGAATGTTGTCAACTTATGCTTCTCTCTATTAATAATAATACACAATTGTTTAAATGAGTGATCTGTGTTGTCAAGCACTCAGCACAGGGCCTGGAAAACAGCACTTAAGTGTTAGCTGTTGTTATCATTTCTTTTAGGGATATGTAATATTATCACCTAAAAGACAGTATCTGTATATTCATGCTTATAACATGTACTGGTATTGGACTGAATGTTTGGGTCCCCCCAAAATGCATATGTTGAAGCCTAAATCCCCAGTGTGATGGGATTTGAAGATGGGGCCTTTGGGAGGTAATTAGGTCATGAGGGTGGAGACCTCAAGAAAATTGGGATTAATGCCCTTATAAAAAGAAGAGGAGACACAGGATCTCTCTCTCTGCTCTTCACCATGTGAAGACACAGCAAGACAGTCATCTACAAATTAAGAAACTGGCCCTCACAAGACACTGGATCTGCCAGCACCTTGATCTTAGACTACCCAGCCTCCAGAACTGTGAGAAAAAAGTTTTGTTGTTTATAAGCCACTAATCTACAGTACTTTGTTACAACAGCCTGAACTAAGACATGTACAGCTATGTCATCCAATATGCAATTTTTCTTCTACAAAGCATAAGAAATATGTACAAGTTAGCCGACAAGGAATTACAAATCAAAACGAGATACCACTTCACACCCACTAGGATGGCTGTAACCAAAGAGACACACAATTACAAGTGTTGGTGATAATGTGGACAAATTGGAACCCTCATTTACTGCTTCTGGGAATATAAATGATGCACCCACTTTGGAAAACCATCTGGCGTCTTTCAAAAGGTTAAACACTGAGTAATCACAGGACCCAGCAATCCTACTCCTCAGTACGTACACAAGAGCAATGAAAAGATATGTCTACACAAAAACTCACACACAAGCATTCATAGCAGAATTATTCATGATAGCCAAAAAGTGGAAACAACCCAAATGTCCATCAACTGATGAATAAAATGCAATATATCCATACAATGAATATCACTGAGCAATAAAAAGAAATGAAATCCTGGTATTTGCTACAACATGGATTAGCCTTGCAAACATTGTGCTGAGTGAAAGGACCACATATTCAATAATGCTGTTGCTATGTCCAGAGTAGGGAAATCCACAGAGACAGAAAGTAGATTGGTGGTTGCCCAGGGCTGGCAGTGACTAATGGGTACAGGGTTTCTTTTGGGGGTGAAAATGTCCTGAAATTACATAGTAATGATCATTGTGCAACTTTCAATATACTAAAAATCACTGAATTGTACATCTTTTTATATATGTAGATATATTTTATATATATATGCATATATATACATATATACGTATATACGTATACATACATATATACGTATATATGTATATATACATATACACATACATATATACATATACATATATACGTATATATACATATATACACATATACATACATACATATACAGATTATATATATGTATACATATATACACATACATATATACATATATGTATGTACGTATACATGCATATATACATATATGTATGTACATATACATGCATATATACATATATGTATGTACATATACATGCATATATACATACATATATGTATACATATATATACAGATTTTACATATATATATATATATATATATATATGGTCTGTGAATGGTATTTTAAAACAGCTGTTACTTAAAGAAAGGAAAATTATAGACTGGGTGCGGTGGCTCATGCCTGTAATCCCAGCACAATGGGAGCCTGAGGCAGGCAGATCACCTGAGGTCAGGAGTTCGAGACCAGCCTGACCAACATGAAGAAACCCCGTCTCTACTAAAAAAATACAAAATTAGCCGGGCTGGACAAGGTGGCACATGCCTGTAATCCCAGCTACTCGGGAGGCTGAGGCAGAAGAATCGCTTGAATCCAGGAGGTGGAGGTTGCCGTGAGCCGAGATCACGCCATTGCACTCCAGCCTGGGCAACAAGAGCGAAACTCCATCTCAAAAAAAAAAAAAAAAGAAGAAGAAAGCAAAATATATGCGAGACGTAGACTCTCCAAATAATAGACTTTCAAAATAATGAACAGAACAACTTTATCCACAGGTTAGGGTGGCATGAGTTTCATCTAAATGTGATACTATTTTTATAGTACAATCATCTGGCAGGGGCATGAGATTATATGTGGAAAGATGGCCCAGTGCAGGGGGCAGAAATCAAGAGATCTCTTAGGTGTCTTCTGATTCCCGTTGTTGAGACCCAAGGCAAGCTATTTAACAACTCCGGACTCTAGATTCATTTGTAACACTGGAATAAGAATGCCTTTCCTGAATGGTGTCACAAGGATGTTTGATGGCTCAATGAAGCAAGAGCGATAACTGTATTTACTAAAATTTAAGTTACTGAATTACAATCTAGGGTCCTGCTATTTAAATTTTCATCCTATTTTAAGAAATCTGCATGAGTCCTTAGAGGAAAACAACTGAAGCAAATAAACATCACATCAAAAACAATTCATCAGGCTGGGCGCAGTGGCTCACGCTTGTAATCCCAGCACTTTGGGAGGCTGAGACGGGTGGCTCACTTGAGGCCAGGAGTTCGAACCAGTCTGGCCAACATGGTGAAACCCCGTCTCTACTAAAAATACAAAGAAAGTTAGCTGGGCATGGTAGTGCACACCTGTAATCCCAGCTACTCAGGAGGCTGAGGCAGAAGAGTCACTTGAACCTGGAGGAGGTTGCAGTGAGCCAAGATTGTGCCACTGCACTCTAGCCTAGCTGACAAAGAGAGACCCTATCTCAAAAAACAAAAAAAAAAATTCATCGCCAGAAAAAACATTTAACTCTTTAAAATTTGTAGGAATCTTAAGCTATTAAGATGACCAACGTAAATGTCTTCATTTTCTATCAATTTTAAATATAAATTCAATATTTAAACACGAGGGTGAACTAGGCATAGTGGCTTATGCCTGTAATGCTACGCTTTGGGAGGCCGAGGTGGGCAGACTGCTTGAGCTCAGGAGTTAGAAACGAGCTTGAGCAACATGGCAAAACCTCATCTCTATCAATAAATAAGTAAATAAACATAAGAGTAAACCCAAACAAACCCAAACAAAGTACAGAGATTGAAGATTAAGTGTAAATAAAGAAATAATATATGACAAATAGTAAATGTGATAAAATAAAAATTAAAAAAAAAACCAAAATATCAAGCTTACATAAAGTTGCAACTTCTCGCATAGCCCTAAATGGCCGCAATAAGTACTGGAAGAACGTGGTTGCCACGGTAACTAATTCCTGGTAGGCTTCATCTTCCTCTTGGTAAACTTTCATTAATGCTACCATGGTGTTGGCTTTTCCGTGTCCTTGAATAACCTAGAGAGCAAATGTGAATAAAGCTCAAGTCAGGACAGTGTAATACATACCCAACAAACAAAGCTAAACGAAAGAAACCTTCATGTTCTCAACTTTCAATACATCAATTTAAAATATTGATTAAATACGAAAATGTTATCATTCTCCATCAAAAATGCCCAATAAAACAAGAATTGTTAAGAAAATTATGATATATCCATGGCAGAATATTATTAGTGTAGTCATTCAGCACTGTGCTTCTGAAGATTGTTTAATAATATGGAGACTTTTGGCCAGGCACGGTGGCTCATGCCGGTAATTCCAGCACTTTGGGAGGCCGAGGCGGGTGGATCACTTGAGGTCAGGACTTCGAGACCAGCCTGACCAACATAGAGAAACACTGTCTGTACTAAAAATACAAAATTAGTTGGGCGTGGTGGCGCATGCCTGTAATCCCAGCTACTGGGGAGGCTGAGGCAGGAGAATCGCTTGAACCTGGGAGGCGGAGGTTGCGGTGAGCCGAGACAGTGCCATTGCATTCCAGCCTGGGCAACAAGAATGAAACTCCGTTTCAAAAATAAAAAGAGACTTTTATAATTAAATGGAGAGGCAGAGTATAAAATTTAATCTCAACTGTGCACTAAGTATGCAGCGAAAAGGACCCAAAAGAAGGTTTGAGGTTGTGGATATTTTTTCATTTGACTTTTCTGACTGTAAAGGTTTTGTGAGGCTGTATTCCTTTTTAAAAGCTCATAAGGGCCAGGCGTGGTGGCTCACGCCTGTAACCCCAGCACCTTGGGAGGCCACAGCAGGCGCATCACAAGGTCAGGAGAACGAGACCATCCTGGCTAACACGGTGAAACCTGTCTATACTAACAATACAAAAAATTAGCCGGGCGTGGTGGCGGGCGCCTGCAGTCCCAGCTACTGGGGAGGATGAGGCAGGAAAATGGCGTGAACCCGGGGGGCAGAGCTTGCAGTGAGCCAAGATGGCACCACTGCACTCCAGCCTGGGCGACAGTGCAAGACTCTCTCAAAAAACAAAACAAAACTCAACTAAACAAAATCTCATAAAACATTACAGAGCTGTCTCCAAGTACTTTAGCATGTTGATTCTCTTAATGCCCCAGGTTAATATTCCCATGAAGTCCTTAGCAGTCAACTCATTTACAGAGCCTCAGCTGTGGTTCCGGTCTCTGCTGGTTATTGCTTGTGCTGCAGGGCAGAAAGCAAACTGAACAGTGTATAATCTAGGTGGACTGATTTGGTTGGAAATTATTTTACTCCCACAAGAAGAGAAATAAAATCAAATAATATAGATTTTTTTCAACCAATACATTCTTAAAGTCTTCTATTTCCATCCTTCTGCTTAAGGCTAAAGTGATCTACTTTCAGCTGTATTTTTTATCCAGGTAATAATATTATCATTTTTTTTAAGTGAAAGCCTCACTGAACAAAATTAAAACACACAAGCAAAAGTCAAAAGGCAAGTGGTACATTTCAGCCTTCTTTCTTAGACTATTCAGAAAAATTCCGGAGTTAAAACATTCAGCTTCATTTTATATATCCTAGCAATCCTAGCAATTGGTCTAATTCTAGAATCAATTACTTTTCTATTCTAAATATAAAGTAAATATTAAAATTATATATTTGGACATGTGAAGTTTAGCTTCCCCTCTCAACCCCTCATTTTTGAGTTCCAGATAAATATGTGAACTACACTAACGTGAACAACTAGCTCAACAGAATGAACTACATTCATGCTATAGTACCCCAGAGTGAACTTAAATTTGGGAAAACTAACTTTTCTGATAGCAACTACAGTAAAATACACCATATAAATGTTCGATTTTAAGGAGAAACCACCTATCTCTGTGAGAAACCAAGTGTTTAAAAAACAAGTCTGATACAAAATGATACCATTTTTGAAACTCCCCTGTGGGTTCCTCATATCCTCAGGTGAAAGTTATAAAGTTGAAGATGAAAAGCTGACTGGCCTGAAACTCCCCTGTGGTTTCCTCATAGTCTAAAGTGAAATCAACACGTTAAGTGGGTGTGTAGACATTTACACATAAAGCTCACAGTACAAAAATGACCCCACTAACAAGCTCCTTTTATAAAACCATTTTAATTTAGAAAGCTTATTCTATATTTAGCTTAGGCTGAATTCTTCTTTTCACCTCCCCTTCCTCAAAAGAATGCACAGAAAAATATCATTCAGGTTAATAAGAGCAGTGAGCCGAGACTCCAGCCTGGCTCTGCTTAGTAAACCGTGGGTGTGGATTTAGAAGGCATACTTTCTCCTAAACCCTTCTATGAACATGTACTTCCCCGTCCCCTAAGTTCAGTAAGTTTACCACTCAATTACTCTCTCAAACTACCTCTTTCAAGCTTAAAAGGGCACTAATGCGGTTAAACTGATGAATAAAGCTCACTTTCTACCGGCTTTCCATTTGACCAAGTCTGTATTACTTAAAACAAAACACCCTAACTCCTAAAAGCCATTTCTTCCTTTAAACCATTTTATCCCACTTGCGACGTCCCCGCAGACACAGACTTAGAATTGTTTACGTGTAGTCCGTGTTATTCTTTCCTACATGGATGGGTTGTTTTCAGTTTGCTTGCAGTATTTCTGACATTTCCCGTTACAACATCCTGCTCTGCCAGCATCTTCAGGGCAAAGGTTGGGGGCCTAGCCCAGCTCCCAGCGGCAAGTACACTAGGCTCTTAACTTCGCTTGTCCTCTCTGCAGGCCCTGCCGAAGCTCCCCCTGGTTTCCCGCAGCGATCCCGCGCAGGTGAGGGTACTGGGGAGCCCGTGGCCTTCTCCGCCCGCCGGCTCCTCCCCATCAGCCGTCAGCCAGGGCTCTCGGCGCCGGGGAAGCCTCCCACAGGGTCCCAGGCCACCCAAGCGCGGTCAAACGCCGGCGGCCCGGCCTCGCTTACCTGACGCAGCCGCGCGTCCGCCTCGACCCATCAGGCGCGCAGGGCCCGCTCCCGAAACTCGCGCGGGCTCTCGCAGTCGGCCGCGCGGCCCTTAGCCGCGAAGAGAGCGTCGCGCACGGTGGCGCCGCCACAGCCGTGGGCCGCCGCGCCCAGGTAGCGCTCCAGCTGCCCGCAAAGCTCCTGCAGCGCCGCCTCGCCGGGGCCCACGCGCGCCGGCCAGAGCAGCGCCCACCGCCCGAGCCCCAGACCTCAGGCCCCGCCGCCGCCCACGTCCAGCTCCGGCGGCAGCCGTGGGAAGCAGTGTTCCAGAGGCGGCCACAGCGCCGCTGGCTGCCGGCGCGCGCCGCGGAACCCCGCGGCCGAGAGCCGGCCGGCCCAGCTGGGCGGGGACACGGCGGCCTCGGGCTTGTGCTCCAGCCCCAGCCGGGCCCCCTCGCGCCGCTGCGGCTGCTGCGCGGTGCGGTCGTGACAAGTCACAGCAAACTTGCCCTCCGCGCCGTTCCAAGCCACCAGGAAGCGCAACCGGTGCCTCTGGGGATCGGCGAAGAGGCCCTCCCGGAGCGGCGCCCAGCCCTCCAGGCTGTCGGGCTGCTCGTCCTCCATGGCCGTCGGCGGCAGCGGCCCTAGGGCTTGGCGGGCGCGGGCCTGACCTCGTCGCACCGCCTGTCAGGGGACAGTCCCAGGTGAAGCATTTTTCGCTCCACAATTGGTATTTTAACAATATGAATGAAAAAAAAAAACCTCAGCTGTTTTGATAGAAATAACAAACGTGCCTAGGAATCATCTTCCTTGAAGGGAGAGGAGGGTCTTACTGAACTTGAAAAAACTAAATAAGCAAAGTTGATACATAAGGACACCCTTCTCTTTACCCTTACCTATTCTTAACAACTTTAATTCATTTCTGACACTGTCACCAACTGAAAAAGGGTCCAACTAAAAAAAAAAAATCATAAAGGTGAGAAAAATTGTGACGTGTTCTATCCTAATCCAATATATCTAAACCAATTTTACTGATAGAGAAAATATATTAAGTGAATGATGTAAATACATTAATATAGGTAACAACTCTTTGAAAGTAAAGTTTGCACATAACATGAAATACATAGAGAATTACTGCCGTCTCGAAGGAGAGAACCCTTGATGGGGAGTGGTAGTCAAAAAGGTGTATGAGCAAGTCATCTGTTGCAAGGTGATGGGAGGAGATTTTTATGCAGGCATTCAATATCAGTCAGAGGTTTTAATGATTTTTGTTTTTTATCTTGAGAGTTGGAGACTAGAAGATCTAAAATAGGAAAATTTTGGCATATCCATAGATAGAATGGAAGCTCTTGGCCAAAAATAACGTGCTCCAAGTCATGAAAAATAGCACACATGCACAATTAACTACAGAGTTACACAAGATGGTGTCTTTTCATTCGATTTTATTTGAACTCTTATTCTTCTCTATCTTTTACGCTTTGTATCCTTGTTAAATTAACTCTTCCATTTTTTCCTCATCCTATGGGGTACTTTAAACATTTTATTCAATAACTCTTAAGGCAATTTTTACAATTCTATTCACATATAAAATTGTCATAAGCATGTTTTGTGAGTGAAAAATTCTAATTTGTAATGCATATCAAGTGAAAAGCCTCAGTTCAGCACTCGTCATATCCAAAATCTGTGTTATATAATAATGTAAAAGACATATTTTCACACATGTAGCTCAAATGAGATTCTTACTTAACATTTCTTTTTTTTTTTTTTTTTGAGACGGAGTCTCGCTCTGTTGCCCAGGCTGGAGTGCAGTGGCGCAATCTCAGCTCACTGCAAGCTCTGCCTCCTGGGTTCATGCCATTCTCCTGTTTCAGCCTCCCAAGTAGCTGGGACTACAGGTGCCCGCCACCACGCCCGGCTAATTTTTTGTATTTTTAGTAGAGACGGGGTTTCACAGTGTTAGCCAGGATGGTCTCGATCTCCTGACCTCGTGATCTGCTCGTCTCTGCCTCCCAAAGTGCTGGGATTACAGGCGTGAGCCACCACGCCCGGCCTACATTTTACAAAATTTAACTCAATCTTTTATTTTAAAAAATGTGCATATACTGCCTGTTCAAGTACTTACTCTTTTTATTTATTATTTGAAATTGGAGGTCCATCTTTTTAGATTGTTAGGAGGTCTTCACATATTTGAATGAGTTATTAAGTTGATACAATCATTTTGGAAAAATAATTATCATTATCTACTACATTTAAACACATAATTTATGACTAGCAGTTTCAACAGAAACACCTGGATGTTCATCAGGCTAGAATGGATTGGAAAGCTCCATATTCATTCAACAGGGTGCTACACAAAACAAAAAGGAATGAATCACTGGTCCATAACATAAACAGATTTCACAAATGTAATTTTGAGTGAAATAAGCCAGAAAAAAATAAATACCATATGCTTCCATTTATATGAAGACAAAGATAGGCAATATTAATCTATGGTAACATGTGAGACTGACTTCTTTTTCTCAGCATCAGCTGAGAGCCTGAAAAATATTTTTCTGGGGTGCTAAAAAAGTGCCAGATCTTAAAAATATTTGTACAAAAGATAATAATATTTGTTTTTTATATAAATAGGTACAAAACACAAATATGTACAAAAATGTATTTATAAATATGTTAAACAAGATTACTATTTATACTTCAATATGATTTTTTTCACTTTTGTTGACATTAGTAAACCATCACACTTAATAAACAGCCATTTGGAATTGTTCTTGATTTAGGTATTTCCTTGATTAAATACCAAGTAGGAACATACCTTGATTCTAAAATATAAAGAATATTATTCCATGAAAGTTTCCATGAAAACTATTTTGCATTCTAAAATATTTTTAAAAGTACTTATTTTCAAAGTTCAGTTTCCTATTTTAAACAAAAGTTGAGCTAAATTACATATAAGCTAGTCCCCAAAATATTCAGTAAATATCAAATGAAGGTGTGAAAGTTAAAGATTTCATTTTACTAGTTAATTTGCAGTGCTATTATTTTGCTTAATAAACAATTTTATGCTAGAAATAAGCAGATTTCCCTATTCACATTATCTTTACCAAGAGAACTTAAATAAATACCATTGATTACTTGCAAAATACAGATTGTAGATTCAGAGCTCAAAACTAAACCTCTGAGGATGTAATTCAATTAAAACAACCCATAGTTGTGAATTCACCTCACCAGTGTCCCTAAGACAAGAAGCTCTTTCTCACATCAAAGTGAATTATTTTAATTCACTTTGGATGTTAGGAATATCCTAACTCCTTTGTAATTAAAAACAAAAACAAAACTTCTGATGCTTCTTTATATCTTAACAATCATGAGGTCTATAAAAATATGAACACAGAAGTTTGGGTCAGTTCAATGACTGAACTAAAACATTATTTCCCAACATGTCCATGTTTTACAAGATGATGGGGTTGTTATCGGTGATGCCATTGCAAAGATCTTGATGGTTCCAAAACACTAAGCATCACATAAGCCATGTTATAGCTGTTGCCCCAGATTTACCAAACCATTTGGATTAAAACTCTCAGTAAGGACCTCTGAAGCACAAAGATATATGAGTAACTCCTTAACCCCTTTGCTCTTACTCTTCAGGTACAAGTTCAAATTTTCACCTTTCCCTTTCTGCACTGACCTTGGGAAAGTCACTTTATCTCTGTGATCTAATTTTCCACATCAATAATGTATCTATACTTGGCATAGAGAGTTATGAGAATAAAATAATAACATATATGGGCAATTTCTGTGAATACCAATTGTATAGGTGGATTTTTAAATAATAGATTTAGGGCCGGGCGCAGTGACTCACACCTGTAATACCATCACTTTGGGAGGCCGAATCGGGTGGATCACCTGAGGTCAGGAGTTTAAGACCAGCCTGACCAACAAGGTGAAATACCGTCTCTACTAAAAATACAAAAATTAGCCAGGTGTGGTGGCGGGCACCTGTAGTCCCAGCTACTCAGGAGGGTGAGACAGGAGAATTGCTTGAACCCACAAGGCGGAGGTTGCAGTAGGCCGAGATCGCACCACTGCACTCCAGCCTGGGCGATGAAGCAAGACACCATGTAAAAAACAAACAAACAAATAAATAAATGAAATATATTTAGGAAAACTATTATAAGAAAAAATTTGAAAGCATTAAGAACTCTATTATGGACTGAACAAAAAAAGGAGAATTGGTACCATACCTTGGTAAGTTTATTTTAATAAGCCCAATTTCTATTAGTTCTTCAGTGTTTCCTCTTGCTCCGTGAATGTATGTTCCTTGCCTCTATCTTATCCCATTTTTTCTATTGTTAATGCACAGAGAGTTGTCGCAAGTTCTATTCTCAATGCCTACTGCATTGGGCAATAGATGACTCTGGTTCCCAACTCAGAAAAACCTCATTTTTAAGAAACGTTTGAGCTTTGACTTTGATCTCATTCAGAATATTTTGGTTCAAAAGTTTTTTGTTTTTTTGTTTTTTTTGAGACGGAGTCTCGCTTTGTCGCCCAGGCTGGAGTGCAATGGCGCGATCTCGGCTCACTGCAAGCTCCGCCTCTCGGGTTCACGCCATTCTCCTGCATCAGCCTCCCTAGTAGCTGGGACTGCAGGCGTCCGCCACCATGCCCGGCTAATTTTTTTTTTTGTATTTTTAGTAGAGACGGGGTTCCACCATGTTAGCCAGGATGGTCTCAAATCTCCTGATCTTGTGATCCGCCCGTCTTGGCCTCCCACAGTGCTGGGGTTACAGGTGTGAGCCACCACGCCTGGCCCAAGAGTCTTAAGTTTGTGTAAATAAGCACCTTTGAAAACTACATCTACAAATGGGAATATGGAATAAAAAGGACAAGCCAAAGGTTATGGAACAAAATAAAACATGAAGAAAGAGAAACACAATATTACTATATACAATATAGTAATATATTTTAAAATATGAAAAACGCTAGCAAAAAAAGCAATATGTAAACAAAAGAATTGGAGTAAAATAATATAATTTGAAACAGCACAATCTGCTGAAAATATACAAAAGACAAATTAGGGTATTCCTGAGCTCACTGTTTATAATATTAGAACATGTATATAAAAAGGAAAAGTGACTTTAAACTGTCTGGGGGCCAAGGAATATATAGTTTGTTACATTTTATTTACAAACAGTTTCTTTGACTAGGGAATCAATTTAAATTTTCTGTTTTGGAAATAATATAAATATATCTTTATTTTAGACTTTTTGCTGTAAAGTTTCTTAAATATTTACAACTTTAGGATAATCAGTGTACATTTCAATATATAATGTCCTAAAAATCAAACAGCTACCAAACATTGAATTGAAGTTCTGACTTATATAAATCATTTGCATAAAAACTGATCATTAAAAACAGTATCTAATGAACATTTTGGCCCCAATATTAATTAAAACTGAAATGATAGCATTACAAGCTAAAGATTAATTTCAATGACATGTCATTCAACCATTTTGACATAATTGACTTATAATAATCTAAAATTGACTATTTTTATGACATATTTGACATAAATGAAGAGAAAAAAGCTTCGACTCATTCTTAATTACTCATTCTAACCAATTGATGGCCAATAACTGAAATTAATTTCAAACCATTTTTTGTTATTTTAATCTTTTAAACATGTTTTACTTTCAGTGATTCATTTTCTAACATTCATAGCCAAAGCCCAGGCTCTACCCATCTTTGTCTACCTTAATGACTTTGTCAATTATTGGCATACACTGGGTCTTAAAAACTTGTGTTTCTTCCGAATTAATTAATGAAGTAGAATTGCTCTTATAGGGTTTCATATACCATTACCTCCAAAAGAGTACATTAGAAGTATTAGAAAATACTGATATTTATAAACAGATATTTATCTTATGATACAAAGAGCCAGAGCTGTTTTATTTTCTGTAAAACTAAGAATAACTTCTTGATAACATAGCTTCACAAAAAGAAAACCCAACACATTTCCATAAATAATTCTCTGAAATAACTATGTGAGTTTGTGTCTTTTTATATACATGTAGATATACATATACTTACACATCTATACATATATATGTAACATAAAGGATATGAACATTAGGACTGTTTAAATGTCTATTTGTCTTGGAAAGAAAAATATACTTAAAAATATTTCTCAATTGGGATTTGTAATCGTACCAACTTAATTGATAAACTTGGCAACTGCTTTTATGTTCCGTCTCCTTCCATAAATTTTTCAAAACACTAATTCAACAAAGAAAAAGCTCTAATTTTCATTGGAAATAATTTATATACTTGTTTAGAGCAGAGAAAAATTAAGAAAAACTTTGAAATTGTCTCAAAAAATTGCTAAATATTTTCAATGGAAAACTAAATGTTAGTTTAGCTGATTGTATGGGGTTTCTGAACCTTTCACTTTTTGTTTGTTTTACCTATTTCACAACTGTGTAAATTGCAAATAATTCCTGTCCATGAAAATGCAAATTATCCAGTGTAGATATATTTGACCATCACCCTATGGATATTGGCTAGTTTTGCCTTTATTAAGCAAATTCATTTCAGCATGAATGTCTGCCTATATATTCTCTTTGTATTCTCCTTTGAACCAGTTAAAACATCCTGTGGCACTCTTATTTATTAATCAGTTAAATAAAATCATGAACATATATTCATTTTACATTTGTATGAGAACCATTATTTTTCTTTTCTTTAAAAAAATTAATTATCCTTTGACATTGGGTTGACATTTTCTTAAGACATGCCATAAAGAGAGGGTATCAAGTTTCTCAATGTCAGTTCTAGAGGAAAAAAAATTCTTTATAAAAATTTAACCTCATGTGTAACAGTTTCCATTCCCATAGCAATGACATTTGATATACATTGTATATATTAATCTGGGAATGATGTAAGATTCCAAGTATAATTTTATCAGTGAACTCAACTACTTGATTACTTTCACTTATTTAAATATCTAGTTCAATGTTGTCCAGTGGCATTGTGGATTTAGGTAATTTTACCAGGCAGCCGTTCAATTTCTGCACTTTCTGTTTGCCCATGCAGAACACAACACATTTTATAAGTCAAAGTATAGGCATCTGGTGGCATAATTTTAATTTGTTATCAAATAAAAGCCTCATCAAATTAGTCTAGAAAATAACTCATTATTTATTTTAGGACTGTATCACTATGTAATGAGATACAAATATATGTAAATGTAAGTGCCTAAGAGGCATGCAGAGAGCCTAAGATGTATGCAGTATGCCTAACAGGAATGCAGAGAGCTTCATTTCCATTGTCAGCTGCTCAGTTGTTTCTCAGGAAAGAAATGTGGCCAACGGACACCATTTAAGAGATATATAGCAACAAGTTCAGAAAATTCTCATAAATGGGAGTGGCTAATGCATAGACAATAGCATTGACCTTTGATCCATATATATATATATATATATATATATATATATATATATGTATATATATAGTACCTCAAATACATTTGGATCAATTTAATTGTGAGTGCTATAAACTACAAATGAAAGTAAAAAAGCAAATCTGTTGATATTTTAGAAGAATGAAAGATTATTAACTCATGGCCTGTATGTATTTGGAATGAGAAGGATGTACATAGCTTTCTTTGGATGGGTGGAATTGAAATTGTAATTTACAGTGACTAAAACCTGACTGCTTTCACAATTTTTTTCACTGTTGGGGGTGAAATTCTTGATTGATTTGTGCATTGGGAACTTTTTTTTTTTTTTTTGGAGACAGAGTCTCGCTTTGTAGCCAAGGCTAGAGTGCAGTGGCGGGATCTCGGCTCACTGCAAACTCCATCTTCTGGGTTCACACCATCCTCCTGCCTCAGCCTCCCAAGTAGCTGGGACTACAGGCGGGCGCCACCACGCCTGGCAAATTTTTTGTATTTTTAGTAGAGACGGGGTTTCACCGTGTTAGCCAGGATGGCCAGGATGGTCTCAACCTCCTGACCCTGTGATCCACCTGCCTTGGCCTTCCAAAGTGCTGGGATTACAGGCATGAGCTACCATGCCCCACCTTTTTTTTTCCTTTTCTTTTTTTTTTCTTTCTTTCTTTTTTTTTTTTTGTTAGTCCTTCCCTCCAGTGTCATGGAGATAATTGGAAAATGTTTTAGAGCAAAAAAGTTTATTTCTCCTTCTTGTTGTTAGCAAAGAAATTTATTTTTCCTTCTTGTTATTTATTGGCCTTGGAGACATACACCAAATAGCTCATTCTACTTCTGAAATTTTGTTTTGATTTCCCTGGCCCTCCCCATGAAGTATTTCAGATTAGCAGGGAGTCAAGCATTGTCTGTCTATCTGTGAATAAAATATTTCAGGCTGCTTTTGCATAATATACATGCTCTTGCCTTTACAAGTCACACTCACATCTGGTTTTGTAAAACACCAGGTAAAGAAGAAAACAATGTTTCTGAATTCTGCTTTATCAGCCCAGTAGAGAACTCCTCCCTTCCCTAAACTGAGGGCCACATCTAAGGGGTTGAAACAGGGCCAGTTACATTCTATGTTCCCAACATAATTGTCCGTGCACGGATCCAATCAAGTTAAATGAGAAATAGGATATTTATTCTAAAAACAAGTTATTGCTACAATAATAATAATAATACTATAGTAATATTATTATTCTAATAATGATATTAGAATAAAAACTGGTTATTAAAGTACTAAACAGTTGAAAATCTAAATGTCTCACAAGGTCAACTACAGCAAGTATGTAAGATTTAGTATTAGTCACACGTCAAAAATTATATCCATAAAAGTAATGACATATGAAAACAGTTTATTGATACAGATATAACAAATGTAACTAAACTGTGCTGAAATGTATTTTAAAATAAAATATGCCAAAATATTATTGATGATGACTTTGGATGATGGTATTACTACTAAGGTTTCAAATTTAATTTGCTTCTTACTTCTGAGTACTTTTATAAATTTTTAAATAATAAAATTAGTGTGTTAAAAATATCAAGTGATATCTAGAAATCAGAAAAAGGCATATTGCCAGAGGAGGACCGAGTTAGTAGATTTGAGGCTCCATTAAGTTTTGTTTATGATCAAAAACCAAACAAAAACCAGGCAACAGTGGCAAAAAATATCTCACTCCCTTCCTGGAAAAGTAAATGAAACTACAAAGAATTTCCAAACTTAAAAACTATACATTTCAAGTCTGTTCATAACTAGTGAAGTCACAGTTTCTGAAAACAATGATAAAATTTTAATTGATATTTAATTCATATTTTTTGTTTAAAAAACTATCAGTATTGGAAGATAAATTTCATGGGAAAAGCATTGAATCATTAAGTTTTGCAGTCACAAAGGTAAATATAATTTGCTTAATGCTGCCCTCAGCTTACAATGAGTCTTTAGTATTTTCTAAGCTATGAGTTCACCAAAATATAGGATTGTTTTGCTGCGTATAATTTGCTCAGTGATCAAACACAAAGGAGTTACCTATGTTAAGATGTGAATAATAAATTTATGGAAAATTTATGAAAGTGTACATTGGAAAGACAATAAAACTTTCCATTAAATTGGTGGAAAAGGAGCTCAAAACCTAGCTGGGTGATTCATTATTTTAATGACTTCCTGCTTTACTGCAAAACCTCTCTCTTCATTCGGTGTTGGTAGTTTGAGCCCCTGTTAAGGATATAGGCTCACAGTGAAGCTTCTATAAATTTCTGGACCTCTGTCATGCTGGCATGTATATCATTCTCCTTTAGGAATGATGAGGAGACTGGAAAGCGGTTGCTCCAAGGGAAGGGATAATTTTGCAAACCTGAGCTGTCTAAGCTCAGCATGAATTGGAGTGGGCTGCTGACTCAGGCTAGCAGAGGCAGCCAGGAAACATGCAAATCTGCAATCCGTTCTGCCAGGTCTGTCCCAGCAGGTGTCACTGAAGGCACCTCTGTGTGCTTGTCACTGTGGCAGCCTTGACAAGGAAGGTGGAAAGGAAAAAGAGACCCAGTGCTGAACTCCAAGCAGAGATGGGGCTTTTCTGTATGCATATTTTCCCTCCCCTCCCAGCCTGCATTTCCAATAACATATTGATTTATATTTGTATTATGAAACAAAAGTGGTTGTAATCAGATGTTCTTTCCTTTTACACACAATGTTAGCTCCTATTTACATTCCTAACTGAACAATGTCTAAAGAGGTACTTAAACTGATGTAAAACGCAGATAATCTCATGACCAAATGCTTAGCGCAAGAAAAAACTTCAATTTGCAAGAGAAGTCCCTCCAAATACAGAAAGGACCAGTATTGTAAGAGGTACCTTAACTAAAATGTGGCAATGGAAGGAGCAGAGCAGGAAGAACTTTTAAGTCTGAAACTTACAACAAGTCAATTTCATAGTCAGTTTCTCTGGTCCTTCCACAACAGCCTCCGGCACCTGTTTTCTCTACAATGGAGGTAACAATAGTAGCTATTTCAGAGCAGGAAAAGGCTTAGAGCAGTGCTAGAATATGGTCGTGGCTATATAAAGTTTAGCTATTTATATATTGTAAGAAACCTACAATGTGTTCTTTTATCGGTAGTCAGTAATGGATTTCTTGTGGGAAAGTAGCAGCCTCCTATGGGGGGAACACCTGCAGTTCCCACTAAGTGAACACTGGTGTCTGCTAACCTTTGCCTCTATTTGTCGCAATAATATACTGTCAAGCTGTTCCTTGAGTTAGCAATTTTATTTACATTCTTTTTCTTTTTTTTTCCTTTCCCTTTTCCTGCCACAGAGTCCCGCTCTGTCGCCCAGTCTGGAGTGCAGCAGCGCCATCATAGCTCACTGCCACCTAGAAGCTGGGGTGAAGCAATCCTCCTCCATCAGCCTTCAGAGTAGCTGGGACTACCTGCGCGGCCCACCACACCCGGCTAATCTTTGTGGTTTTTGTTTTGTTTTTCTGTTCTGGGTTTCCGCCGGGCGCAGTGGCTCAGGCCTGCAATCCCAGCACTTTGGAAGGCAGAGGTGGGCGGATCACCCGAGGTCGGAGACCAGCCTGACAAACATGAAGAAATCCCGTCTCTACTAAAAAAAAAAAAAAAAAAAAAAAAAAATCTACAAAATTAGCCGGATATGGTGTCTCATGCCTGTAATCCCAGCTACTAGGGAGGCCTATGCAGGAGAATCACCTAAATCCGGGAGGCCGAGGTTGCGGTGAGCAAAGATCACACCATTGCACTCCAGCCTGGACAACAAGAGTGAAACTCCGTCTCAAAACAGAGACCGGGTTTCACCATGTTGCCCAGGCGGTCTGGAACTCCTAGGCTCAAGCGATCTGCCGCACTCTGCCTTCCAAAGTCCTGGGATCACAAGGGGGAGGCACCACGCCAGGCCGATCTATTCCTTTCTGGTTACTAAATTGGACCGGGGGCGCGGTGGCTCATGCCTGCAATCCCAGCACCCAGGGAGGCGGAGGCGGGCGGATCACCCGAGGTCAGGAGCTCGAGATCAGCCCAACCAACACGGAGAAACCCCGTCTGTACCAAAAAAATAAAACCAAAATTAGCTGGCATGGTGGCTTATGCCTGCAATCCCAACCACTCAGGAGGCTGAGGCAGGAGAACCACCTAAACCCAGGAGGTGGAGGCCGCGGTGAGTCGAGACCACGCCACTGCACTCCAGCCTGGAAAACGAGCAAAACTCCACTAAAAAAAAAAAAAAAAAAAAAAAAAAAGACAGTGTTTCACCACGTTGCCCAGGCCGGTCTGGAAGTCCTAGGCTCAATCGATCGCTGCTCTCGGCCGTCCAAAGTACTGGGATCACAAGCATGAGCTACCACGCCAGGCCGATCTATTCCTTTCTGATTAATAAATTGGACTGGGTGTGGTGGCTCACGCCTGCAATCCCAGCACCCCGGGAGGCGAGGCGGGCGAATCACCTGAGGTCCACAGTTTGAGACCAGCCTGACCAAAAGTGAGAAACCCCGTCTCTTAAAAAAAAAAAAAAAAAAAGCCGGGCATGGTGGCTCACGCCTGCAATCCCAGCACCCAGGGAGGTGGAGGCAGGTGGATCACCCAAGGTCAGGTGCTTGAGATCAGCCCGACCAACACGGAGAAACCCCGTCTGTACAAAAAAAAAAAACACCAAAATTAGCTGGCATGGTGGCTCATGCCTGCAATCCCAGCCACTCAGGAGGCTTAGGCAGGAGAACCACCTAACCGGGAGGTGGAGGCCGCGGTGAGTCGAGACCGTGCCACTGCACTCCAGCCTGGAAAACAAGAGCGAAACTCCACTCAAAAAAAAAAAAAAAAAAAAAAAAAAAAGACCATGTTTCACCATGTTGTCCAGGCTGGTCTGGAACTCCTAGGCTCAAGTGATCCGCTGCGCTCGGCCGTCCAAAATCCTGGGATCACAAGGGTGAGCCACCACGCCAGGCCGATCTATTCCTTTCTGATTAATAAATTGCGCCGGGCACGGCGGCTGACGCCTGCAATCCCAGCACCCCCGGGAGGCTGAGGTGGGTGGATAACCTGAGGTCGGGAGTTTGAGACTAGCCTGACCAATATGGAGAAAACTGTCTCCACCAAAAAAAAAAAAAAAAATTAGCCAGGCATGGTGGCTCACTCCTGCAATCCCAGCCACTTGGGAGGCTGAGGCGGGAGGATCACTTAAAACCGGGAGGTGGAGGTTGCGGTGAGCCGTCATTGCACTCCAGCCTGGGCACCAAGAGCGAAACTCTATCTGAAAAACAAACAAACAACAACAAAAAAACAGGTTTCACCATGTTGCCCAGGCAGGTCTGGAACTCCCAGTCTCAAGCGATCTGCCTCGCTCCTGGGATTACACTGTGAGGGTAAATTTTATGTGCCATCTTGACTGGGCCACAGGGTGCTCGGATTAAACATTGTTTCTGGGTGTGTTTGTGAGTGTTTCCAGGTGACTTTAGCTTTTGAGTCAGTGAATTCAGTAACGTAGATGGCCCCATGGAGATGGACATCATCCAACCTGGTGAGGGCTTGAGTAGAACAAAGGGAGGAAGGGGAAATTTGCCCCCTTTCTTTCTGCCTCTTTGCTTGTGCTGGGACATCTCATCTTCTGTCCTGGGACTGGGATGTACACCATCAGCTCTCCTGGTTCTCAGGCCTTCTGACTTGGACAGAATTAAATCACCAATTTTTCTGAGTGTTCCAGCTTCCAGATGGCACATTCTTTGCCTTCATAATAATGTAAGCCATGACCCCATAATAAATCTCTTTTTAAGAAAATGTGGGACATATATATCATGGAATACTATGAAGCTATAAAAAGGAACAAAATCATGTCCTTTTCAGCAACATGGATGCAGTTGGAGGCCATAATCCTCAGGAAACTAACACAGAGACAGAAAACCAAATACTGCATGTTCTCACTTATAAGTGGGAGCTAATAATTAAGTCCTAATTCCTAGAACCTGTAGATGTTACCTCATTTGGAAAAAGCATATTTTCAGGTATGATTAAGTTAAGGATCTTGAGGAGAGATTATCCTGGATTGTCTCCGTGGGCATTAAATCCTGGCACATATATCCTTATAAGAGGGAGATAAAGGAGATTTAACTTCAGACAGAAGAGAAGGAGGCCCTGTGACCAAGGAGGCAGAGCCTGGAGTGGTGGAGCTGCAAGACAATGAATGCCAGCAGCCATCAGAAGCTGCGAAAGTCAAAGGATGGATTTTCCCCTCAGCCTCTGAGAGCACTGGCTCTGCTGATACCTAGATTTCAGCCCAGTGATACTGATTTTGGACTCCTGATATCCAAAACTGTGAGAAAATAAATTTCTGTTGTTTTAAGTCACCAAATTTTTGGTAATTTGCTCTAACAGCCACAGGAAACTAACATACATGCCTACCTGGGTCCAGTTGTGTCCTGTGACTCCTGCTTTCCTGGGACAGGCAGGCTGCTCCATGCCTCCTGGCCATCCTACTGAGTGCTGGACGCTGTAGGCTGCTCCATGCATGCCGGTCATCCTCCTGGGTGCTGGATGCTGCAGGCTGCTCCATGCCTGTTGGCCATTCCCTTTGGTGCTGGACAGCACTCGCGTTGTGAAATCCACTGGCCCTGTGAAAAACACCTGGAAATGTTACCAGGAGAGGGGTTAGTTCTCTTTTTGGCAACCCATGTTATTGCTTATGGCTTAATATCTGTGCCTCCAAGATCCCTTCTCTCTGCCTTCATCGATGCCAGGAAAGCAGTCACCTTTTGCCTTTCTTTGCTTCTCAGCAAGTGGCATGTCTCCATGTCACTTTAAGCATCAAGCACACGGAGCCCAATAAGATGCTGAAAAGTGTCTGCCTACAAGGTTACAAGGTGGTGGAGACATTCTGAGCCGGTAACTGCAGGGCTCAGTAAAACCGCTACAGGAAATCTCAAGTTCAAAATGCTGAAGTGAAAAATGGGTGATCACAACGAAGGGAAACACAAACCCCTTCTTTTAAAAACATTATGGTGATAAGGCACAACATAAAATTTACCATATTAACCACTTGTAAGTATACAGTGCAGTAGTGTTAAAAATATACATGTTGAGTAACGAGTTTCTAGAACTTGCTTCTCTTGGAGAACTGAAACTATAGCCACTATACAACAACTCCCCATTTCTCTATCCCCTGGCTTATGGAAACAACCGCTCTATTTTCTGTTTCTATGAGTTTGACTAATTTCAAACCTAATGTAAGAGAAATCGTACAGCATTTGTCTTTGTGTGATGGGCTGATTTCAATTAGTGTAATGTTTTCAAGGTTCATCTATATTGCAGCATGTGACAGGGCTTCTTTCTTTTTTAAGGCTGATAATTTTATAGTATTCCGTTGCATGGATAGACCACATTTATTTATTTATTTATTTATTTATTTATTTATTGAGACAATCTCACTCTGTTGCCCAGGCTGGAGTGCGGTGGCATGATCATGGCTCACTGCAGTCTGAATCTCACATTCTCAAGCGATCCTGCCGCCTCAGCCTCCTGAGTAGCTGGGACTACAGGCACATGACACCATGCCTGGATATTCATCTTTCTGTGTAACTGGTTGAGAAACAGGGGAGTAACAGTGAAGAAACGGTCTTAGAATAAATCTGGTGACAGCAGAAGAGAATATGAGACAGATTGTGCTCACAGAGCCTTGAAGAGTGTGACAGTATTTGAGGGCCACGCTGTTGTCTTAGAGTGAAGTGAGGAGAACCTACACTGGTTTGGTAGTCATGGGAATGGAAGGAGGAAAGAAATGTGAAAGCTCATTGGCGGCAGAGTCAAAATGGCTTGGTCTTTGTAGTCAATGCTTAGGTGAGAAGGAGGAATTACTGGCTGACTTAGAAGAAGTAAAAAATGTGAAATACCGATAAAACACAAATCTCGCGATTTTAGTCAGCGTACAGACTAACCATTGTGTGATTCTAGATATATTATTAAGCAGTTTTGTTCCAGTATTTTATATCCCATATCTTCTAGCTATGACCCTATTTCTTTGTTTCTTGACATAGACAAACATTTTTTAAACTAAGAGCTTTATTGTGATACAGTTTTTGTATGATAAGCCTCACCCTTCAAGTGTACAGTTCAGTGGTTTTTAGTATATTCAGAGTTATGCAGCCATTACCACTCCCTAATTTCAGAACATTTTCATCTCCCCAAAAAGAACCCCGTACCCACTAGCAGTCACTCCCTGTACCTCTCTCCCCCACCATTGATCCTGGCAACCTCTGATCTAACTTCTATCTCTGTAGATTTGCCTATCCTGGGCATTTCATATAAATAGAATCATACAAAAGTGGCATTTTGTGACTGATTTTTCTTTACAGTGATTATAAATCAAATGCCTGAAGACGCTAAGCTTAGGATAGTGTTTGCTGTACAACTTTGATAACTGAACTTTTGTAAAGCTGAAAATGTGACTGTGTCTGTATATGTGGCATATTATCCTTAGATGATCCTTACTTCGATTATTAAGAATTTTTTCCCCTAGTAATCTTCAACTGTCTCAATATTCAGCAGGAACCCCTTGGAGACAAAGATCAGTATGAATTTGGAACACCTATTGACAAAATGAATGTAATTTAATTTAGTACAGTAGTAAAGTCAACCACTTTTAGGTGTTGATGCTGCTGAAAGTGTATATTAAGGAAAAGTTTACTTACCCTACTTTTTGTGGAGGTGCTAGAACTACTTCTGTCTTGTGTTTAGATTTCAACAGACCTTTGCATGGGCATTATGTGGTTGCACAAATGTACTTCGTTTTGACCTGAAAATGCAAAAACTTCCTTTCTTCCCACTTTCTGAGACTCTGCAACCTTAAAGGAAGAGTGGGGTTCTTTAAAGGAAAGGTGGTGGTGGTTGGGTCATGGGTAACAATGTCTACTGTGTACTTCCTTTCCCAAAACAAGTCCCTGTCTACCGTCAGCATTTCGAAAATTTGAAGATCAAGTGTGGTGTTAACTCATGAACTAATGACTAGACTTTGAGCGGTTGTGGCAGCAAAATCTCAGTGAGTGCCTGGATGTTCTAATTCTGTTAAGTCAGTGAGTGCATATTCTGTACAATACTCTCTTAGCCCAGTGGCAGGTTTAAGGAGTGGGAGAGAGATTTCTATGTTTCGGAAATCAAATACACAAAGAATAAAAATTTTTAATCCCATGATTCTTTGCCCGAGTTTAATTTTTTGGAGAGTTTTTCTTTTAGATTTTCTTTCCCTTCCATTAAACTTTTACTTAGAAAGGTCCCAGGGTTTGGGCAAAGCAAGTGGGAAAGATACTTGCTTGGATTCTCCAGGATAAGGGATTGAAGAGGACTTCTTTCCCTCATTTTATTATTGAATAATGTCACAATAACAATTATTAAGGTGAATAGTCTACAGTGGAAGTTTTTAGATGCCTTGTCTGCAAAATAATTTGGTTTAGTCAACCCAGGGATGCCTTTGGTTAGCTGGAATGGGAGATGTGCAGGTTAGAGTGGTCTTGGCAAGTCTTCCAGGGGGAAATACAGCATTTGGAAGGGTAGGAAGCAGAAGGAATCTCAGGCAAGGGAAAGGCGTGGGCAGAGCCCCGGAGGACAGAACAGGTTGTGGTGGACTTGGTGTCCACATAGACCTAATTAGTGGTCTTAGCTTTTGTGTTTTCAAAATTACCACAGTTTGTGTTCTAAAACTGTCATTCTCTTGATTTTATTTTAGACATACTATCTGTGTATTTTGAAATTTAAAATAACAGTAAAGGAGAAACGAATTTATTTTGTTTGAGAAAGAGTTAAAAGGTTAAAACATCTTGATCTTAATAATTTTCTAAAGGGAGATTTGGTACACCCCCAGAAGTTGTCTTTGGTTCAGAGAATAGTCTTCAGATCTAGAAAGGACTTGAGAAGTCCCAGAGAGGTGCTGCATGGTCTGAACCATTTGATTCTCACGACAGAATGGATAAAAACAATTTGAACCAGGAAACCATGCAGATGTTCATATTTTGGATAGGGTAAGGTCAGTGCCGTCGTCAGAGGAAAAACTCTCGGCCATCACAGGATGGGAGAGAAAGTTTGAGTTGTGAAGAATACTCAAATGCCGTTTAAGGAAACGGGTTCTTCTGCACCTATTCTTTGGAATATTTAGGGCTAAGTTCTTAGTTTTTGACATCATAAAAATGTCAAAGTATTCTGTTCTAAGAGCCATTTCAAACAACTGACTAGAATTTCAGAGCAATTACATGAGAGTAATACCATTAAAATGTTTAAATTACCCATAGTCCTATATCCCTAACAAGTATGTTCACGCTTGCATGTCCTCTTCTCATCTTTACTGTGTGCATACTTAGTAATGGCACGTAGACATTGTTTAAGCAGGAATAATTCTCGAGATAATTTTGTATGTTTCCTTTTTTCTTTTTAAGGTAGGTATTGGGTGGAGGAGCATTATATTTGCAACTTCTCGCAAAACACGTGATTATTTTCTTATAATATTCAATTTTCACCCTCAATACAGTGTTTTGATTATGTAATTTAGATAGAAAGTAGAAGGTTCTCTTAGAGAAATTTTAGTGTTTTTTTTTCATAGCTCCTACTTTCAAGAATGAAAAAGGTAAACCAGTAAAATGACACTGTACTTGGTGCTGAATCTATGCCGGGATAGGCATTAAGAGTGACCTTTATTTAAGGTTCTAATTTGCTCATGTTGGGCACTTAGAACGTCAGTTTGTTGCTTTTTGTGAGATTCTGGAAATGGTCCAATTTTACTTTTTCCCCTTGACTCCAGACTTTTTAACACTGATGTGCTGCTGTTGAGGCATATGCCGTTTTGTTAGGCCTCCTCAAGTGGGAGTCAGGAATGCTGCTGTGTTCCAGAGAGGTTTTGTTCTTCCTGTAGGGCTGAAGCAGTGCCTACTCAATAGAACCAGTCATCGTGCAAAGAAATGCCACCTGACTCAAAGGCAAAGCCAGAGTGCAGCTTGGAGCAAAGAAGGTATTTTATTAAGAATTTTACATAAACCATAAGATATATTTTATATTACTTTGCGAGCCTTCTTCCTGTCTTGACTTAATTCTTTTTGAGAGAATTCATTTCATTTTCATTTGGTTTGTTTTCTTCTTGTTACAAAGATGATGTATAGAAAATATAGAAGTATAAGAAAATTAAAGATACTAACTGATAATTGCTTAATGATTTAGTATCTGCTTGTTTAGTCTTTGTTATATTTACAGTAGGCAAACATGTCTACCGTTGTAAATTTATTACTGGTATGTATACCCTAGTAAGTTAAAAGTTATATGTACTTTGAAGTTTTGCAAAATTGAGTTCATATTATAGAATTAATTCCTGATGAACTTTTATGTGCTAGGCACTGGTCTTTTTATTTAATTATTTATTTTTACTTTTTTTTCCTCTGTGCCTATGCTTACCAAGTCTTTTTATTTTTTACTTTTTATTAACTCTTTTAATCCTCTGAATAAATTGAAAAGAGGGTATTATTAATATCTGCATTTTGTAGATGAGGTAACTGAAGGTAGGTAACTTGTCCAAGGTCACAGGTGGCAGAGCAAGGATTAAAACTAGACAGTCTGGCTGCCCAAGGCCCAACGAAGAGGAGCTGAGAGCAAGCCACCGGGCAGAAGGATGTTGGTCAGGCTGGTTTCCTGTTCAGTTAACATGAAACACAGGCTTAACCTTAATTCTAGGACGTTACCGAGAAAGCCTTCCAAAGCCATAGGTTTTTTACCATGACCATGACTTTTTTTTTTTTTTTTTGAGACAGAGTTTCACTGTGTAGCCCAGGCTGGAGTGCAGTGGCGCGATCTCGGTTCACTGCAGCCTACCTCTCTTGACAGTCCACTGGTTAAAGTGATTCTCCTGCCTCAGCCTCCCGAGTAGCTGAAATTACAGGCACTGGCCACCACGCCTGGCTAGCTTTTGTGTTTTTAGTAGAGACGGGGTTTCACCGTGTTGGCCAGGCTGGTCTTGAACTCCTGACCTCAAATGACCCACCTCTGCCTCCCAAAATGCTGGGATTCCAGGCGTGAGCCACCGTGCCAGGACCTAAGGCCCTTAAGTTTTAACGTCTCATTCTTCAGTCAGGTTTTCCTTGTTCCTGCGTGTTCAGCCATTTGTTTTTAAGTTTGTGTTGAAGGAGAAACTAACAATGAAAATGGACTTGTTGACGGAAGAAAAGTAGGAATGCAGCCTCTGGTGCTGTTTGAGTGATCCCTCTGCCCCAGGCCTGGCTGTGCGCTGCTGTGTTCTGGAAAGGCGCATTGTGCCCTCGCTGTGGCAGGTAAGAGTCCTGTACAGGTGCTCTGCCCACTTTACCTTTCAGGCTTCTGTATCAGCTGTTTTTCCCTTGTAGAATGTGCCCCTGACCTGTGCCCCTGACTTCCACCCCTTAACCCTGCCCAATACATCTTTAGATGTCTGACCATCAAGACTCTTCTGGGTCATATTCAGTTCATGCTGATATTTTCCCTTCCTCCCCTCTTTAGTCCTTACTATTTTTGCTTTGGTCATGTTATGCTATATTCTGTAAGCCTTTAAAAATTTTGTTGTATCATGGCAGGGGAGAATATTTTATAATTATGCTTTGTGCGTTTTATCTTCCACTTAATGAATGCTTGGTAAATATTTGTTTTATTGAGTATATGACCCTTTTCTAGCTATACTGTGAACAAAAATGTTAACTGTCTTGTAAGTTAACTGCTAAGAATTTGTCAAAAGTGCAGAGATGACATCCAGAACTTGTCAGAATATTACAAAAAGGTCTCTAGGGGCATGACGGAGGTCTGTAAATTGACTTCATGTGAAAGAGTGTAAGAAGCGAAAATGTGAAGCATGACTGGAGAGCCGGAGTGATAAAGCAAGGGTCCCTTTCTCCAGATCCTTTGTAACAGTGTCATGTGACCTCTTCTAGATCATTCTGAAAGACAATGCCAGCTCGGAACCTAGGAAAGCATCCAGTGGGTTTCTGCATGTTAGGTGGTTCAAATCCTCATTAGCACCTTTGTTTTCTCTGCCTCAGTTTGCTTACAGTGATGTTCTCAGTAGCTGTAATTGCTCTCTGTCTTTGAATATTTAAGCATTTTTTTTTAGATCACAGGGTGTATATGTCCATTTTTATTTTACCAAGTGTTAGAATTTTTACTCTGCCTTTGTGGGCTCTGGGTTAGCTGCTTGGTTGTTTCATCGTAAAATGATTAGCAGGAAAAACTGTGTGTGTGTGTGTGTGTGTGTGTGTGTGTGTATTTTAAGTTTCTTAATTGGGTTGGTACATGTAAACCATTTAGAACAGTGCCTGCTGCATATCACATCCCCATCGGTATTCACGTCTCTCATATTCTACCCTCACACTTGATTGATAGTTTGCTTGATTATGTATTTCTAGGTTGAGGATAATTTTACCTTAGAATTTCAAAGTCTGTGCTGTTGTCTTCTAACCAGTCGTGGTGGTGAAGCCTCATGCCATCATGAGTTTCACTTGTTTATGCATTACTTTCTCTCTGGAAGCTTTTAGGAGTTTGTCTTTTCCTTGGTGAGCTGAAATAGCACAACAGTGTACTTAGTGTGGGTCTTTTTTCATTCATTATGCTGGGTACACCAAATGAACAGGCCAATGGATAGGCTCTTTCAAAGTTGGAGTCTTGAATCTTGTCATATTTTGTTGTTAACTTTCTCTTTTCCATTTTATTTGTTCATTTTGAAGTGTCTGTTAATTGGATTTTAGACCTCTTGTCCTGAGTGTTGTATCTCACGTTATTTCTAAATTTTTTAAAATTTTAAGTTCTGGAATATTTTCTTATCTTTTGACTTTCAGGAAATTTTATTTGGACTGTCATAACTTTAAGTTTTGTTTTGGTTATTTATTGTTGCTTAACCAATTATCCCAAAACTTAATGGCGTAAAACTACACATATGTCTATCTGTCACTACTGTATTGATTAACTGGGGCTAGCTGGACAGTTTTTCTGCTGGTCTCATTTGGCAGCTCTCACTGTGTGGTTAAACAGTGTCAGGGACTGGTCATCTGGATGCTCAGCTGCAGTGGAATGTCTGAGACGGCTTCTTCACCCACAGGTCTGCTGCCTTGGTAATTCTTGGTGTGGCCTTTCTCTCTGCATAGCATCTCATCCTCTTGGATCTCTTCATGTGGCTTTTCTTTCTCCAAGAAGGTAGCCAATTCTTATTTTTGGCTTCCAGAAGCACAGAAATGGAGCTGCCAGGAGTTCTTAAGGCTTAGACCTGGAACAGGTCCAGTGTCATTTCTACCACATGCTATAGGTTAAAGTGAGTGTTGGGGCCAACCCAGATTGACTATGGGATGGGCCTGTCTAAGGACATGATGACAGGAGGTATGGCTCATTGGAGACCAACTCCCAGGATGAAGCATGAGTTCTAAGAACTTTTTGTTCTCTGATTATTTCTTATTCATATTGTTTTGTTTTATACATGTAATATATTCACAAGTGTCTTTATGAAGTGATTTTGATACTCTTTGTCTTCTCCCTGGCATCTCCTTGTTCTTTAATAATTTTTTTCTTAGTTTATTTTGGTCTTATTTTTCTTTTTAAAGCCTTTCCTTAAATATCTATTCTATGTTGCTTATCATTTGTTGTCTTTCTTTTTTTTTTGAGACCCAGTTTCGCTCTTGTTGCCTAGGCTGGAGTACAATGATGTGATCTTGGCTCACCACAACCTCTGCCTCCAAGGTTCAAGCAGTTCTCCTGCCTCAGCCTCCCAAGTACCTGGGATTACAGGCATGTGCTACCACACCCACCTAATTTGTGTATTTTTAGTAGAGATGGGATTTCTCCATGTTGGTCAGTCTGGTCTGGAACTCCCAACCTCAGGTGATCCACCCACCTCAGCCTCCCAAAGTGCAGGATTACAGACATGAGCCACCGTGCCTGACCTGTAGTCTTTTTTCCATTCCTTTATTTGCTCATTCATATTTGAGAGAGGTACTAAAAGACTGGGAGCCGGGGTGTGGTGGCTCACACCTATAATCTCAGTGCTTTGGGAGACCGAAGTGGGAGGATCACTTGAGCCCAGGAGCTCAAGACTAGTTTGGGCAACATAGTGAGACCCCATCTTTACAAAAAAAAGAAAAATAGCTAGGTGTGGTGACACCCATCTGCAGTCCCAGCTACTTGGGAGGCTGAGGCAGGAGGATTGCTTGAGCCCAGGAGGTTGAGGCTGCAGTGAGCTCTGATCATGCCACTGCATTCCTGCATTCCAGCCTGGGCGAAGGAGCAAGACCCTGTCTCAAAAAAAATAAATAAATAAAAATAAAAATAAATAAAAATTGATTGGGAGTTCTTTGTGGCCAAGACTTGTCAACTGATAGCTTTAAGGGGAATGTATGCTGATTCCTAATTGTTATCCTCCATCCCTCTATCTTATCTCCTGTTGCAATCTTAAATGATGGCTGGATGACTACTCCATTCCTCTGGATGTAAAATCTACATTCTCTTGCCTGAGGTAGATACGTTTGCTTGGGTTCTGTTCAAGGAGATGGGGCCAGCAGTGTGTTTCAGGGCCTGTGAAATGTGTTCTCTATCCGGGCTTTTGCTTAATCTCTGTTTTCAGTCTTGCCTATCAGTCCCACTGTCGGGGGTACCTCGTGTCTGGGTCTAGAACCTTTCCAGGTTGCTGTGGGACAGATTAGCCTCCTTGTTCTCAGTATCCCCCTGACCTCCACCTTTGTTGCTTTGCTCCATGAATTAACCATTTTCCATGTACTGTCATTGTCTAATGAAGATGAATTCTCTTCTGTTGGTAACCCCATTCCTTTTTTGTAATTGTGTGCTTATACAATGTTTATTCTTCACTGTATTTCTATTGGAGCCTCAGGACAAAGAGCAGATGGTGAGAATCTTTGTTCAGTGTTAAGTTTTCCTTCTGTAAGACATGTGCAACTTGTGTTTTTCACTGAATAGATCATCAACTTAATGCATATAGAGCTACTTTGTTTTTCATGATTGTGCCTTCAATTATATGTAGAAATATAATTTGTGAATTGCCTGATGAAATTTTCCTAATTTTGAATTATCTTTGCATTCCTATAGTAAACACTGTTAGAATGGCTATGGTAATATTTTATTTTTGTATTTTTACTTCTGTATTAAATAAGATTATAGTTTTGTTTGTTTCCTTTAAGGCTGTTATTTCATTTCAGTATCAAGGGTATGCAGGGCTGAGTTGGGAAGCTTTACATCTTTTTTCTAAGATCTAGGATGTAGATCTGGTTTACACAGTAATTTTCACCTGCAGGAGTATTTTGCCTCCTATGGGACGTTTGGAAATATCTGGAGACATTTTTGTGGTCACCACTGGTCATGGTCGGGAGGTCTTATTGGCATTCTGTGGGTAGACGGAATGTTACTAAATGCCCGACAACACACCAGGAGAACCCTCCACAAAGAATTATCTGGCCCAATATATCAATATTGCTGAGGCTGACAAATTCTGGTTTAAATAAATACCCAATTTGGGGGATGAGTCTTTGTCTTTTTCCTTCTTCTGCATATTGGTCTCCAGATTTCCCACTTCTTCAGTTAGTTTTCGTAACTGTAGGTTCTTAAAAAAAAATGAACACTTTGGCCGGGTGCGATGGCTCATGCCTGTAATCCCAGCACTTTGGGAGGCCGAGGCGGGTGGATCACGAGGTCAGGAGATCGAGACCATCCTGGCTAACATGGTGAAACCCCGTCTCTACTAAGCCAAAATACAAAAAATTAGCCAGGCGTGGTGGCGGGCGCCTGTAGTCACAGCTACTCGGGAGGTTGAGGCAGGAGAATGTTGTGAACCCGGGAGGTGGAGCTTGCAAGTGAGCCAAGATCACGCCACTGCACTCCAGCGTGGGTGACAGAGCAAGACTCCGTCTCAAAAAAAAAAAAAAAAAAAAAGAACATGTCATCCATACTTCTAAGGTGTTGTAAAGATGTGTAAAGTTTTCACTTTTTGCATCATATTCACATGTGGCTATATGCCCTTTTCTCTTCAAAGTTTTCTTTATCTTGATTACTTATCAGAGGCTTGACTGTTTTATTATCTCAGTCTTTTGAAAGAATCCTCCTTCAGTTTTGTTTTTTAAATCTAGTGGTTTTTCTTTTTCCTTTTTCCTGACGTCTTAATTATTTCTCCCTTTTTGTTTGCTTTGCTTTTCCTAGTTTAGTGGATCAATGTAATTTAAATTGCTTTTTAAACAAACATGTAAGGGTATACATTTTCGTTGGGTGCTGTTTGACTTTGTTGCACAAGTTTTAAAATCTATTTTTTAATAGCTTGTATTTTCTAAATTATTTTATTGCATCTTTTGTTCACATTGCTCTTACTATTAATTTTTTATTTTTATTAATAAATAAATAAATTAATTAATTAATTGAGATGGAGTCTTGCTCTGTAGCCCAGGCTGGAGTACAGCGGCATGATCTTGGCTCACTGCAAGCTCCACCTCGGGGGTTCATGTCATTCTCCTGCCTCAGCCTCCCAAGTAGCTGAGACTACAGCTGCCTGCCACCACATCCGGCCTTTTTTGTATTTTTAGTAGAGATGGGGTTTCACCGTGTTAGCCAGGATGGTCTCGATCTCCTGACCTCATGATCCACCCACCTTGGGCTCTCAAAGTCCTGGAATTACAGGCATGAGCCACTGCACCCGGCCCAAAAGCTTTGTGTTTTTACAGATATTAGACATGTTTCTTGTTTAAGAAAAAAAATCTTAACGAAAACATAGGAGAATAAGAGAAACATTTTTCCAAAAAAGAGAAATCATTGTGATTATTTTATCTTATTAGAATGTTGGATAATATAGTCTGCTTCATTAATCATCAAGCATGCTATGCATTTTCCATTTTTATAGGATCTGTATCTCAGTTAAGATAATACTGGTAATTTTTGTACTGTAATCAAAGATGAAAAATGTAGGCCAAAATCATAGACCTTGCATAGAAGCTGGATAATGAAGACAGCTATGGAGAAAAACATAGATACGCACACACGGACACACATATATATAAAGTATACACACATATATTTTTTAAAGTTTTAAAGCTGTTAAAGCAAAAGCTGGCCCCTCTTCTCTTCCAGAGTGGGAGGCCTCTCCCCTCTCTTAGAGTGGGTGCGGAGAGCGGTCGCATGGGCAGCTTTCCTTGTGAGCCACAGGGCCCTCTGGACACGCTGCTGTCTGGCCACGCCCCCTTTCCCTTTCATCTTTCTCATTGACCAATGGGCTTGGAGCATTAAGGCCACACCCCTATTCCGCATTCTACTGGGGCCCTGGTTACGCCTCCTCTGGCTCAGTCACACAGCTGCCTGGAAGGTGACTGGAGGCCTTGATCGGTTCTCATTGCGATTTTGCTGCTGTGGCCCCAACCCTGCCTCCCTCCCCACCCTGCGATGGCAGAAGAAACTCAACACAACAAATTGGCTGCAGCCAAGAAAAAGGTAAAAACGCACTAGGTCATAGCCCCTCAACCCAGCCACAGATCCCCTCTGATGACAAGACCCCTGCCAGAGTCTATACGACTCCTGAGGCACACTGGACTGGTCCCCCCAACCCCGGTGCCTTGGGCTACCCCCATCAAAGTTTTGTCAGTCAGCCCCACCCCTTCAGAAAGCAGCCCAGTCCTTGCCCTCGCCAATCACCCCAGGGTGACTTTGGGTGGGTGACTCCTGGGGCTTCCCGCTCCGTTACTGGGCCCTCATCTCCTGCCGCCCCAAGCTTGATCTCCCTGGGCTCTTTGGGCTCTCATCTCTGAGGAGCCAGGCCCCACCCTCGCCAATCATCCCTGGGTGACTTTGGGCTGGTGACTCCTGGGGCTCCCTGCTGCAGACTCTGCCCTCCCCTCCTGCTGCCTCAAGGTCGACCTCCCTGGGTTCTTTGTGCTGGCGTCTCCAAGGAGCTGGGTCCCAACCCTGTGCTTCCCTCCCCCATCGTGGAGCAGCGACTTAGACATGGTGCTGACATGGTCCCTCCCCCCGACCAGGAGGAGTGGAATGTTGTGATGTCACAGCCCACCTAGTAACTGCCGTTACTGCAAGACTGGCCTTTGATCTTATGACCCAGTCCCCTAAGCGTTCTCACCTCGTTTCTGGTTCCTCTGGTCACAGGACAAATTTCCAGCTGGAAGGGGAATGGAGACTATGGGACCTAGGAGCAAGAGGTTCCAGGCTGCCTCACTCCCTTACAGATGTTGACGGTGGGAAAAGCCTACACTTCCCCCATGAACTCAAAACATTGACGGTATCTCTGGGTGGCAATGAGAGAATGGGTTTGGTTTGGTTTTCTCCCAGGCTTCTACTTTCCAGAGAGATTTTAACATTTTTTTCTGAGTTCTCCACCTCATATTCTAATTCTCCATGGTTCTGGGACCAGACTCTCCTTCAGTCAGTGGTCTCTGAAGTGACATTTGCTCATCTTCTGTGGAATAGATCTTGGGAAACTGAACTTGACACCTTGAATCTTCCTCATATTATCTCAACTTTGGGTACTTTGAGTGCCACAGGATAAATGTGGGACATCTTTCTGAAGCATCAGTTTCCCTTGATTCTCTTGAGATCAAGAGAAAAAACATGAATATACTTAGGGATGACAGTCACATAGGTTTCTAAGAGTATACCAGCCCTCTCTCTGAAATGAGGCTTGGGTTGTCCTCTTTCTGATGAATTCTGATTTAAGAGAAAGGCTGCCTTCTGCCGTGAGGACACATTGATATAAAAGTTTGAGAGGTACTGGTGCACTTCTTCACACTAACAGACGTGTGAGGATGTATGACTCTAAACCACATGGCATACAGTTCCTGCCTACTTAATGTTTACTTTTCTACCTCTGCCTCTGGTTTTGGTCCCTGGCAGCTGCTGATTCTTGGCAAAACCTCAGAGCTTGGAGTCAGAAGACTGAGTTTCAAAGTTCCAGTATTGCCTTTTTCTTTTTTTTTTTCTAGCCATGATATCAATCCTTCTCAGTCACTAAATGAGTGTGACAACACCTTGTACAGTTGTTGGTGTCATTAAATCAGATGGTGTGTAAGTGTATTTTGTAAAAACTGTAAAGGAGGATGTGGCTGTAGGGGCTGACGGTTCTCATGAGTATTACTGCTCTTCTTTCCAACAGTTAAAAGAATATTGGCAGAAAAACAGCCCTAGAGTTCCAGCAGGAGCGAACAGGAACAGGAAAACAAATGGCAGTATCCCTCAGACAGCCACTTCTGGTGGTTGCCAGCCACCTGGGGATGTGAGTCTTGGCTGACCAGGCTTCTGGGGACAGGGGGCCCAAGGGGCAATAGAGGGTAATTGTTAAGATTGTGGATGGACTGCTGGGTACGGGTTAAGAATTCTGGCTTTAGCCGGGTGTGGTGGCCCACGCCTGTAATCCTAGCACTTTGGGAGGCCAAGGCAGGCGGATCATGACGTCAGGAGATAGAGACCATCCTGGTTAACACGGTGAAACCCTGTCTCTACTAAAAATACAAAAACATTAGCCAAGCGTGGTGGCGTGTGCCTGTAGTCCCAGCTACTCAGAAGGCTGAGGCAAGAGAATGGTGTGAACCTGGGAGGTGGAGCTTGCAGTAGCCAAGATTATGCCACCGCACTCCAGCCTGGTGACAGAGCAAGACTCTGTCTCAAAGAAAAAAAAAGGAATTCTGGGTTTGAATCCTGCCTCTCCATCTGCTCTGCTAGGGATATGATTTAGGGCAAGTTGCTAGACCTCATCGGGCCTCTCTTTTCACATCTGTATAATAGAGGTGATATTGTTTCACTTCCATTTGTGAAATTTTCATGAGATTTGTTATTGTTGTTTTTATGTTAATCCCTAGTACATGGCCTGCTGTAAACACTCAGGACACCCAGGATATGGTCTTTGCTGTTTGATTTTCCTCATCCCCAGTCTCAAGGGGAAGCCAGGACAATGAGAACAGCCACTTGCCATCAGGAGTCACTGAAGGGGCCCCAGGATGGGATGGTGGGGAGATAAGAACCATGAGAGAAGTTGGCACAAAGGAGTTATGGGACAAAGGGTCCAAGATAGGCAGAAAAGAAAATGTTGCCAGTTGATGGGGAAGAAAGGAAGTCAGAGGGCTCAGACACTGTGGGGGACAGAACATCTCCATGTGCACTCTCATCTCTTGTAGTCAGCAACAGGTTTTCACAGGGAAGGCCCTACATCATCTGCTACCCTGAAAGATCTGGAGGTAAGAGGCTCTGGGCAGAGGTGCAGTGACCCTTCGGGTCAGCCCTCCAACCTCCTCCTCCAGGAGGGACTGGGTGCCCCTCTGCCAGCTGAGACAGCCCACACACCCCAGCCCTAATGATTGTTCTCTCTACCTCTCCCCCGACTCCTGCTCCACCTCCTCCTCTCTGCATGCACCTCAGAGCCCGTGCCAAGAACGAGCAGTAGTCCTGGATTCAAGGTCCGTAGAAATCAGTCAACTGAAGAACACCATCAAATCTTTGGTAAGAGTCCGGTGGGGTCCCCTGATTCCACGCTGCCAATCCTGGGCTCCAGTTTCCCCTTGGGGCCCTGAAGAAAGGGGCTGGGGGTCCCTGGTGCCCAGGACAAATAGGGAGCTTGGGTGCCCAGGCCTCACCTGGAGGGACCCCAGAGCATGCAGCATGGCTCTTCTTTTGCTGCCCTCTTTGCCGACTCTCTCCTCTCCAGACACCCCTGCTCGAGTCCTTGCTACACACGCCCTGGGGTTGTTGCCTCTTGGGGAAGTGCTAGCCTGACTGGTTGTCAAGGTCCCCGTATTTCTGCCATGACTCAGTCCCTAATTTGCTCTTTGATTCTGGACAAGCCACCTCTCCTTTTTGGGCTCGTGTTTCCAGAGGAGGTAGTGAGTATCAAAGGTCTCTGTTAGCTCTCGAGTCTGAGATTTAAAGGCCCCCGAGAATGGAAACCTCAGGGCTAAGGGCTCCTGTCTGTCCTTTTCCATCCTATATCTGCTGTAAAGAACCGTACCTGGTCCATACATGCTCAGTAAATGTTTATTGAATGAACCCACTTTTCTAAATCACAAGCTGCCAGAAGGAGGGGCCTTTCTGAAACTCCATCTCTAGAGGTTTATGTTGCTGTCCTCTCAAGAGATTCCAGATTCAGACTTTGAGTTCTGTGGCTGTGGGCAAAAGCCCACAAAGACCCAAATCCTCTGTCCTTGGGAGCTTGAGGAGAGTTTACCAGTTCGTGTTCCCATTATGTCTGAGAACTTTGCCTTTAAAATCCATTCCTGGCCCCTGCCTACCGCTTCCTGGTCTGGGGAATAGAGTTGAGGGGGCCACCCTCCATCACCTTATTTGACTCTCCCCACAGAAACAACAGAAGAAACAAGTGGAACATCAGCTGGAAGAAGTAACGTGATTTCGTTTCCTTGCAACATGACTGCTGGAAGAAGGCTCACCCTTCAGATTCCACCCCATCCCCACAGGGCCCCGATAACCTGGTCCCATGGGTGGGCCTGTCCTGGGGCATTGGTGGCATTCTGGGGGCATGTCTCTTGCTGTGCCATCTCTGCCTCCCCCTGGTAAGAGCTCTGTCTTCCTCTTCCTACAGGAAAAGAAAGCAAACAACAAGAAACAGAAAGCCAAAAGGGTGCTAGAGGTGAGTGGAGGGTGTGCAGTTTCCTCCTGTCCTCCGGAGAATGTTTCTTTCCTTCTCTTTCAGCACTTGCTTGGCTTTTCTCCCAAAGGTTCAACTCCAGACATTGAACATACAGAAAGAGGAACTAAATACGGACCTGTACCACATGAAACGTTCTCTCAGATACTTTGAAGGTGGGAATCTGGGCACCCTGTCATCCTTCAACCTGGCACTTTGACAGGTCTTCAGGGGGAGTCCTTTGGGCCCCATCTCAACTCTCTCACTACAGAAAAGTCCAAGGATCTGGCTGTCCGCCTGCAACATTCATTGCAGCGTAAAGGAGAGTTAGAGAGTGTTCTCTCTGATGTCATGGCCACACAGAAGAAGAAGGCAAACCAGGTGAGTCCAACCACCTGCCCCATCCCCTGGGAGTCTGGCTTTGCAGATGGAGGAGTGAGCCTAAAGGTCCCTTCTGCAGGATGGCGTGTCCTGCCCAGAAGGCAGCATGGCCATTTCTTGCTACTTTTTTGTATGGTTTTTAGTGGCAGCCTGGGGCTGAGTCAGCTGCTGTGGGTGAGTTGGGGGTCACTGTGTGGAGTGAGCACTGGACGCAGAGCTTGGAGGCCAAGTGCCTGCCCCGCCCTTACCTGGCTGTGGTCTTGGGCAAGTCCTAGGTGGGGTATTGGGTACTTGTACTGTGAAGGTACAGAAGAGTACCTTTAGTATGTTACCATTTCTGTAGAAAGAGGAAACGTGTGCATGTGTGTGTGTGTGTGTGTGTGTGTGTACATACTATGATAATATACATAAAACATGTCTGCAAGGGTTCATAAAAAATTCAGGAGAGAGCAACAAGATGGCCGGGAGATACTTCCCTTCTGTACCTTCTGAGTTTTGGACTATGCAAATGTATCATCCTTTCAAAAAGTGAACAAAAGATTAATTTTCCCCTTCCTATCTGTGCCCCCATCCCCAGCAAGAAAAACGGGCTTAGAGAATTGGATAGACCTGGGTGTTTATATCCCAGCTCTACCTAAGTGAACTTAGGCAAGCACTTAACCTCAAATACTCCATGTTTTTTATCTCCACAATAGAGGGAATCATAGTAACTGTCTCCTATGGTGGTTGCGAGGATTAAATGGGATTGTTAGCATGGTATCTGGTGAAGCATTCCACAAAGGTTCAAACAGTGGTAATAATAACAGTAATAACAATAGCAATATTATCTGATCTCTCTGGGCCTCTGTTAGCCAGCTATAAACTCAATCTCATTCCCTGTCCGTTCCAACTTTACTGTGTTCTTTTAAAAACCAGACCACGGGCTTGGAAATGCCTTGATCTTTACTGACCGAGTTGTATATTGGGCCTAGCCCGAGCCCTGTTAAGGGGCACTGTGTGGAAATGCCCAGGCTCTCCAGATTGAAACTTCTCACTCTTTGCCATCCAGTTGTCCAGCCCCAGTAAAGCAGGTACGGAGTGGAAGTTAGAGCAGTCCATGCGGGAGGAGGCACTACTGAAAGTGCAGCTGACACAGGTGAGGTTTTCTGAGGGAGTTATGTGGAAGGAAGATGACCCCAGGTGGCCAGGAGCAGGTGAGGACCAGTGACAGCCCTTCCTAAGTTCTGTGCCCATTCTTGCAGTTGAAGGAGTCATTTCAACAAGTCCAATTAGAAAGAGATGAGTATTCTGAACATCTAAAAGGAGAGAGGGCCCGGTGGCAGCAGAGGATGAGAAAAATGTCGCAGGAGGTGAGATCTGACCCTTCAGCCCCCCCACATTAGATAGGTCACTGGATCTTTCTGGTCATCTGTAAAATGGGAATAGTAGAGCCAGAGGTGGTCATGGGTCTGGGCTTTGTGGAGGTGGGGGCAGAGAGGGAGAGGGCAGCCTGTCCAGCCTCCAGCCCCTCTCTCCAGGGCCCTTTCCCCTTGTGCTTTGGGCAGATTTGCACATTAAAGAAAGAGAAGCAGCAAGATATGCGTCGGGTAGAGAAGCTGGAGAGGAGCTTGTCCAAACTCAAAAACCAGATGGGTAAGATGGGGCTGGCATGACCTGGGAGCAGGACTGGCATCAGAGGGCTGTGAGGGTGGCTTAGAGTGCCCCAGGGAGGTGGGTGGATGGAAGGGCTTTGAGGCAGAGGGAAAGAGATCTGTGCCAGGAGACGGCGAGTCTTGTCATCTCAATGAGTCTCAGTGTCTCAGTGTCCCCATCAGCAAAGAGGGCCCGTTGTCAGCCACCCGCAGTGCTCTTTCTCTGAAAGTGCTTTGGAAGACTGGCTACCATCTGGGTGCGAGGAATCATTAGCAGTGAGGCCAAGTTTGAGGAGCCTGAGAGGAGCTGTGCGCCAAGAGGAGGGTTTTTCTTTTCCGAGAATCCAGAGGCCCTTATTGTCTGCTTCCTTTCTCAGCTGAACCCTTGCCCCCGGAGCCCCCAGCAGTGCCCTCTGAGGTGGAGCTGCAGCACCTGAGGAAGGAACTAGAGAGAGTGGCAGGAGAGCTCCAGGCCCAGGTCAAAAACAATCAGCGCATAAGTCTCCTGAACCAGCGACAAGAAGAGAGGATTCGGGAGCAGGAAGAGAGGCTTCGGAAGCAGGAGGAGAGGATTCAGGAGCAGCACAAGAGCCTTCAGCAGCTGGCCAAGCCACAGAGCGTCTTCGAGGAGCCGGTGCGTTGCCCAAACTGGGGAGCTTGCCCTCCTCCCTAGCCCTCCGGGCCTTTGTTTCCCCACCTCTAAAATGGGGCAGTGTAGCCCTCACATGAAATGTTACTTCTAAAGGCACCTGTGAGCCAGGTGGCTGTGGGAGAGAGGGGGTGATTTTTCTAACCTGCCTCCAGCCTTCCCAGTGCCATGGGAGGCAGACACCAAGTTCTGGGGTCTCCAGCTGCAGTGGGTGGCTGCTGATTGCTTCTCTCTGTCCAGAACAATGAGAACAAGAGCACACTGCAGTTGGAGCAGCAAGTAAAGGAGCTACAGGAGAAGCTTGGCGAGGTGAAGGAGTCGGAAACCTCCACCCCATCCAAGAAGGGCTGGGAGGCGGGCAGCAGCCTCTGGGGAGGGGAGGTACCAGGCCAGAGGCAGCTTCCAGCCTGGGGGCTGGTGACCACAGCACCCCCCAGGGCAGTCCTGTTTCTTGCTTCCTGCCTCTGACTTTTAAAGGTGGGTAGCCCTGGGCTCCTCTCAGGTCTGGACATCATCATCCTAGCTAGAGGCATGGAGCCCCCAATCACAGGGGAAGAGACAGTGCTATAACAGGCTCCTTATGCCAGGTGCAGTGGCTCATGCCTATAATCCCAGCACTTTGGGAGGCTGAGGCAGGAGAATCACTTGAGGTCGGGAGTTTGAGATCAGCCTGGCCAATGTGGTAAAACCTCATCTCTACTAAAATTACAAAAAAAAAAAAAATTAGCAGGACATTGTGGTGCATGCCTGTAATTCCACCTACTCGGGAGGCTGAGGCATGAGAATTGCTTCAACCCAGGAGGTGGAGGTTGCAGTGAGCTGAGATTGCACCACTGCACTCCAGCCTGGGCCACAGAGTGACACTCTTGTCTGAAAACAAAACAAAAAGACTCCTTAGATTAAAACTGGATTCCAGCCTCGGTTCCACTGGTCACCGTTCAAGTACTTTGCATCTCTAAGTCTCTGTTTCTTTAACTTCAAAGGGAAGTTAGCATTTTCCTTACAGAGGTGCTGCGGATTAAATGAGAAGAGGGTATGAGATTTGAGGCTGGGGAAGGAGGCATGGGGTTCTAGGAAAGGGAGGCAGTCACTTAGGCCTGGAGTAAGGGGACAGGGGCCTGGGCAGCTGACAGAGCCCCACAGTGCCCTCGCTACCCTATTAATGGGCCCAGAATCTGGAAACCAGCCACCACGTGCCCTCACACCCAGGGTCTTCCTGCAGGTGGAGCTGAAGAGCCAAGAGGCTCAGAGTCTGCAGCAGCAGCCAGACCATTACCTGGGTCACCTGCAGCAGTCCGTGGCCACCTATCAGCAGCAGGTGGCCGCCTATCAGCAGTTGACCTGTGAGAAGGAGGCGCTGTACAGGCAGTGACTGCAGCAGACCCAGCTAATGAACCAGCTGCAGTAGCAGGAAGCTTGAGGCAAAGCGGTGGCCGATATGGCCTGCCAAAAGTTGCAGGAGACCCAGGGGAGGGAGCTGCCGAGGATGGGGCTGTGAGGGGGACGACCTGGCAAACTCCATCCCTTCTCACTCTTTCCTGGCCCCTTAGGAGCACCTGGAAGCTGCCAGCCAGCAGAACCAGCAGCTAACGGCCCAGCTGAGCCTCATGGCTCTCCCTGGGGAAGGTACGGGAGACCGCTCAGAGGAAGAGGAGAGAGCCCCAGGAGGAAGGGGGGACTGCTAGCAGCATAGGATTGAGGAGTTGGAAGAGACCTTTAGAACAGCTGGTCATTATGCCGACCGGGTGCCTGCACTAAGTTCGGCATCAGTGTGGTGACCTCCTGTGAGCGGGGGGTCACCAAGTTGCCTAAGGATGGCTGAACTGGCCAAGGTCAGAAAGGGAGCAGGTCAGAACTCCCACATCGACCAGTAGTGGGAGTGTGCCTGGGCGGAATAGCAAGATCTTGATTCTTAAAAGTAAAAATAAAGAACAACAGCTCATTCCTCTCTGGGGAGGGGCTGGCTCAGGGTTACACAGTGAGGGTGGAGGTAGAGGTGGGCCCACAGTACCTCCCTTGTTGGGTTGTCTGAAGACCCCTCTGGCCACCCCCCACAGGACACGGAGGAGAACATCTGGACAGTGAGGGGGAGGAGGCACCTCGGCCCATGCCGAGTGTCCCAGAGGACCCGGAGAGCAGGGAGGCCATGGTGAGCCTGACTCCCCCTGCACCCATTTTGCCACCTTTCTCTGTGGTCCCTCCAAGACCCCTTTATGCTCTTCGTTTCCCTGCCTTCTGATTTCTCTGGACCCTCACCCCTTCTGAGAGCCAGTGGTCAGACAACATTTCACCTGTGACCAACATGTGCAGTCTCTGGGGGCCCAAGGGAAGGGGTTGCGCTCCACCTCTCTGCCCCATTTCTTCTGTGTATGCCCCTAGAAGAATGCTCACATCTTGCCCTCAGGTGGCATTTCTCAAGTCCGCTGGAGCTAGTGCCCAGGAGAAGCAGGCACAGTTACAAGAGCAGGTGAAAGAGCAGAGGGTGGCTGCCAGCGCCTGGCTCACCCGGTGGCCTCGGCCCAGAAGGAGCCAGAGGCAGCCAGAGGCCCTGCAGCCCCAGGGCCTGGGGGCGAGTCTGTGAGTGGGGAGACCCACTGGGCCCTGCAGGAAGTCACGGAGAAGCTGGCCCATGCCAGGACTCACCTCCACCTTCTCCATGACTTGAAAATGCCACCTGAGGGCAGGTCGCTGCCGAGATGTGACTGCAATATTTTGGCTCCAGAGCAGCTTTATGGACCACCTGGAGGAGAAGGCAGACCTGAGTGAGCTTGTGAAGAAACAAGAACTTCGCTTCATTCAATACTGGCAAGAGAGATGCCATCAGTGAGTGGGAGGCCAGGGCACGGCAGGGGGAGCTGCAGGACCGTCGGAGGGGCCCCAGCGTCTGAGCCCCGTCCTCCCGCAGGAAAATCCATCACCTTTTATCAGAACCAGGGGGCCGTGCCAAAGATGCGGCACTGGGAGGAGGACACCATCAGGCTGGAGCTCAGGGAGGAGATGAAGGTAGGGTGTGCAACATCTCTGTGGGGGTGGGGGTGGGGGTGGGTGTGAGGGTGGGCGCAGGCAGCGGCATGGCAGCTGAGCACCCCTCCCTCCAGGTGAAGCTGCTGGAGCTGCAGCAGATGGTATTGCGGCTTACAGCAACTACAACAATGGGCACAGAAAATTCCTGGCCGCTGCCCACAACTCTGCTGATGAGCCCGGTCCAGGAGCCCCAGCTCCCCAGGAGCTTGGGGCTGCAGACAAGCATGGTGGTGAGTACAGCCCTCAGGTGGTGTGGGCAGGCAGGAAGAGGGGGCTCCCACTGTGCTCAGATCCCTGCCTCCCTCTCTCCAAAGATCTTTGTGAGGTGAGCCTCACCTCCTCTGCCCAAGGAGAGGCCAGGGAGGATCCTCTCCTTGACAAGCCTACTGCACAGCCGATCGTGCAGGACCACCAGGAGCACCCAGGCTTGGGCAGCAACTGCTGTGTGCCATTCTTTTGCTGGGCTTGGCTGCCAAGAAGAAGGAGATAAACATCACCATCCTCAAAGAGCTGCTCAAGAAATTTTTAAATAAGAAACCAAGTTATGGGGTTAATCTCCTACACAATTCATTTACTTCCTTTGAATGTTAGAGTCACTCATGATTATTTGTGTTTCTAATTTATAGTTTTAAGTTTATTTGTAAAAAGTTAAAAGAGAGTGGGTGTCTGTGGCTCTCACTGATGTTCACTCTGGCATCCTTTAGCATTTTTCTTTTTTAATTTCATAATTGTAGGTCATTAGCATGCATATCGAGTTTGCCCTTACGTGGTGGAAGTTCAAACACACAAAGACCCACTCTTTGCCCAAAACTGTTCTCGCTGGTTTGGAATAGGCTGCCATGCTTTTTTAATGTTATTGCAGCATGTATATTCACTACAGAATTCAGACAAAATTTGCCTATGTTCTGCTGTTGTTTGATCTAATCTTAATCACAGTGAGCTCTTCGTTAGCTCAATATGTAGTTTGCCCCCAAGTGTGCACTGTTTATTACTTTGTAATATGCCACTATGAGTACTGACATTTAGAGTTGTTTAAAGGCCAAGAACTGGAAACAGCCTTTCCTCCATTTTCTGTGTATTGGTGATGGGAGTGAAACCTTTTGGGGGAGCTTTTTAAATCTCACAGAAGAGGAAAGTGGCTTCCTCTGGCAGGTATGTGCAGGATAGAGTGTGTTTCATCTGTTCCGGTGCCAGGAATTAGCGGTGTATTATGGTGGTGCCCTTAGGATTTGTATGTGCTCTGGGCTCATGAAGATACTGCATCATGAGCTGCAGCAGTTGTACTCTTTTTCGATGACCTAAAAAGGGCTTATTTCTGAGGAATGAAAGGTTCCCATCGTTGACTGTGGATGTGGAAAACCTTTCCTAGCTTAGAGCATTTGTATCTACAATACATTTTAAAGTCAGAGTTCATGTTACCTGTTTTAATCGCATGACTACATGTCCCAGTACACAAAAGGACACTGGTTGGCATTCTTCTTAATGTATTTAGTGAAGATCATAAGAAATCCTTTATGAGTTCAAACGTCCCTGGAACAGGCATACAGGCTCTAGTCAAGAATGAATTAGAGTGAAGGAAAGCTGTGTGACACCTGGCATTCCTCTCTGTTCACGTATTCTTTGAGGCTTGAAGATTGATTTTACCATCTAGACCTCTTTGGCTAATACCTATTCTTCAACCACCTTGGTTACTCTGACATAGGAATTTACTTCTTTTTCCTTGAATGGAAAACACTTTAAAAAATAATAGAAACATTATTATAAACTAATATATGTGAGATACTTAGTTGAAACAAAAAGGAGTTTTAGTAGACGGTATTATACTATCTTTGAAAATCAAGGAGAAGTTTATGAAACTTAAAATGTGTACAAACTGCAGTGCAATCTACTGTTCGTGAATGTCAATGTATTATCAGGAAACGTGTCTATACAATCACAGAGTTATATTTTCTCACAGACTTCTTTACAAAGTGAAATATGTTTTTGTACCTCTGGGTTTCTGTTCGGGACATATTTTGTGCAATATTTATGTGATTGTGCCTATGCATGATGAATGAATGCATTTCAGTTATATATTGCCTAAATCGTAACTTGATGATGCTTGGGAAAGACTCAACAGTTAAAACTTCATGAAGTTCTAATGTCTGTGTTCCAAAACACATCACATTGTTAGGATGCAGGGAGATAGGTGTGTGTGCTCCCTGCGGTGGGGATTTCTAGTTACTAGATCATCTCCATTTTTAGCATTTGGCATCCTCATGATACTTCTATAAATATGACATTAACAGGAGAGCAACAGTACGATTTTACCGATGGAATAACAGATTTGCTGGCATTCACTGAAAGAGTGCAAATATTCGGTCCTTGTGACTTCCACTGACTCTTCCAAATTTTATGAATGTATCAATGTATTAGATAAACCCAGTTTCAGAATGATAAAGAAAAAATCTTAGACCAAATAATGCGGCTAATTAACAGTGGTACGATTTGTAGCCCGTGGGTTTAAAATGCACTTAAAGTCCTGTTCTCGCCTTTTATTTTCTGAACTTGCCGCTTTTGCATTCTTTGAGTTCAGTTTAAAGACAGTTACTTTAAGAGCATTTTAAACCCTCGGGCTAGAAATCGGACCACTGTTAATCAGCCACATTATTTGGTCTAACGTTTTTTCTTTTATCATTCTGAAACTGGGTTTATCTAATACATTGATAAATTATTGCAAAGGTACTTTTATCGTTGAAATCACTTCACTTTTACCCTGATAAATATCAGTGACTAGGAATGACCTTCGGATAGCGTTTAGCATCTGTAACCAATCTGACAATAATGTGTTCATGAGGTGCCTATGGATTAAATCACACACTGGCATATTTAAGCTGAAGGTCAGTCTGGAAAATAAATTTACTATATTGACTGAAATACCACTCTTTGTATAGGTATTTGTCATATATTTAAGAAAAAGCTAAAAAGAATGGAAATTGTATGACAATAACTCAAGTCTTTCTCCAAAGTGCATGCAGTCTTTTGCGATACCTCATTCAGCCGAGTATTTGTGCTCTTCCTCATTCTGTATAAGGCAGCTTTCAGTTTGCTTAGAAGGCAACATTGGAATGTTAGAGTTCATCAGAAACACAGAATTTTAAACTGTGAGTTCCACTGAATACATTTTAATTTCTGTAGGAAGAATCAAAATACCTATTTAAAGATGGCAATATATAATAATCATTTTAAAAGTATTTGATTCAACCTGATAATTTTCCAGAAATGAAAAAAAAAATCAGCTCTAAAACCAAAGCTGATTTTAGAAAATTTGAAAATGTAAATCAGCCCTATCCATAATATAGTTTCTCTAAAACTTTAAAGAGTTGTTTTAAAATAATATAACTATTAAAATATGTAACTGCTATCTTAATGTTCTGAAATAATTTAAAACATTTTAAAATATGAATACTGTAGTATAAAAGAAAGAAACAGTGGGAACGAAAAGCAGAGAAAGAAATGCCAATTCCAGTCCAAAGTTTTATTTGCCAAGTTTTCTTAGAATGAATTTTACCAGTTTATGAATTATTATAAACAGAATGTGTAATGGAAATACTGAAAGATTTTTCCCTAGAGTGGCCTTATTGACTGCTGGTGTGATGCCACTGTAATGTAATAAATTATTAAGTTGTTTGAATGTGTTGTTTTTGCCTTAAAATTTTATTTTGCGTTTCTTGAAAACTATAGTATTAAAGGTATTGATACTGTGCAAATGCTGGGCATGCTTGGCATGAGATAATGTGTTTCATTTTTACAAAGTTGTAATATAACTATGCAAGTGTTTATTAAAAACCAAAATAAAAAAGTTATGGGTTAATTAAAAAACTTTTATTAAAGTTTTATAAAAAGTTATTTTATTAAATAACTTTATTTAAAAAAGTTATGGGGTGAAAAAGTTATGGGATAAAAAATGTAAAAACGTTGTGGCAAAAAAACTTGTGGGAACAAAGTAGAAAACAGTATTATGAAAAGTTACAAAAAAAGTTATGAAAAAGAAGTTACGGGATTCTTTTTTAAAAAGTCATGGAATAAAAATAAAAATTAAAAGCAGGCCCCTGTCAGCAAAGCCTGGAGAAGTGGGGCCGGAGTCTCCACCGCCACCATGTCCCTACCACCCCTTCCCAGGCACCCCTTTACAATTAGGGTAGCAGGACAAGACCTCTGTCTAATGGGGAAAGACAAACAGACCCTTTGCCACCCTGACCAGGGCTGAGTCCCTAAATTTCTGGATGATGATGATTGTTATTTAAGAGCCAGAGGCTGGTGGAGTTGGTTTGTTTGGAGGAGGCCTGATGTCCCCCTTACTCTCACCATAGCAACTTTTCCCTCAGGGGGGCTCCCATCTTCTTATTCAGAGAGGTAGCTGAGGCCAGAAAGTGGGGCTAACTGTGGACCAGCGAGGGCATGGGCTGCTGGGGTGGCCCACCTTCCCCGGTGTACATACTGTGTCTGTGTAACATTTTGTATATTCCAGAGGGTAGGGCTGCCCCTGTATCATACCTAGCAGAGGTTGGAGCTGTCACATGGGGAGGAGGTTCTAATAATTATTTGTGGCTGGGAAACTTATTTATTGCTAGCGTAGGACAGAGGAAGGAGGCGGGGATGGGGTCGTGGCTCTCTGGTGGTATGATCACAGCTTACTGCAACCTCCAACTCTTAGGCTCAAGTGATCCTCCCACCTCAGCCTCCCAGGTAGCTGGGAGTATAAGCATGCACTACTATGCCTGGCTAATTTTTAAATTTTTTTGTAGAGAAAAGGTCTTACTATGTTGCCAATGCTAGTCTTGAACTCCTGGCCTCAAGCAATTCTCCCATCTTGGCCTCCGAAAGCACTGGGATTACAGGCACGAGACATTGCTCCTGTCCATTAGGTTTTCTCTTTATTACTGTTTTGTTGTTGTGGTTGTTGTTTTGTTTTGTTTTGTTTTGTTTTTTGACAGAGTCTTGGTCTGTTGCCCAGGCTGGAGTGCCGTGGTGTGATCTCGGCTCACGGCAACCTCTGCCTCCTGGTTCAAGCAATTCTCATGCCTCAGTCTCTCGAGTGTCTGGGGTTACAGGCATGAGCCACTGCGCCCCTGGCTAATTTTTGAATTTTTAGTTGAGACAGAGTTTTGCCGTGTTGGCCAGATTGGTCTTGAACTCCTGCCTCAAACAATCCGCCCTCCTCAGCCTCCCAAAGTGCTGGGATTACAGGGGTGAGCCACTGCTCCTGGCTAAGATCCCATCTCTATTTAAATAAAAAAAGAAAATTCAGAGCATGTGGAATACAGAACACCAAAGTCCAAAGTTATTTACCTCTCTGAGGTAATCTGTGTAAACAATTTGAAATATATCTTTTCAAGTTCATGCTTGCTATGCATATACATACATATACACACATACGTTGACATAGTCCCCCTTCCCTGCTGTCATGCTATTAGAGTCTTCTTTTTTTTGTAGAAATTGGACCAACTCTATGTTCTTTGCTGGCCCATATTTCTCCTATTCAGTGATGTGTTACAAATGTGTGTTTAAGTCAATGTATGCAACTCTTCAATATCATTTTAAAAGGTTAAATATACGATCATATGAAGGCATTAGAATTTATTCCAACAGTTCCATTTTGCACATTTAATAATTTCCATTGGTTTGCCAGGGAGAACATTCTCGTGTCATGGCTAAATCCTTTTGTATGGCCATCCTTAATTATTCCCCTAAGATAAACTTTTAAATAAAGTTGCTAGATGAGTCTCATTTCTTAAAAAGTTCTTTTTTGGTAGTTTATATGTAACACTGTAGTTTTATATGTACTTGCAAATAGCTATAGTGCCAGTAAAAAATGTGATAAAATTAAACTCTTTCACGTATGCCAAATATATTTTGATTTAGTGCTTCATTAAGTGCATGATTACAGTCTCTATATCTTTTGATTTACCTTTCTATCTTTACAATTTTCAGCCCAGATACTTAGAGGTCACATAGTAAATTAAGGTTTTCTTTTTATAATAATCCCCATCTTTCTAAATTTGGTGAGTCACAGTAAGTTATTTTTTGGTTGTTGAAAGCTGTGGCTCTGTTCTAAATTTGAGCCCAGAAATCATGCCACTTACAAAATATGCTTTGTCTTCCAACATCAGAGTGTGTGGTAGAAGGTGACTGTTCTTGGAATTTAAAAAATCTAAACAGGACAAGACAAGAATATGGAAAATATTTCTGTTTCTGATAATATGGCTGAGTAGGTACTCTGCAAAGCCTCTGTCATAAAATAGACATTCTGGATGGTCCTTGCAAAGACATATTTGATCTTGCCAAAAAAAAAAAAAAATCCAGAATCTCTAAGAATGAAGATGAAGTGAAAATCAGAAGGGCTACTATGAGAATAATGGGGAAGCAGCCCCAGTTATCAAGGGATGTTTGCATGTGTTCAATAAAAAGTTTCAAACCTAAAAAAAGTTAAGAAAAATAATATAACTGCCCTACATACATACATCATCAACAATTTTTCATTCATGGCATGGCCAGTTTTTGTTTTGTTTTTTTTTTTAAAGGTGGGCTTTTGCTGTGGTTGCCCAGGCTGGAGTGCAGTGGCATGATCTTGACTTACTGAAACTTCTGCCTCCCAGGTTCAAGCAATTCTCCTGCCTCAGCCTCCTGAGTAGCTGGGATTACAGGCACCCGTCACAACATCCGGCTAATTTTTGTATTTTTAGTAGAGATGGGGTGTCACCACGTTGGCCAGGCTGGTCTTGAACTCCTGACATCAGGTGATTTGCCTGCCTCGGCCTCCCAAAGTGCTGGGATTACAGGCGTGAGCCACCGCACCTGGCCACATCCTGTTTTGTTCCATTTGTATTCCCACTTCATTTATATACATTCCTTCTTCCTCTGAATTATTTTTAAGTAAAACCTATATATCATATCATTTTTAAAATTACCTTATATGTATCTGTAGAAGACAAGGAATTTTTAAAAATAAATATACTCATAACGCCATTAAATATCAAAAAATTAATACATTCTGAAAATAGCCACAAATCCAGAGTTCACATTTTCTTGACTTTCTCATAAGTGATTTTTTCTAGGTTATCTATTTCAATCAGATACCTGTTTGCTCATATTTACATTCCTAACTGAACAATGTCTGAAGAGGTACTTAAACCTGACATAAAACGCAAATGAGCTTATGACCAAATGCTTAGTGCAAGAAAAAACTTCACACTGCAAGATGAGTCCCTCCAAATACAGAAAGGACCAGTATTTTAAGAGGTATGTTAACTACAATGTTGCAGTGTATGGAGCAGAGCAGGAAGAACCTTTAAGTCTGAAAAGTACAAGTAAATTTCAGTTTCCCTGGTCCTTCCACAACAACCTCTGGCATCTGTTTTTTCTACAATGGAGGTAACAGTAGCTCTTTCAGAGCAGGAAAAGGCTTAGAGCAGTGCTAGAAGAGGGTGGTGGCTATATAAAGTGTAGCTATTTGTATATTGTAACAAACCAACTTTTTTTTTTTTTTTTAAGTCAATAGTAGATTTCTTTTGGAAAAATAGCAGCCTCCTGTCTGGGGACACCTGCAGTTCCACTAAGTGAACATTGGTGTCTGCTCACCTTTGCCTCTATTTCTCTCAATAATATACTCTTAAGCTGTTCCCTGATTTAGCAATTTTATATACTTTCTTTTTCTTTATTTTTTTTTCCTTTCCCTTTTCCTGAGACACTGTCCCGCTCTGTCGCCCAGTCTGGACTGCAGCAGCGCCAACATGGCTCACTGCCACCTCCACCCCCTGGCTCAAGCAATCCTCCTACATCAGCCTTCAGAGTAGCTGGGACTGCCCGCCGGGCCCACCAGGCCAGGCTAATCTTTATGGTTTTTGTTTTGTTTTTCTGTTAAGAGACCTGGTGTCAGGTCAGGCGCAGTGACTCACGCCTGCAATCCCAGCACCCCAGAAGGTGGAGTCCGGCAGATCACCTGAGGTGAGGAGCTGGAGACCAGCCTGACCAACATGGAGAAACCCAGTCTCTACCAAAAAAATAAAAAAATAAAAAACTAACTTGGCATGGTGGCTCACGCCTGCAATCCCAGCCACTCAGGAGGCTAAGGCAGGAGGACCACCCAAACCCGGGAGGTGGAGGCCACGGGGAGCTGAGACCGGGCCACTGCACTCCAGCCTGGGCAACAAGAGCGAAACTCTGCCTCAAAAAAAAAAAAAAAAGACCGGTTTCACCACGTTGCCCAGGCCGGTCTGGATCTCCTAGGCTCAATCGATCCTCAGTGCTCGGCCGTCCAAAGTCCCAGCTGGGATCACCAGCGTGAGCCACCACGCCAGGCCAATCTGTTCCTTTCTGATTAATAAATTGGGCCGGTCACAGTGGCTTATGCCTGGAATCGCACCACCCCGAGAGGCCGAGGCGGGTGGATAACCTGCAGTCGGGAGTTTGAGACCAGCCTGACCAATGTGGAGAATACTCGTCTATACTAAAAAAAAAAAAACAAAAAATACAAAGTTAGCAGGCATGGTGGTTCACACCTGCAATTCCAGCCACTCGGGAGGCTGAGGCAGGAGAACCACCCAAACCCAGGAGGCGGAGGCCCAGTGAGCTGAGTCCACGCCACTGCACTCCAGCCTGGGCAACAAGAGCGTAACTCCACCTCAAAAAAAAAAAAACAAAACAAAAACAAAAAACAAAGCGACCGGGTTTCACCGTGTTGCCCAGGCTGGTCTGGAACTCCTAGGCTCAAGCGATCTGCCGCTCTCGGCCGTCCAAATTCCTGGGATCACAAGCATGAGCCACCACTCCAGGCCAATCTATTCCTTTCTAATTAATAAATTGGGCCAGGAACGGTGACTCAAGCCTGCAATCCCAGCACCCAGGGAGGCCGAGGCGGGCGGATCACCTGAGGTCGGGAGTCTGAGATCAGCCTGACAAACATGAAGAAACCCCGTCTCTACCAAAAAAAAAAAAAAAAAAGCCGGGCATAGTGGCTCACACCTGCAATCCCAGCCACTTGGGAAGCTGAGGCAGGAGAACCAACCAAACCCGGAGAGGGAGGCCACAGGCAGCCGAGACCACGCCACTGCACTCCAGCCAGTCAGCAAGAGCGAAATTCTGTCTCAAAAAAAAAAAAAAAAAAAAAAAAAGAGAACAAGTTTCATCATGTTGCCCAGGCCAGTCTGGAACTCCTAGTCTCAAGTGATCCCCCGCGCTCAGCCCTACAAAGTCCTGGGATCAATCGTGAGCCACCACGCCAGGCCGATCAGTTCCTTTATGATTAATAAATTGGGACTTGCGCAGTGGCTCACGCCTGAAATCCCAGCACCCCTAGAGGCCGAGGCGGGCAGATAACCTGAGGTCGGGAGTTTGAGACCAGCCTGACCAACATGGAGAAACCCCATCTCCACCAAAAAAAAAAAAAAAAAAAAAAAAAAAAAAGAGCCGAGCATGATGGCTCACGCCTGCAATCCCAGCCACTAGGGAGGCTGTGGCAGGAGAACCACCCAAACCGGGGAGGCAGAGGCCCGGCGAGCTGAGTCCACACCACTGCACTCCAGCCTGGGCAACAAGAGCGGAACTCCGCCTCAAAAAAAAACAAAAACAAAAAACAAAAAAAGTGACCCGGTTTCACCATGTTGCCCAGGCTGGTCTGGAACTCCTAGGCTCAAGGGATCCAACACGCTCGGCTGTCCAAATTCTTGGGATCACAAGCGTGAGCCACCACACCAGGCCGATCTATTCTTTTCTGATTAAGAAATTGGGCTGGGTGCGGTGGCTCACACCTGCAATCCCAGCACCCTGGTGGCTCATGCTTACAATCCTGAAGCAGGATTTTTAAGGAATTAGAGAGACTGATGGGGTTTAGGAGGTTATTAATTAATTATTTACGTGCATTGACCCAGTCGGATTAACATTTAAAGCACTGAGTTCTGAACAAGACTTACCTTTTAAGCATTTTATGGGGTGGGGGTAGATCTGTGCAGGGTGAAGCATATGATAGAAGTGAGAAACAAAGATAATTGTTCAATTGAATCATGCATTATATTATTTTTTCCTTTTTTAGGAAAAATATGTTTTGTAACTTGAGTTTGTTTAGTGACCTTGCAGTTGTACAGTTAGGGAATTAGGGTTTTTATAATGCCCGGGAAGGGAGGAGAGATAAGGCTCACTGCCATAGAAAAACAGGAGGTAGTAGTTTTTTTTGAAGGACTCTAGCTCTTCTCTTTCTCAGGGGGAATTGGGTTTTTTTACATACAACTGAGTTTTTGTTTACACATTTTTAAATTTCTTTTAATTCCTGTTCCCATCCCAGCACCCTGAGAGGACGAGGCAGGCAGATAACCTGAGGTCGGGAGTTTGAGACCAGCCCCACGAACATGAAGCCCCATCTCCACCAAAAAAAATAAATAAATAAATTAGCCGGGCATGGTGGCTCAGCCTGCAATCCCAGCCACTCGGGAGGCTGAGGCAGGAATATTTTCTCCCTCCCTTAGATAAAAGATAGCATATACCATTGTGCACTTTGTTTTTTGACCTGGGGTGGGGTCTCACTCTGTCACTGAGGCTGGAGTACAGTGGGGTGATCTTGGCTCACTGAAACCTCTGCCTCCTAGACTCAAGCTGTCTTCCCACCCCAGCCTCCAGGGTAGCTGGAACCACAGGTGTGTGCCACCACACCCGGCTATTTTTTTTGTATTTTTGGTAGTGACTGGGTTTTGCCATGCTGCCCAGGCTGATATCGGGCTCAGGCGATCCACCTGCCTCAGCCTCCCAGAGTGTTTTCAAAGTGCTGGGAATTACAGGTGTGAGCCACTGCATCCGGCCCATTTTGCACCTTTTTAAACTTCTCTTAGAGATCACTTCATATCTGTTTATAGAAATGTTCTTCATCTTTTTTAAAATTAGTACTTTGTAGTGTGGATGTACCACTTTTTTATTCAGTTAGGTTTTTTTTTGACATTTGAGTGTTAGGTCTTTTTTTCTGACATTATAAGACTAAAATATGAAAAGAAAAACTAGAAAAAATTTCAAAGAAAATTTACCTGTCTTTGTGATCTTGTTGTAGGGAAACTTTTTGTAATGGTTAGTATCCAGGATATGAAAAATAGCCTAATAATGAAAAGAAAAACTTAAGACAAAATGGGCATAGGATGTGAAGAGTTACTTTATAGAGGAAGAAACTGGAATGGTCAGTAAACATGGGAAAAGATACTTGAACTAGAAACTCATGGATAAATTGAAAGTTAAAATGACTATTCTGTCATCTTCAGATTGGCGAAAATGTAAGTCTGACAGAATTGCTGGCAGAGATATGGGCCAGTGGAAACTCAGCTAGGTAAAGTGGAGTGCAATTTTATAATCTCTAATGAAGTTGAAGATGCACATACCTGAGCAAAAAAACACATGTGTACAAAGAAATTTGGAAAACCTGTTTATCACGGTAGTATTTGCAGTAACATAAGATGATGCAGAATGTAAGTTAACCAACAAGAGATTGGATAAACTCATATCCATGTGGTGGAATATTATACAGCAATTAAACATGAACATACTAGATTGAAAAGAATTAACATGGGTAAATCTCATGAAGAAAACTTTGGGTGAAAAAGGCAAGCTGCAGAAGGATATGGGCAATATAATAACATATGTGAGTAGTTCATTTCCATATTTATGTTGTTTCAAAGGAGTTATCGGCCAGGCACGAAGGCTCACACCTGTAATCCTGGCACTTTGGGAGGCTGAGGTGTATCGGGCAAAATTCACCCCCGATATTTCACATAGTTTCTTTTCTATTTTCCCTAAGTGTTGGCCGGTCTGAGAAATAAAGGAACAGAGTACAAAAGAGAAATTTTAAAGCTGGGTGTCTGGGGGAGACGTCACATGTTGGCAGGTTCCGTGATGCCCCCTGAGCCATAAAACCAGCAAGTTTTTATTAGCAATTTTCAAAAGGGGAGGGAGTGTACGAATAGGGTGTGGGTCACAGAGATCACATGCTTCACAAGGTAATAGAATATCACAAGGCAAGTGGAGGCAGGGCGAGATCACAAGACCACAGGACCGGGGCAAAATTAAAATTGCTAATGAAGTTTCAGACACGCATTGTCATTGATAACATCTTATCAGGAAACAGGGTTTGAGAGCAGACAACTGGTCTGACCAAAATTTATTAGGCAGGAATTTCCTCGTCCTAATAAGACTGGGAGCGCTATGGGAGACCGGGGCTTATTTCATCCCTCTGCTGTGACTGTAAAAGACAGCCGTCCCCAAAGTGGCCATTTCAGAGGCCTCCCCTCAGGGATACATTCTCTTTCTCAGGGATGTTCCTTGCTGAGAAAAAGAACTCAACGATATTTCTCCCATTTGCTTTTCAAAGAAGAGAAATATGGCTCTGTTCCGCCCGGCTCACCGGCAGTCAGAGTTTAAGATTATCTCTCTTGTTCCCTGAACATTGCTGTTATCCTGTTGTTTTTTCAAGGTGCCCAGATTTCATATTGTTCAAACACACATGTTCTACAAACAATTTGTGCAGTTAACGCAATCATCACAGGGTCCTGAGGCGACATACATCCTACTCAGCTTATGAAGATGACGGGATTAAGAGATTAAAGACAGGCATAGGAAATCACAAGGGTATTGATTGGGGAAGTGATAAGTGTCCATGAAATCTTCACAATTTATGTTCAGAGACTGCAGTAAAGACAGGCGTAAGAAATTATAAAAGTATTAATTTGGGGAACTAATGAATCTCCATGAAATCTTCACAATTTATGTTCTTCTGCCATGGCTTCAGCTGGTCCCTCCGTTTGGGGTCCCTGACTTCCTGCAACAGAGGTGGGTGGATCACCTGAGGTCAGGAGTTTGAGACCAGCCTGGCCAACATGGTGAAACCTCATTTTGGGGTGTGGTGGTGCATGCCTGTAATCCCAGCTACTCGGTAGGCTGAGGCAGGATAATCACTCGAACCGGGGAGGCGGAGGTTGCAGTGAGCCCAGATTGCAACACTATACTCCAGCCTGGGTGACAGAGCAAGACTCCATTACCAAAAAAAAAAAAAAAAAAAAAAAAAAAAAAAATCTCTTAGTTTCTGATGGTTTTCCTGACCATATATGTGATGCCAAAGTTGCTTTTTTGTTGTCACATCTATTGGCATCAAGTGCTGAACTTTTCATGGAGTGGCAATTTTTTGGTAATAAAGCAACTTTCAAAATGAGTCTAAGTTTATCTCTGGAAAAGTTTGAAAGAATCAGTGAAGGTTCTTTTAGACAGTACCCATGTTCTACAGATCAGCCATTCTCTGTCTCTCAAATTTTCAGTAAACCTTTCCACATAGGATGTCAGCACGATTTTAATACATTAAATATATGTAAAATAAGGCAAATTAAGACACAACTCCATCAACTCTCATCTGCTCTGGGCTTATTTCTCTTCATAGTACATAACACCATCTACGTCATATGCTTATTGTCTGTTTCTATTAGAGCAGGGTATTTTTGTTAGTGCTGTTAGTGTGCTCAGCATATACAGCAACACTTGGCAGACAGTAGGTGCTGAATGAAAGAATGAAGAAGAACAGAACTTATTTTACTAAAGACATTTTGATATCACTTTTGGGATAGGATACTATACATTAAAGATGATACACTGTTTATTCCAGAATGGTCTTAGCTACAGTGTTCACAGCACAGTATTTGTAGACTTAATGCTGTTATCCATTCTACCTTCCTTTGAGGTTGGCATGAGAGTTGCCCGTCAGCGTATGTGTGCTCTTAGAAATCAGGGACAATACTATCATTTTAAGCTTCTTGGCAGTGACGTGTACTTAACTAGATGGTGAACTCATAGGTGGATGGGGAGTATCTAATGCTTTTGTATTCTGCTTTTCAGCAAATAAATATTACCGTACTGTGTGTGTAACATGAGCTATATAAGTGTGTGATGATTAAATTAGAAGATAGGGTTCTCTGCAATCCAGTTTTCCAAGATAAATTTTTGCCTTGTTTTTCTTAGGTAATAAAGGTACCATATTGACTGTTGATATATGCCTACTTAGTCATGCTTCTCTTGCAGTAATCTTATCAAATTACCAGCTTTTTACTTTTTTAGAGAGACAGTCCTAGAATTGAGAATCCTCCTTTGCCTACATTCAAAATGAGACTATATTATGTGGGTAGGAAATTTCTGGTGACCTACTTTTAATTTTTAAATTTAAAAAAATATTAGCATAGTTTTATATTTAGAAAACAGTTGCAAAGGTGGTATAGAGAGTTTCTGTGTACCACACAGGCACCCAGTTTCCCTTGTTGCTAACATCTTACATGATTATGGTATATTTGTCACAACTAACAAATCAGTATTGATATATTATAACTAAACTGCATACTTTTAGGGGTAGTGACCCAGTTTTAAAGCTTATTTCCCACAATTTGTTAAAAATGACAATCAGTATTGAGTGCCCATGGGTGGTGGCTTACTGATTCTTCAAAGAAACTGAGTAATTTTGTAACCATTGGGACTTATCAGGAAATAAGGAACTCATAATAATGTGCGCTTAAATTTCCAGTGGAGGAATTGTACAGCTTAACATACGGTTTTGTAAGTTGGGTATTAACACATAAAGAGGCTGGGTGGGGTTTGATCACTATTAAAACTGATTTGTTTTGTTCCCTGGAAAATATGTTACTACCACATGGTCTACCCTTCATAGATAATCGAACCTAAGATCACTGGGCAGAAAAGGGTTGCCCTGTAGTAGGAAATGTGTCCTCCTGGGACTGAGTTGAGATTTAGTTTAGCACACAGAATAAGTAGCCAATGGCTGCTATGAGTCTGACTTCTATAATTCAAATTGGTATAAATTAAATCTAATTCTTTTCCCCAGGACTGCCCAATTTAAGATTAAGTTTTATACTGGCGCTTATTAGAGATATGGCCATTTTGCCATTTCAGTGGAACCTTTTAATCAGCTTTAATGCTGTCTTAGGTAAAGTAAAAACTTAATCTAAGGGCTTTTCTAGTTTGCCATCCTCAAAGCAGAAAAAGCAGCAATGAAGCAGCACTGCCTCATATAGACTCTGCTTTTATTAAATTTGCTTCAATAATCCTCTTCCAGTCATCTTTTGTGCTGCATATTTGAACCATAAAATAAGCAAAAATTGTACCCAAATGAAAATTTCAAGTTATTTTAATGAAGCTCTGGAAACATCCCACAGCTCAGAAGATGTTTTTTCCTAGTTTATTTTTTAAATTCTGGAAAGTAGGTCAGTAGACATACCCTGCTTTAATTGGTTTAATTAGAAGTGAAAAATTATAGGACTAACTCAATTTGAAGTATAGATTTCAATAAGAATTATACTGGGATGAATATTATTTAAGGTTTTGAATTTAAGATGCATTTAATCAATGCTTATAATTTCCTCTTGAAAAGATTTATATTGCAAAAAGGAACACTAAGTGTTGGAATATGTCAATATATAGGGAAAAACTTTGCCATGAAATAGAATATTTGATAAAATCATTTTAGAATTGTATCTCTAAATGGTATGCCTAAGAATATTGTTCTATAGGACCTTAATAGATATGCCTCGGGGGAAAAAAGTATTGTGTGCTCAAGTGAGTTTGAGATATACTGCATTAAATATAAGAAGTTGCCTGCAGGACTTCTCAGAGTCTTTAACACTTTCTGAATTTCTGAGACAAGATATATAGAGGGTACAGTACTTTGCAAACCTATTTATCCCTATACCACCTAGTAACATTTTTCAGGAAAATGTTTTGAGAACACGAATTTGACCTGTTTTAGGAATTTATACCTTTGACAATGTTGAGGACCTTGTCTTTTCCTATTATAATGATGATGTGATATTCACATATATTACTTTTTCCCAATTCTTTAAGATATTTTTCCAATGTATTATATTCAACCCTCTGCTCAGTGCCTTCCTTCTGCTAACTAAAGTGATGGTTTCCGTCTGTTGCTACACATCAGACATACTTGGCCCTGACCCTGGAGATTCTGTATGAACAGAAATGCCAGAATACCTGCTCAGGATTCTGTATTTATTACAAACACCCAGGTGATTCTGATGCAGCCAACACTGGTCCTCCAACTGATGCTTTGGAATTGTTGAACTAAAAGCATGCCTTTTTTTCTAGATGGATGAGTAGATTGGGGCATAGTTTGTGGTCCTAGAACACATGGGTTAACCATCCCTCCTAGTGAGAATGATAGCACAGGCCTCTGATGACCCCACGAGGTGCTGTGCTGGCTATAACCTAACATGAAACGATCATTATTCCTTAAGAAAAGCAGAATATGTCTAAATGGGCTTTTAGTCACCTTCCTAATAATGAAGTACCATATATATGACTACCATTTGTTTTAATTTCAAGTAATTCCCTTGTAGATGATGTTTTATTTATTCTTTTTTTTTTTTGAGACAGAGTCTCGCTCTTTCGCCCAGGCTGGAGTGCAGTGGCGCGATCTCGGCTCACTGCAAGCTCCACCTCCTGGGTTCACGCCGTTCTCCTGCCTCAGCCTCCTGAGTAGCTGGGACTACAGGCGCCCGCCACCGCGCCCAGCTAATTTTTTGTATTTTTGGTAGAGACGGGGTTTCACTGTGTTATCCAGGATGGTCTCGATCTCCTGACCTCGTGATCCGTCCGCCTTGGCCTCCCAAAGTGCTGGGATTACAGGTGTGAGCCACCGTGCCCGGCCTATTCTTTAAAAAGAATATTAGATTATATTTTCTAAATGTGCCAAGTATCTAAGAATATATTCTTTCACCTCCTGCTGATAAGAGTTATACATTTAACCTTAAGCAAATCTGCCAAGATTCTATGTCATTTATGCTTTGATTTATGTGAGTATTAATGTAGTTTCTGTGACTATTGTATGGTTATATATACCCTCCACCTAGTAAAACAGTTCCATATTCCTGGAAATGGTCTTTTACATCCTACAAGTGTAGCTGGAAAGGAATAATATAAATACTAATGGTTTGAGAGACAACTAGTCTTGACATGTCTTGGTTGAATAGTGTTCTATAAGCAACAATATATGAAATACTAGACATACCCATTAAAAGTAGAAAATACCCACTACTGTTTTAAAATTATTCTGCAAGATCTCATCAATGCAATGAGACATAAAACAGAAATAATGGGTGTAATTATTGAAAATTGGAGATAAAATTTTTATTACTTGTAAACAAAATTCTGTCAAAAACCTGACAAATTAAACAATACAATTAATATGTTTAATAGAACTAATTACATATGAGAGGCATCCAAAATCCATTTTTTCTATACAAACATGGTTTGATATACAGTCATTTTATCTGTATATTAATTGGTTTATGAAATAACAAATAGAAAAATCAAGTATGCATTATCAAGTTAAAGAAGCAGGAGAGATGGAGCTATAAAAACAGAGAAAAGAATGTTGTAAGGAGGGCTTAACGACCAGGATAAATGTTGTAGAGAGATCAATTAAAGTGATGGCCTAGAGATCACGGGCTTCCTTTGGCAGAGCCATGTTGGTGAAGTGAAGGAAGTGGAAGCCAGACCACAATGGTTGAAGAATGAATGTAATGTAAGAGCCAAGACATTTATTTGAGTCTGATAGTAATGAAAAAGGACGAGAATTTTCTTCTTGCTGTTGTTTTTGTCATTTCATGTTCAAAACCCTTTATCTCCCATGTGGGACTGAAAACTCCAAGATGGGATCTCTGTTTCTGTGAGGCCTGTAGTGCTTAGTACATCCTTGAATGTGTGAGGCTCTCATTGGTATAAGTTTAATTCCTGACTGTGGATGAAATCTTTAAAACTTTGCGGGCAAAATACAGAATGAATTTCAGTGAGTTCCCATGTATTAAACAAGGTGGCACTGGCTGGAGACATGCTGTCCCTGTGCCCACAGGAGTAGCAGTGCTGTGCTCATCTTCCTGACCCGCTCTTCACAGTCTTCACCGCCTTTCTTCAGGAGTCTCCCCTTTGGCTTTTCCACAGCTATGAAACCCACGTAGTCGGACACCCTAATGCTTCTCCTGCAGGGCGTGTGATGAGGAGGTGAGCTTGGCTTTGGAGTGCTGGGAACCTGAGGAATTGCCAAGGACCCAGAGCCCAGCCCTGACCACCCAGGGAGCCCAAAACACAATGAACAAATTGAATTTCCACAACAACAGAGTCATGCAAGACCACCGCAGCGTGTGCCTTTTCCTTCCCAATGAGAATCTCTGAACATCATCATAAATGTGAGTAGATCTCAATATAATTCTGATAGCTGGAGGATAGTGTATTTTCAGGTTTGCTGCAGGAAAAAAACTGGACTTTAAATAATTAAGACAAAATGATTGTATTAATTGACTTCTATTCTTAATCACTAATTTCATTTTTTATATTTCCCTTGACTTTTGGGGGAGAAATAGTCTTTGTCTCAAAAGTGGGCTTCAGTGACCTATGGGTTTGATAAAGCAACCAGAGATAATGAGACAAGGATATTTAATGGCAACATGCCAGCAATTATTATTAGTTAATTGAAAGCGTTTATGATTTTGGCCTGGGGCCAATGCTTTCCCCTTCTGCTGGACTAACATGTGGGTAAGGGAGAGGAAAAGCTTTGTTTCACTTTTTAAATAAAAGTATTACGTAACTTTGAAATTTGTATAAAATTAAAAGATAGTAAAAACAACTATTCTAACAGAATTCAAAACCTGTTATGCTTCAGTGGAGAGATTATTCAAGATAAGTCCGTGGGAAATTGGGAGTACATTTCTACTGGCAAAGTTAGTGATAACTATGCACTTCTGACAAAATGTGAAATGAGGGGTATGGGCGTGCCATATCATCATGGTGCAGATACGTGGATGTGTGCTTCCAAACAATGGCAACCTAACTGACTGCTGGAACCATACAAAATACCTGAAACTACTCAGAAAGAAGGTGAAAATTGCATGCAAAAATTATTTGAAAAATATTGAGCTAACACATGAATTTTGAATTATAAGTGAGGTATTGTAACTCACCTACAGATGTGTTTTTTGTAATCAATATTCATGGACTCAGACTACACAGTAAAAGCTTACATAGAAATCATTCTATCTAAACTTTCTGGATACGAAAGTAACCTAGTATGCGTTTTGCTACTATATCTTTATATGAATTTAAATCACATTTCCAAGTGGCTTACAGTAATCAAGGTTGTCACAAGGAAGATGCAAATTAAAACCACATTGCAATATCACTGCACACCCACTAGTACGGTTTAAAAGAAAAAAAAAACAGAAAATATCAAGTATTGGTGACAATGTGGAGCAAACAGAACTCTTTTTCAATAATGGCAGGTATGTAAAGTGGCACAAACACTTTGGAAACCTGTTTGGCATTATACTGTACTAAACCTGAACACACGCATTGTTTATGACCCAGGAATGCCCCTCCTGGGAACCAACAACAACGCATATATGTGTTGCATATGTTCACCAAAAGACATTTACAAGAATGTTCATAGCAGCACTATTTGAAATCACCCCCAAGTAGAAAATGCACAAATATTTAACAGTAGTTGGATAAAGTGTGGTACGTTTATGCAATATAATACCATATAGAAATGAGAGTGAGGGATCTGCAAACTAATATGCAACTGTACAAACGAATCCCACAAATATAATGTTGGGTGGCAGAAGCCAGATGCAAATGAATACATGCTGTAGATTTCATTCTTTTACATTAAAAAAGCTAGTCACACAAAGTTATGCTGTTAGAAGAGAGTGATTTGGTCGGGCGCAGGGGTAGTTACAGGAAGGGAGTACACGGAGATTTCTGGTTGTTAGTTATGTTCAGTGTCAATCTAGGTGCTAAACAGGTACAATAAAGATTTTAGAATTCATCAATTTGCACACTTATGATAGATGCACTTTCCTGTATGTATATTTCAATAAAATCTTTTAAAAAGTAAAATGACAAAAAGACACTATTAACAAAAATGACATATTATATTAACTGTTATACTAAGGAAAATATAAAAATGAGTTCTATAACAGGGGCTCTGCAGGTCATGTGGTCATGCCAAGGACCATATGTGCTCAAGATTCTCATGACATTTTGGAAGGAGGTTGGGCTTTCTTTATCTTTCCTTTCTTCTCTCCCTTCCCTTCCCTTCCCTTCCCTTCCCTATTTTTAAACCTAGGTTTGGTATTTTCCTGGGGTGATGGTGACTTTGGAAAATTGGGCCGGGGCGGAAGTGAAGGCTGCAACATTCCCCAGAACATTGAGAGACTAAATGGACAGGGGGTGTGCCAGATTGAGTGTGGAGCTCAGTTCCTACTGGCGCTCACCAAGTCTGGAGTGGTGTGGACATGGTACGTAAACGTCCTCCCCGTCACAGTGTGTGTGCTTGTGCCGGCGCGTGCAGGGAACTTGGGCCTCGCCCCAGGACCACCCCGGCGTGATTGTGACCTGTCATATTTTTACTTATGCATGCATCTTTGTCCTTTAAAGGATATTGAGTCGGGATTAGTGACAATAGTACAAGAAGAAATTTCCTATTGTAACTGGGTCATTTTGAAAATACTAGAAAAATTTTAGGCCACTTACCTTTCCTGTTTGGGCGAGATTTATAGGAAGTGTTTCTTCTGCTGAAGCCTAAGGATAAAATGAGAGCAAAATAGCCTTCTGAATCCTTTGATCCTGAGAAAGTTAACATGTATTTCTTGTAAAAGCTTATTATATTAATGTGCAAATGAGCAGGTGCCCAGACTGGCCTTGGATGCTGTGTCAGGCCTTGCTGCCTCTGGTCATAACATTGGCACTATTTATTTATTTATTTATTTATTTATTTATTTATTTATTTATTTATTTGAGATGGAGTCTCGCTCTGTCGCCCAGGCTGGAATGCAGTGGCACAATCTCAGCTCACTGCAAGCTCCGTCTCCCGGGTTCACGCCATTCTCCTGCCTCAGCCTCCCGAGTAGCTGGGACTACAGGCGTCTGCCACCATGCCCGGCTAATTTTTTTGTGTTTTTAGTAGAGATAGGGTTTCACCATGTTAGCCAGGATGGTCTCGATCTCCTGACCTTGTGATCCACCCGCCTCGGCCTCCCAAAGTGCTGGGATTACAGGCGTGAACCACTGCTACTGGCCGACATTGGCACTCTGAGAAAGATGTATACCAGATAGGACTTTGGATAGGTGTTTGCAGTAATGTGTCTTATTTTCAGTCTATATGAAAACCTACAACAGTAACTTAAATATTGTAGAACATGTATTAAGGTATTAAGGTTTTTCCCAGCTGACTTAATAAGTTAATTTGAATTAATGGTGTATGATTTTGAATACAAGTTCGAAGACCTTGGGTGCTGTGTGTGATGTCATTGAGCTGGCTGTGAAAGATGTGAGACAATGAGTGTCTTCTTGTATAGCATTGTCAGACCACAACTATATTGTAACACTCCACCACGGGCCTCCTTCTCAGGGGAAAGGGGGATTACTTCAGGTTGCGCCAGGGCTCTGACGTGCACGTGTGGAAACTGTAGGTGGTGGAAGGGCTGAGAGGGAAGAAGATCGTGCATGTGGCTGTCGGGGCCCTGCACTGCCTGGCGGTCACGGACTCGGGGCAGGTAAGGCTGCAGGTGGCCTGGGGGTGGCGTGCCATCCTGACTTGGGGGACGTGGGGGTCACGACATGGCCCTCGTCCTGTTGAAATCACAGCTGTTGATGAACTCAGCCGAGTCTTACTGCTTGAAGAACCATGAGGCCGGGACCCATCCGTTTTGCCCGCTGGTGTATCTGCCTGCTCAGCAGCAGGGGTTGGGGGTGGGGTCCTCAGAAAAGAGGCGTTCCCACTCTGAAGTCCACGTGAAAAGTGTGTGGAAAGATTGTTATCCTTTTTTTTTTTTTTTGAGACAGAGTCTCGCTCTGTCGCCCAGGCTGGAGTGCAGTGGCGCAATCTCGGCTCACTGCAAGTTCTGCCTCCTGGGTTCATGCCATTCTCCTGCCTCAGCCTCCCGAGTAGCTGGGACTACAGGCGCCCGCCACTACGCCCGGCTAATTTTTTGTATTTTTAGTAGAGACGGGGTTTCACCGTGGTCTCGATCTCCTGACCTCGTGATCCACCTGCCTCGGCCTCCCAAAGTGCTGGGATTACAGGCGTGAGCCACCGCACCCGGCCAAAAGATTGTTATTCTTGAAGATGCTCCTACTGCAAGGTATTAACAAGACTTTGCTTTAGGAAATTGCTAACTGGTGAGGAGGCACCCATGCCTCATTTTAGAGACAGAGCTAGTGCCTGACAAGTGTTACACTCTCTTCTGCTTGGAGAAGCATATGCTATGACCGGCTTGTGGATATTCAATTTAAAATTTTATTTATGAAAACAAAATTACCATTACTGTTTTTTAGTCAAAATGAATTATACTTTATAATTCTATAAGGCCAAGGAGCTACTTACTTGAAAAATGAGCATATTGTTTTTGGTCATTTTTCTTTGCAAAGTAAAAGGGAAAAAATTATTGCACTTAGTTGAAGAGAGGACCTTCTGTGTGACTTGCAACAAAGCAGAATTAATTTGATTAATATTAAGAAAATACTCCTTTTATGGTTATTGGCATTTTCATGGTTAGATTTTCTTCAGAATTATAGTACACCGATGCCATTTTGTAAGATTGTGAAATGGTTTGCTTTTACTTTTAAGAACTCAATTCTTTCAAATACCATGGCATACACGTTAAGCATTTTGAAGTAAAAATTACATTAAAGAAAATGTCCTGAAATGTTGAAAAATTATAAGCTTTTTTCTCCTCGTAAACAGGTGTATGCTTGGGGTGACAATGACCACGGCCAGCAGGGCAATGGCACGACCACGGTTAACAGGAAGCCCACGCTCGTGCAAGGCTTAGAAGGCCAGAAGATCATGTGTGTGGCTTGCGGGTCGTCCCACAGTGTGGCGTGGACAACTGTGGATGTGGCCACGCCCTCTGTCCACGAGCCCGTCCTCTTCCAGACTGCAAGAGACCCTTTAGGTGCTTCCTATTTAGGTAACACAGATTTGTATCCTGAGATTTTTCTGTAGGTTACAGCAACTTTACATTTATTTAATTGTGCCAACACATTAGAGGTTGTAGTGCTGCGTTAACTACATTATGAATCTAAAGACACAGAAGAATTATGGTGTGCTCTCATGCGATTTATGCTGCTGGAATGAAAGTTTTAGAAGAAAGTATGTTGCTGATTCTTGTGTTTATGATCAGGTAAACTCACAGCGCTGTCCTTGTGTGTGAACAGGACTCCTAATAACTGCCTGAGAGCTACAGGCACTGTACTGGGCTCTTTTGTATTTTTTAACAGCTTTATTCAGTTATAATTGACATATAATAAACTGCACCTATTTAAAGTATGCATTTTGATCGACTTTGGAATACGTATGATCCATGAAAGCATCAGCACAATCAAAGATAATGAACTCATACACTACCCCAGCGTTCCTCTCTGGCCCTCTGTACCCCTCCCTTTTGCTTTTACCTCCCTCCTTCCTGCCGTATGCACCAATTTAATTTCTGTCACTAGAGATCAGTTTGCATGTCTGCTTTTTGTTGTTGTTGTTTCGTGGGTGTTTTATTTGTTTGTTTTCTTTTTTTTTGTAGACCGGGTCTCACTCTGTTGCCCAGGCTGGAGTGCAGTGGCACGATCTTGGCTCACTGCAGCTTCCACCTCCTGGGCTCAAGTGATCCTCCCACCTTAGCCTCCCAAATAGCTGGGACTACAGGCACATGTCACCATGCCTGGCTAATTTTTGTTTGTTTGGTGGAGACATGGTTTTGCCATGTTGCTCAGGTTGGTCTGGAACTCCTGAGCTCAAGTGATCCTCCCACCTCGGCCTCCCAAAGTGCTGGGATTATGGGCAGGAGCCACTGTGGCAGGCCAGTTTGCATGTTTTACAGCTTACTATAAGTAGAATCATACAGCATATACTCTTTTTAAAAATCTTACTTTTTCCACTCAGCATAATAATTTTGAGATTCACTTACGTTGCATGTATCAATAGTTTATTCTTTTAAATTGTTGAATAGTATCTTAAGATAAACAAATGCAATTTGTTCATCCATTTTTCTGTTGATGAATGTTTGGGCTGTTTCCAGTTTTTGACTATGCAAGTGAAATTGCTAATGGACATTTCCATACAAGTTTGTGTATGGACATCCACTTGAAATTCTCTTGGGTAAACTTCTAAGAGAGGAGTGGTTGGATCATATGGTAGGTGTATGTCTAGCTTCTTAAGATCGCTACATACTGTTTTGCAAAGTGGATGTTCCAGAGGTCCACATCCTCCACATTTTTGTCAACCCTTGATACATTCAGTCTTTAATTTTAGTTATACTGACAGATGTATAGTGGTATCTCGTTGTGGTTTTAATCTGCATTTCCCTAATAACTAATGATCTCAAGCATCTTGCTTATTTACAAATCACATACCTTTTTTGGTGAATGTCTGTTCAAGTCTTTTCCCATATTTAAATAGGTTGTTTTCTTACTGGTTTGAGAGTTCCTTATATATTCTGAGTTACAAGTCCTTTGCCTAATATAGAATTTGCTAGTATTTTCTGTCAGTGTGGCTTGTCATTTTATTCTCTTCACAGGTGAATCTTAAAGATTAGAAGTTTTTAATTTTGATGAAGCCTAGTTTATTCATTTTATTCTTTTGTAGAGTGTACTTTTGATGTTGTGACTACAAAACCTTTGCCTCAAGATTATAAAGTTTGTCTTTCTATGTTCTGTTATAGAAGTTTTATAGTTTTAGACAGGTATATCTATGACCAGTTGATTAAATTTTATATATAGTGGGAGGTTCAGATTGAAAGGCTTTTTTGGGCATGATTGTCCAGTTGTTTCAGTTGTATTTGTTGAAAAACTACGCTTTTCCTACTGAATTGCCTTTTGCCTTTGTCAGAAATCAGTTGTCTATGGATGTATGGATCTATTTCTGGACTCCCAGTACTGTTTCATTGATTTATTTGTGTATTTTGGTGGCAATGCCACATTGTCTTGATTACTACAGCTTTATAAAAGGCCTGAACTCAGGTTGCAACAGTTTTTTAGCTTTGTTCTTTTTCAAATATATTTTGGCTGTTGCAGGCCCTTTGCATTTCCATATGACTTAAAATGAGCTTGTCAGTTTTTATAAAACCGCTTGCTTGGGATTTTGATGTGGATTGCATTAATTCTGTAAGTCAATGTGCAAGGATGGATTCACAGTATTCAGTCTTCTAACCCATGAACATAGTGTTTCTCTTTATTTGTTAGGTGTCCAGTACATAATGACACATGAAGAGGCAAAAAAAGTGACTAAAAATGACCAGAAATGATAGGAGAGAAACAGACCCACAAGGGCTCCATATATTGGAGTCAGAAGACACAGACTTTAGTATAATAAATATGCTTACTGTGTTCAAAAAGATAATATTTCAGCAGAGAACCAAAAACTACTGAAAATAAAATAGAAAGACTAGAACTGATAAATCCAATATTTAAAATTAAGAACTTAATGAGTAAGTTTAGAACACACTGAACTCAGCTGAAGAGAAAGTAAAAATATCTGGAATGAAGAACTGAGGAGCAAAAGTTTAGAAAACATAACAAGAAGGTAAAAGATCTGCAGGACAGAGGTTAGGCCTAACACAAGTGGAAGAAGAGTCCCCCCAAAAAGATAGAAAAGAGAATAGAGCAGAGGCAAAATGTGAAGAAATACTGAAAGACAGAATTTTCCAAAACAGACAACAGATATCATGCCCCAGAAGCCCTACCAACCCCAAGAAAGATAAACATCTCCATGCACATGTAAAACCTGTGCAAGATGAAAACAAAAAGACTCTCTGAAAAGCAGACGAAGGAAAAATAAAATGAACCACAATTAGACTTCCATCCAACTTCAGGAGAAATAATATAAACCAAATTGCAATGGAATACTATTTTTAAAGTGCTGAAAGAAAACACCTAGCAAAAAGACTTTTCAAAAATAAAGGAGAAATAAAGACATTTTCAGACATACAAAAATAGATAATTTGTAACCAACAAAGACACATTTTTAAAAATATTAAGGGGATTTTCAGGCAGGAGAAAAACAGTACAGATGGAAAATTAAAGAGGAAGAAAAAAGTGGAGAGAAATTACAAAGTATGCAGAAAAATCTAAATGAATATTGACTACATAAAATCGTCATATGCCCTGCATGTATTGTTTGATCCTTTGACTTGTTTTTTTGCTTTTTTTGTTTTTTGAGACGTAGTCTTGTTCTGTCGCCCAGGCTGGAGTGCAGTGGCACGATCTCGGCTCACTGCAAGCTCCGCCTCCTGGGTTCACGCCATTCTCCCGCCTCAGCCTCCCAAGTAGTTGGGACTACAGGTGCCCGCCAACACACCGGCTAATTTTTTGTACTTTTAGTAGAGACAGGGTTTCACCGCGTTAGCCAGGATGGTCTCGATCTCCTGAACTCCTGATTCACCTGCCTCGGCCTCCCAAAGTGCTGGGATTACAGGCATGGATCATGAGGTCAGGAGATCGAGACCATCTTGGCTAACACGGTGAAGCCCCATCTCTATTAAAAATACGAAAAATTAGCTTGGCATGGTGGCATGCGTCTGTAGTCCCAGCTACTCGGGAGGCTGAGGCGGGAGGAATGGCGAGAACCCAGGAGGCGGAGCTTGCAGTGAGCTGAGATCACGTGCCACTGCACTCCAGCCTGGGTGACAGAGCGAGACTCTGTCTCAAAAAACAAAAACAAAAACAAAAACAAAAACAGGCATGAGTCACTGCGCCTGGCTGATCCTTTGACTTTTTTTGAAATTTTGTTTGAGCATATGACCCACTTAGCATATGACTGGATTTTATGAACATTTTCTATGTGCATAAAAGAATGTCTTCGATAGTTCTGTTAGATATATATTTGTATAAAATGTATAAAATTTTGGCTGGACGTGGTGGCTCATGCACATAACCCCAGCACTTTGGGAGACTGAGGTGGGTGGATCGCCTGAGGTCAGGAGTTCAAGAGCAGCCTGGCCAGCATGGTGAAATCTCACCTCCACTAAAAATACAAAAATTAGCCAGGCGTGGTGGCAGGAGCCTATAATCCCAGCTACTCAGGAGGCTGATGCAGGAGAATCGCTTGAGCCCGGGAGGTGTCAGTTGCAGTGAGCCAGGATCGCGCCACTGCACTCCAGCCGGGGCGACAGAGTGAGACTCCGTCTCAAAAAAAAAAAAATTAAAAATTAAAATATGTTAAGAACATATAAATCAGAATGAAGATAAATGATGTTAAAGAGAACTAAGGTCTTTGCATTGTTTAGGAGGAGACTTTACTAAATAATAATAGATTTAAATCAGTCAAAAATAGATGTTATAATTAATATCTTCAGTAACTACTAAAACTAAAAATGTATATAACACATACACTCCTTATAGACAGAGTGAGACTCTGTCTCAAAAAAATAATAATTAAAAAAAAAAAGTAGAAAAGTTAGCTGAGCATGGTGGCACCGGCCTGTAATCCCAGCTGCTCAGCAGGCTGAGACAGGAGAACTGCTTGAACCCAGGAGGCGGAGGTTGCAGTGAGCCAAGATTGCGCCACTGCACTCCAGCCTGGGCAACAGAGTGAGACTCTATCTCACAAAGAAGAAAAGTGATATATGCATACAGTGGAATATTATTCAGCCATTAAAAAGGATGACGTTCTGACACATGCTACAATACGGATGAAGCTTGAAGACATTATGCTAAACACAAAAGGATAAATCTTACATGGTTCCATCTAGATGAGATGTCTGGAGTGGTCATATTCGTAGAGACCAAAGTTAGATTCAAGGTTACCAGGGTTGGGGTAAGGGGAAGTAGGGCAGTTAAATTGCTTAATGGGTACAGAGTTTCTGATCGGAGTGGTGAAAAGTTTTGGTAAGAGAAAGTTGTGATGGTTGTGCAACACTGTACTTAAGGTACTTAATACCCTGAATTATAAACTTAGAAAATGACTAAGTGGCTAATTTTAAGTTAAATATATTTTGCCACAATGAAAAATATAATAAAAGGTATACAAATTAAAACACTCACTCTCCATCTAACCAATTCCACATGCCACGCAACTAAACACTTACTAGTTTCTTGAGATTCTTTTAATGTTTCTTTATGGAAAAACAAGCAAACAAGCCTAGTTATTCTAATTCTTCCCCGATACCCCATCCTGATTTTTTTAAAAAGCCAGCCAGTCATCAGCGGGTAGGACCGTCACTTCCGTCTCACTGTACTCACTCTACAGAATTACCATATGCAAAGGAACCTTAAAATAACAAATTCCAGTACACTGTGGTCCACAATAAGTATTTCATTAATATTTGGTGGAAGAGAGAATATAAACATTCTGCCATACCTGGTTCATTTATTCTGCCAAATGTATGCCTGGTATTGTGTTTTTTGGTCTTGAAACACGTTTCACAAAAATCAAAGTCATCACAGTTTCTGCATTTGAATCTGGATCCATTGATAGGAAACATCTGACATCCATCACACCTATTTGTAAAATAGCAACTGAGTTAAGAAAGGTCATTTATTAAACTTAATTCAACAGAAAACCATTCGTCCCAAAGCAAATCTAGCAATCATAAAAATAACTCACGTAACCCCAGGATGAATACTGGGCACCAACTCCATTTCTGATAGCAACCCAGTCCAGTGAGACTGCTGGGGAAAGTCAACAATGATATCTTTTCCATTGGCACTGAAAGCCAGGACACAACAAAAATCACCTGATCCATCTTCCTCTTCACCAATAAAAACCTGAACTTAAAACTGCACCTAGCCATGTCATACTACATTGTAGTTATTTGTTTTTTACAAAGAGTCTATCTTTTAGAGATAGGTACTAAAATGCTTATGGATGAACTAATACATGATGTCAGCGCCTGGTTTCAAAATAATCACAAGAAGGGAGCATGAATAATTTTGGCCATGAGGCGACAATCGTTAAAGCCAGGTAATGAGCACATGGAGGTTCATTGTAAACTACATTCCTTACTTTTGCATTAGGTTTAAAATAGGACATTTTGGTTTCTAATTACACCAAGTCAACAATTCCATACAATACCTTTGGTATCTCAGGGAATAAAAACCACATTAATAACATGAAGACTTCTTTCATCCTTTGATAAGAGCAACGTGTCACTCAAAACAAAGAAACCAAATTCTTATTTTTAAAATTTGTCTTGTTTTGATTTGCAAATATTTTAACAATCTCTTAAGCAAAGAAAAATGTTTAAAGTAAAATATTAAATAATCCACTTGTTCTTATGTAACATGAGAAGCTCTAGGAACCTCTCACCACTGGGGAACCACCAACTGTGGCCATTTTCTAAGCGATCTGATGAAAAGAGAGGCTTCCACAAGGTTCAAACGAACAAACAAATAATCTCTTTATGCATCAAGAGTTTATAAAACTATACACATACTTATTTCTCATGCAACTGTTAAAACGGACATAGTGTGCCTTTCAAAGTGTGCCACGGATTTGATTTGGAATCTCAACAGTATCATATTAAATATAATCTGAGAATTGTTTCCAGTTCCTAATTTCCATCATTAGCACATTTCCATTTCTTAAATTCAGTCCTAAATTTTTATACAGCATGAAAAAGAGCCAGGCATGGTGGCTCACGCCTGTAATCCCAACACTTTGGGAGGCCGAGGTGGGCGGATCAATAGGTAAGGAGTTCGAGACCAGCCTGGCCAACATGGGGAAACGCCATCTCTATGAAAAATACAAAAATTAGCCAGGCACGGTGGTGGGCACCTGTAATCCCAGCTACTCTGGAGGCTGAGACTGGAGAACTGCTTAAACCCGGGGGCGGAGGTTGCAGTGAGCCAAGATGGCGCCACTGCACTCCAGCCTGAGGATCAGGGGAGGAGAAAGAAAAAGCAGTCCTGACAGTCAGGAGCTGGCCTGTTAATGTCAATGTTAGGCCATTTCACAGAACAAATGACAGGACAAGTTTACAGAACACGAACATCAGATAAGGCCACTCTGTGACTGATGAATCAAGGCACAACCAAAACCCCTCCTTAACCATGTGTGATTAAAGTTGAGTCTAATCCAAACCACAAACAACCACACAGTCCCCTATCCTGGTGATATGAATGACTGCTTCCTTACCAATCATGACGTTAGCATGGCTCCATTCTTTCTGCCTGCTAGGTAAATTTATTAAGACATCCTGTTTTAGGATTACCCCTGCTTTCTCGACCCCTCCCCCAAATACCCAACATAAACTTCATTAGTCCTCGCTCACTCCCTCTGATGGAGACACCCATTCCCCAAGGTGTGTGTTCTCCTGTACTGCAATGAGTTAATATTAATAAATCTGATTGTTTCACTGCAGGTGAGTTCCTTTGTGGCCTTTGGCAGAAGGCACTGACAAGCAAAGGAACACTCTATCTCTTTCTTCACACTTGTTTTCTGTTTTGTGTGCTTGAACAAAAAGAAATACTAAGTACATATGCATTAATGAAAAGTTAACATCAGGAATTTAATTACCCAGATGATATTACCTTTCACAACCCCCACACTCTGATGAGTCACAGATCCCCATTTGTATTTTGGTGTGGTGACAGAGGCTTTGACCCGCACTTTATCACCAATCTTGATGTGAGAAGAACTTCTTGGTGGAGGATAGCCTACAGATTTCAATAACAAATCATTATAATCAGTATTCATTTATGGGAATTCTGTCTCTAAGAAAAAGTAAAAGCACTAAACAAAGAATGTGCTCACCTATAAGTTCCACATGAATGTACCTAAACCAGTAGATGCCCCCTTTCTGCTGCCAGTCACACTGCACATTGAGATCATGCAATCCATCTCTGTCCAGCTTGATGACTTTGCCAACATCACATCACCTTCGCACACTTCTTCGTATGTTCGGCAGCATCTAACCATCATTCCCACCTAGAATTAAAATGAAATTGGAGATCCAGTCCATCATGTACACAGGTGAAATGAGCCATGATAAGTAGTATTACTCTACTCTTAATAAAGAATTTCAACTGGGCACGGTGGCTCACATCTGTAATCCTAGCACTTTGGGAGGCTGAGGTGGGAGGATCACTTGAGCTCAGGTGTTTGAGACAAACCTGGGCAACATGGCGAAACCCACCTCTACCAAAAATACAAAAATTAGCCAGATGTGATGGCACATGCCTGTGGTCCCAGCTACTTGGGAGACTTGAGTTGAGAGGATTGCTTGAGCCTGGAAGGTGGAGGTTACAATGAGCCAAGATCATACCACTGCACTCCAGCCTGAGTGACAAAGTAAGACCCTATCTCAAAAAAAAAAAAAAAAAAAAAAAAAAAAAAAAAAAAAAAAGAATTTCATCTAGCACCCAGAGTGCATTCTAAGTATTATTTAATGATAAAGGGAAGAGAAACTCTTTAGAACACTGTCTGGCTTTGTGTCTCAGGCAGGAAATATACAGGAAGAGGCTGGATCAACTTGTATCATAAAGGAAGGGAGCTTTCAAAGATTACTCAAAAGGATTCCCTGATCATCAAAAATATAACAGTGGAGACATCACACCCTAAAAGCCAATGGATTGGTCATCATGATAATAAGGAAAACAAAGCTTCCTGGTCATCTTTATACATATCAGAACACCAATGCATCATTGTGAAAACTGGTGAAGTCTCCCTGTATTATCAAGAGCAACCAAGATTAATAACAAAGCTTTTTTTCACAGAAGAGAATTCCAGCTAATGAACTCAGAGAAGATGAAGTTAGAAAATCACTATGGTGCAGCCCCTAATGATAGGTCTAGGTGATGACACTAATGCCTGCTGGAGCTATGAGATGGACAATTAATACAGAATGTCATCAAGGAAGGAGCAGGCTGACAAGACCTAACCCACCCAAACCTGCTTGCCTGTTGAGATGGGGCCGGAGGGAGTACATGCCTATGAAGCTTCCTGCCTGAGATTCAGCCTGGTCCAATCACCCTCCAACCCTAACTCCTACTGCATTGGAGAAACAGGGAGAGAGGAAGATGTTAGCCACAAGGAAGCCACCTCCAAATGCAGACTGTAAGACATTTGGAGGACATGGTTTCAGCCACAAATAAATAGCATGAAAGGAGAGGAAGGGAGAAGGAGGGTTACTATGAAATGAATGTTTGTATCCCCCCCGCAAAATTCATGAAGTCCCGACTCCTAATGTGGCAGTATTAGGAGATGGGGCCTCTAAGGAAGTCATTAAGGTAAAATCAGGTCATAAGAGTGGGGCTCTGACACAACAGGATTAGGGTCTTTATAAGAAGAGACTCCAGGATGGGCATGGTGGCTCACGCCTATAATCCCAGCACTTTGGGAGGCCAAGGCAGGTGGATCACCTGAGGTCAAGAGTTCGAGACCAGCCTGACCAACATGAATAAACCCTGTCTCTACTAAAAATATAAAATTAACCAGGCATGTGGTGCATGTCTGTAATCCCAGATACTTGGGAGGCTGAGACAGGAGAATCGCTTGAACCCGGGAGGCAGAGGTTGTGGTGAGCCAAGATCGTGCCACTGCGTTCCAGCCTAGGCAACAAGAGCGAAACACCGTCTCAAAAAAAAAAAAAAAAAAAAAAAAAGACACCAGTGCTCCCCTGCTAGCTCCAGCTCCCCCCATCCCCAGCCCCACGTCCACAGGAGGACACAGCAAGAAGGCAGCCACCTGGCCGGGCACGGTGGCTCATGCCTATAATTCCAACACTTTGGGAGGCCAAGGCGGGCAGATCACGAGGTCAGGAGATCGAGACCATCCTGGCTAACATGGTGAAACCCCGTCTCTACTAAAAATACAAAAAAATTAGCTGAGCATGGTGGCGGGCACCTGTAGTCCCAGCTACTCAGGAGGCTGAGGCAGGAGAATGGCAGGAACCCGGGAGGCGGAGCTTGTAGTGAGCTGAGATCACGCCACTGCACTCCAGCCTGGGTGACAGAGCGAGACTCTGTCTCAAAAAAAAAAAAAAAAAAAAAAAAGGTAGCCACCTACAAGCCAGGAAGAGGGCCATCACCAGAATCCAGCCAAGCTGGTACCTTGATCTTGGATTTCCAGCCTCCAGAACCATGAGAAATAAATGTCTGTTGTTGAAGCTGCCAGTCTATGGTACTGTGTTATAGCCAACTGAGCTAAGACAAGGGGGAACCACTCTAGCTTGGAATAGACTTCAAAGATCCATCAACCAAATGTAGATAAGGCATACAATCTTGGTTTATCCAAGTTCAAAAACTAACCATTAAAGCCATTTCTGAGAAAACTGGAAAACTACAAGCAAGCGTTAGATATGAGATGATATTAAGGAATTATTATTTATTTTGTTAGGTAATGCTGGTAAACAGAAATGTCATTATGTTAAGATTCTTTATTAGTGATACTCACTGACATATATACAGGTGAAATGAGATGATTTGGGGGATTTTCTCTAAAATATACTAAAACAAGAGAATTAGGACAAGAAATGATTTAAAGTAGATAAAGGACTATATAAAACATAATTAGATTTTTAAAGTTTGATGGCAATGAGAATTACATAAGAAAAACAAGGAAAGGTATGTAGGAAGTGTCACAAGTGGGGCTAGTAGAAAACAGCCATCTCTGCGCCATGTCCACCGTGGACAGGCCACTTGTGCTCTCCGGCTGCCCCTGAGCCCATCTGCCCCTCTGTCCTCTGGCTACACCGGGGCAGCCACAGCAGCCTCTGTCTGGGTGCCCATCCTGCTCAGCCACCCTTCACACCCTGTAGGCTTTGCACCCATGTCACCTTCTCATTGCAGATCCCGATCCCTGGACTGTGCCCTCACTCCTACCCCTTTACTGTAGTCTGCTCTCTCTCATTCCAGGGTACACAGCACCTTCTAGTGTACCATGAGCTCACTGGTCAGGTATGTCTTCCAGCACCAGAAGGCAGGCTCCCTGAGGGCAGGGGCCTCTGTCCACTGATGTTTGGCATATAGGACATACCCAGATATTTGCTGAGTGAAAAACGGATCGAGGCTCCAGCTTAAGACAATTACTCACCTGAATATTCTCTCTCACATATACAGCATAATCATCATTACCCAAGAAACCAGCTCGGTTTTTGTACGTCTGGCTCTCCGTCACAACAGCACCAGTAGACTACAAGAAATAAATACATTCAAAGAAAAAAAAAAAGGAGAACTCAATAAATCTACTCAAAAAGAAATGTCTGTGAAATCTATAATATTAAAAAGTAAAGGATGAAATCCTTTATTTTCTCTATAAAAATCTTCATTTAAAAAAGACTAATAGCAGTAGCATAGTAGGCAGAAATGAATCTCAAAAGCTACAAGTATACAAAATTTCCAAGGCACTTCCAAATTAATCCTATGAACAATTTACTCAGGTCAGAAACTGATGTGTCAAAACATGGTATTTTAATAAAATATCCTCTAATGGCTAGCGAAGATCATGAGATGTTTGAACAAGGGTCTGTTCTGAAGCTAAAAGTAATTATGATATAGAAACCCAATCATCCCTTCAGTAGTGAAACACAGCTTTGTTCTGTGCCCGGCAACACCATAGGTTGGTTTTATGAAACAGTCCACAGTAGATATAGTTAATTCTTTCAAGGGACAGAGAAAGCCAAGGTGTAAGACTGTTAGAGCGCTAGACGGACAGCGGCCCAGGTGCGGGCGGTCACATGGGAGGCACTGACCATGGAGTAGGCGGCATCATCCACGTCCTCCACCACCTCCTCGTCAGAATACTCGTCGGACACCGTGTCTGCATCTGAGAGCTCCGTGACCTGTATGTCGGAGTGGTCCAGCAGCCACCCGACCAAGGCTTCCACACCTAAGAGAGGCACACACAGCACAGCAGCCACTGTGAGTCAACAGCCCTGAAGCGGGAACCCACACACGTACAAGCAGAGGCCAGGAAAACGAAGTACCAGGCAAGCCGGACGCATTCCCGGAAGCACCAGTGAGAGACTTCAGGGCAAACTCGATGTTCCTTCTGGAAAATCCCATCTCCATGAGCTGCACCACGATCGGCAGAGCGGGAACGGGCGACTGCTTGCGCCTCTTCACTCTGGCAGGGCGGATGTGCTGCACGGCGACAGGCGTGGTGGCCTCACTGGAGCTGCAGTCTTCAAATCCTGGGCTCGAAGGGTGAGTGGACTCCACAGCCAAGCACTGGCAAACGGCCAGTGCAGCAGCCTGGGCAGACAAGAGGGTCCTGGGAGATTTGGGAAGTGCCCTCAGCTAGCTTACACAGTCTAGGAACACAGGGGTGATGGCCTTCTACTGTGAACTGCAGTATGCAAGTCTAGAAAGCCCGCATTCACATGTGTGTTTTTCAATGAGTTCCTAAAACATGTTAGAAAATGACAAAGCCAAGTTTCACGGTTTAATGCAGAGAAAATACGTGGGGGTAAAATAACTTGCCTGTTTCAGCAGACAGAGAGCCTACTAAATTAGCCAAGTATCAATGTCCATTAAGGAAAACTTCATTACAGCCCCAAGCGAACAGTCACAGGGGCTTGAAGGAGCAGGGAGAAAGGCATTCCCCCTGCCTTAACCAGGCACTGTGGTGGCGGCCACAGGCACCTGTGTTTTAGACAGGCCAGAAATGACACAGGACTCTCATGTACCATTAAAACAACCCTCAACTATTCAAGGGTTAAATAACCACAGTGAGGTTAAACAAGGTATTAAAAAGTAAGAGAAATAAAAGAGTATTAGTTGGGAAACACACTGCAATGAATCAGTGAACATCTAAACTGCCAGTCTCTGCAGCTGGGAACTCCCCACCTACAGCACAAATAGCACTTCCCTGATCTGTCTGTAACTCCCTGGTCCTCCTCCCCAGCTGCTCTCATAGCACTGACTTGCTATTTTGTTAAACGGAGCATGTGAGGAAGGAATCAGGAAGAAACCGAGGACACTGTGGAGCCCCCCGGTGCTCAGGAAGTATCAAAGCCTAGGGTTTTGCAGCGAAGTCTGGGTAACTTGGAAGTGACAGGTTTCATCCTAAAAGTTTAAAATTCAGAGCCAGATTGAGCCAAGAGTTCTGGTTCTGATAATGGGGAGTTAGGGTGCATTGGACTAACCCTTGGCTGATAATAATCATGAACTCTGGATAAAATATTTTTTAAAACTGCTTGAGGGCACTGGAGAACAGCTGACGCAATCAGCAATAAAACAAGCACAACCCCTGACACCGAGAAGCCTGCAGGTAAGACGCGCATTTAACCACAGACGGCGCACCTTCCTGCACTGCAGGGGCTGGGGTCCCGGCCTGCCAGAGCAACCAGAATGTGAGGGAAAGCCCGCCTGAGAAAGAAACCACAGAGGGAAAACCACGAAATATGCGGACGGACTACCCGCAAATCTACAGCTGAATCTAAACTGAAGCACCACTGAAGAGCCTGCGCTCGGCACAAAGGGACCGCTGGAAGGCTGCAGGGGCTCCCCAGCTGCCCAGGGCCAGGACAGCATCTGAGGCTCAAGCTCAACCAACTAGAGGTGGGGAGGAGAATGTCAAGGCTTCCAGTGACGCCCAGAAGAGATTCTAAATCCTTGAGAATTAAGGATCCACAACCAGGGCTAAGGGCAAATAAAAAATCATTAGAAAGCCTGGCACCAAGCCACCTCAGGATCAAGGAGGACTGCCAGGTACTGAACTGCCTGTGAGAAGAAAACTCCCCATTCTCCAGAGGAGGCAGAACCCAGAGCCAATACAATGTAGCGTCCAAAGAATCCAGAATGAAATAAAAATTCTCATATGTGAAGGACAACAACCAATAACTGACTATAATCAAGGGAAAAAAACTGCAAAGAGCAGCAGACCAACAGGTGGGCAGATGTTAGAATTAGCAAACAAGAAATTCAACATAACTATCAGAAATATGTTTTAAAATGTACAGCAAAAGATAGATTTGGCCAGGCACGGTGGCTCACACCTGTAATCCCAGCACTTTGGGAGGCTGAGGCGGGCAGATCATGAGGTCAGGAGTTCGAGACCAGCCTGGCCAACATGGTAAAACCCCATCTCTACTAAATATACAAAAATTAGCCAGGCATGGTGGCAGGCACCTGTAGTCCTAGCTACTCGGGAGGCTGAGGCAGGAGAATCACCTGAACCCAGGAGTCAGAGGTTGCAGTGAGCTGAGATCACGCCACTGCACTCCAGCCTGGTGACAGAGCAAGACTCCATCCAAAAAAAAAAAAAAAAAAAAAAAAAAAAAAAGATAGACTTAAAGGATGAAGAAAGGAACTGTCAGAAGAGATATAAAACTATTAAATGAGAGCCAAATGGAAATAAGAGATGTGAGAAATATAAAATAAAGTATGTCTTGGATGGATATAACAACAGATTAGGCCCAACAAAGCAAAGCATCTTGACCTTTCAAACAGATCAAGACAAACTAACCAAGCTACTAACAAGGAGAAGAAAGACTTTCTATTAAAGTCATAAAAGGAAACTCACTAACAGTGTAACAGATGTATAATAGTATTTCCAGAAAAGAACAAAAAGAGCAAGGCAGGGGGAAAAAACAGCAGTCAAAAGTTTCCAAATTTGGTAGGGGAACAAAAATCAAGCCAAAGATGCAAGCAGCTTAAATAAATTTCAAGGAGGACGGTGGGGTGGGCGGGGTGTGCCACCATTGTATACATGAGCCCAGCTTAGGGAAACTGCAGAAAACCAAAGATAACACAAAATACGAAAAGCAACCAGAGAAAACAGACATTTCATACAAAAGAAGAGATAAGAACAACGACTCTCCATCGGAATCCATGGAGACAAAACAGCGGAAGGTCTTTTTTTGTACAACAGTCCTTCTCAGTTCCTGAAGAACAACTCTACACGGCCTTCTAGGTGTTCACACTCGGCATCTCCCAGCATGACTGCAGGGAGCACGTGCACCGCCCCACGTGCTCTCAAGTTGCTCAGCGTCTTTTGATCTCTGCCAGGGAGACTGGAAACACAACCAGGCCCTTTAAAATGAACCTTCACCTCGGAGGTTCCCAGACCTGAGAAGAAGCTGGAGTTCAGAAGAGCTCATGGCCAACCTCCTCCCTTCCTGCCCACACCCGTTTCTTGCTTTCTCCCTTTGCACCCCCACCATCTTTCCAGCTCGTTCTAGGACTGGGGGAGGCCTCCCACCTGTCCAAGGCAGTGGCTGCCTCATCTGGACCCTTGCTCCCAGAAGGGCCCTGCTATCTGAGGGTTTCTGTTAGGGTAATTTCTGATTGCCAAACTGAGTACTGATAGTTTTATTTTTGTCTCTGATATTTTGTCCAGATTTTTAATGTATTACACAGCAAGAAAGATTTTGGAATGAACATCTCTAATCCTCTATGTTGCCAGCCATGAAAGCTCCCATCCCTCTTACACTCAATCACGTCGCCTCCTCTATGCGAACGTCCCGTAGCCCTGACCCTGTGCCTCGCTGCTGCCCTCACCTGCTCCACAGCATGGAGAGAGCGGAGAGGCTGGCGGCACCAGAGCACCCCCAAGAGGCTCCTGAGTGAATGAAACAGACAAACGGCTGCCAGAGTCCTGACGAGCCTCTTTGAATAATTCTACTTCCTGGAAAAAGATCCCTTCATGAAGATGTGAGCGTTTAACCCATGCTGCATCTAGTTAATATTTTTTCACAATTTACACAAACCCAAAATAAGGTTAAACTTCAACCCTCTCAGTCTTTAGTATTATAATGTTCTGCAGACTATGCACAAACATGGTTAAACCCCAATGAATCATTAGAATTATTTGCGTACTATCATTTAACATTCAGAATAGATCCTTAAGAAAATATACATCTAGAAAAAAAGTGTTCACAATTTAGTGCTGTGGATTAAAAACTGTCAAGGCTGCATGGCTGTACCTCAAGTTCCTGTTTATCAAATATGGCCTTCACAGGAGACGGCTGGGTGGCCGAGGCCAGCAGCTGCTGCAAGAGGATCATGGGGGGCTGCGGCCCTTCAGGAGACATGTCCCCAAGGTCAGGTGATACCACTGCTCCATCATCTGAATTTAAAAACAAAATATGTGTAAGATTCTATTTTCAACTGCGAACACCACTTTACTATTAAAGAAAATGCATTAAGCATGTTAAATCAGGTATGACTTCTGCCTCATTATGTGATAGAAAACCAAAATCTTCAAGGTTCAGACATCGAACAAAAACTAGACTCTAGGTTGGGTGCGGTGGCTCACGCGTGTAATCCCTGCACTTTGGGAGGCCAAGGCGGGTGGATCACGAGGTCAGGAGATCGAGACCATCCTGGCTAACACAGTGAAACCTCATCTTTATTAAAAACACAAAAAAATTAGCCGGGCATGGTGGTGGGCACCTGTAGTCCCAGCTACTTGGGAGGCTGACACAGAAGAATGGCATGAACCTGGGAGGCGTAGCTTGCAGTGAGCCGAGATCACGCCACTGCACTCCAGCCTGGGCGACAGACCAAGACTCGGTCTCAAAAAAAAAAAAAAAAAAAAAATTAGCTGGGCATGGTGGTGCGTGCCTGTAATCCCAGCTACTCGCAAGGCTAAGGCAGGAGAATTGCTTGAACCAGGGAGTTGGAGGTTGCAGTGAGCCAAGATCACGCCACTGCACTCCAGCCTGGCAACAGAGCGAGACTCCATCTCAAAAAAAAAAAAAAAAGGAACTAGACTCTAAACCACTTTCACTGCCTGCTTTTGGTCTCTGTCCTTCATTAGTGCATCTGTCTCTTAGAGCCAGCAAATGCTCCTTCCCAGATTTCTGCACTTGGTCTGATTCTTTCTCTTTTTCTTGAGATGGAGTCTCACTCTGTTGCCCAGGCTGGAGTGCAGTGGCACAATCTTGGCAAACTGCAACCTCTGCCTCCTGGCTCAAGCGATTCTCCTGCATCAGCCTTCCCTGTAGCTGGGACTACAGGCACATGCTACCACGCCTAGCTAATTTTTGTATTTTTAGTATAGATGGGGCCAGGCTGTTGATTAGATTTCACCATGTTGGCCAGGCTGGTCTCCAACTCCTGATCCACCCGCCTCGGCATCCCAAAGTGTTGGGATTACAGGCGTAAGCCACCATGCCTGACCTACACACTCTCTTTCATGTTCACTCACGGCTTCAGTAACCCCTGACACAGACACATCCCATGTGCATATTTCTAGCTGTAGCTTTTCCAGCTAAGCCTTGTTGAGATCATTAAGTGACCCCAATTCCAAATGTGTCATGTGCTCAGGGTGATGGCTTTTTGTCTGTTATGAGTAGCTTTAGGTGCAGCCTTTAGGACTCTGTTTGACACAGCCCCAGGGAGATCCACTGCGCTCAAGCCCACTTCACACATCTAGGTACTCATCCAGGTACTCACAGCATTTGCATGTGCTGGTTTTCTTCAGTGACAATTTCAACTAACTAGACCAGGAGCTGGAAATCTTTCTCTTAAAGGGCCAGAGAGTAAATAGTTTAGGCTGATGGGCTGTACAGTCTCTGTCCCAACTACTCAGCTCTGCCATTGCAGAGCAAAAGCATCCAGAGACGATCTGTAAACAAGTGGTGTGCCTGTGTTCCCATAAAAACTTACAAAAACAGGTGCACGGCAGTTTTGTCAATCTAGCTCTGTTCGGAGTCCCTGCTCGGCCCAAAGCACAGACTTGATCATCCTGATTCAGGTCTGCTGTAATTGCTCATCGGGCTGAGTGCAGAACAGAACAGCCAATCCAATTCCCAGGCTCCAATCTCCCAATCTCTACAACTGGGAAATCTTCATGTTCCCTACGACCTCTACTATTAATTGATTCTATACTTTCAATTGATTTCTTTCATCCTCAGCAGGTTTAAAATTAATTTCATAGCATCCTCTCCTCTTAAGAAGCAAACGCACACACTCCACATTCTACTGGACTTATTTGTTTCAAACACACTACTCAATATTCCTCCCTCAACTCAAGCTTGAAACAGCAGTCACCTTCCACTTTTTGCTGGTTCCCCATAAAGTTATCATCTACAAGACTACACCATCACAGTGGATGGCACCTTCCTTCCACCAGAACCTTCTTTCCCTTTTCATGCCTTCCCCCTCATCACCTGACGCAGGAGCAATTCTCCATCTCTGTCATCTCCTGTTTCAGATACTCCTATACCTTCCTAGCAGGTGTATCACCCGAAGGTCAATGCTTACCATGTGGCCCCTACCACAGCTTTCCAAGTGGGCCTCAAGTTTCACCCTGGTCTCCCAGGTACTCTGTAACAGGATGTCAGCTGCCCATCTAGCTTCAGCCCCACCACTCATCGAAAAACCCTGAGCTCCAAGAAGAGGAGAGCTGCTCAACGTGCTTCCAAAGACTCACCACGTTCACTCCTCTCCTCCTGCCTCCACCACCAGCAGAGTGCTTGTCTGCTGGCATCTGTCTGCCACAGCCTTCAAAGGCTGCCCGTCCAGTGCTCAGCTGCCACTGGCTCCAGACGCCTGTGGAACCACTCACATGCCTCACCGCCCCCTGGCCCCAGAGAACAAAGAGAGCCATCTGCATTCACTTCCTCTCCTCATCCAAACCCTAGAGAGCAATGATCATAGAAAAGGACTTCTCCGCAAAAGACTTAGCATAATGTCTTTCAATAGTTGGAGATCAAAAAATGTTTTTTTCTATTAAAAGTAACACAAGCTCATTCTAGAAAACTAAATATAGAGAAATATAAAGAAAATAAAGACAGCCAAAATTCCACCAAAGATTACTGGGTCACTGTTTTGCTAAACAGATAACTATGGCATATCTATAAACGGATATACATAGCAGTGTGCTTTTCTGTTCACTTATTGTTTTCATGTTTCCACAGCAATAAACATATACAGCTAGCCCTCCGTATCCATGGGTTCTGCATCCAAAGATTCAACAAACCACACATCAAAAATATTCAGAATAAAACAATTTTTTAAAATATAATTTTAAAAAGAATAGCAATAACAACTATTTACATATCATTTATTTTATTTTATTTTTATTTATTTATTTATTTTTTTGAGACAGAGTCTCGCTCTGTCACCCAGGCTGGAGTGCAGTGGCATGATCTCGGCTCACTGCAAGCTCCGCCTCCTGGGTTCATGCCATTCTCCTGCCTCAGCCTCCCAAGTAGCTGGGACTACTGGCACCCGTCACCACGCCCAGCTAATTTTTTGTATTTTTAGTAGAGATGGAGTTTCACCGTGTTAGCCAGGATGGTCTCAATCTCCTGACCTCGTGATCTGCCCACCTCAGCCTCCCAAAGTGCTGGGATTACAGGCGTGAGCCACCGCACCCAGCCTATATATCATTTATATTTTTAAAGTATTTCGGAGGATGTGCATAGGTTATATGCAAATACTACACCATTTTATAGAAGGGCCTTAAGCATTAGTGAATTCTGGTATAACTGGGGGTCTTGGAACTCATCCCCATGGATATTGAGGGAAGACTATACATGTACCATCATTTTGAATGGCACCATGATATCACACTGTACGGATACACAACATAAGAATGGGTATTTTGGTGTCTACAGTTTTTCAATACAAAAACAATACCAAAAAGGAGGCCATAACGACACTGTTGAATACATTATTTTTATTTATTATTTTTTTTGAGACGAAGTCTCACTCTGTCACCCAGGCTGGAGTGCAGTGGCACAATCTGCACCCTGCAATCCGCACACACGGCAACCTCCGCAACCCCCGGTTCAAGTGATTCTCCTGCCTCAGCCTCCCAAGTAGCTGGCATTACATGCAGCCACCACTATGCCCCGCCAATTTTTTTTTTTTTTTTTTTTGAGACAGAGTCTTGCTCTGTTGCCCAGGCTGGAGTGCAGTGGCGCCATCTCGGCTCACTGCAAGCTCCGCCTCACAGATTCATGCCATTCTCCTGCCTCACCCTCCCGAGTAGCTAGAACTGCAGGCGTCTGCCACCTTGCCCAGCTAATGTTTTGTATTTTTAGCAGAGATGGGGTTTCACCGTGTTAGCCAGGATGGTCTCTATCTCCTGACCTCGTGATCCGCCCGCCTCGGCCTCCCAAAGTGCTGGGATTACAGGCATGAGCCACTGTGCCCAGGTGGTGAATACATTATCTTTACATGCCTTTTCGTGTGATAAAGTCCCACAGAATGACTTGCTGGGCCAAAGTATATAAATACATACATACATCTATGCATTTCAAAGTCCAACTCATTTCCTCAGATGCCCATTAGATGGCTACACCAACTGAAATTCCCAGCAGCAGCGTGTTCATGGAGTGCGGCTTTACGCGCATTTGAAGAATCAGCTTAGGTTCATCTTGTTACAATACAGGCTCTATTTCTTTGGTCTGGGGTGCGGCCTGGGAGTCTGCATTTCTAACACATACCTGTGTGCCACCAGTCTTGCTGACCCATGCAGCACACTTTAAATGGGAAGGCATGAAAATACCTTTTTCCCTCCCCACCCACCAGATGCCCTCAGTCTTGTCTTATAAGATGACGATGACAATTTTATTCACAGTTGGTGGTTGCTGGGCAGGCCACGTGTCTGTTTTGTACATTTATAAGCCACCTATGTCCATTTTTATGAACTGATTATTCACTTCCTTTGTCTACTTTCTACTGCCCTTCTTATAAAGATTTAAGAACTTTTTAAAAAGACACCTGTGTGAACACTTCCAGTCTCCTGAACAGCTGGCTGAGACAGGATCTGCCGCAGTTTATCCTGGTGGGAGAACAGCGCCCGACCTGCTTTCAGGATGTATAGCTTCAACTGCTGGCACCGCAGCAGGTCCAGGTCCACTTGTCCTGCGGAAGGAAAGACTCAGTGAGAAGGGCGTGCCCTGCTCAGACTCCCTCCTCGCCAGCAGCAAGCCTCCGCCACATGGCGACGAGTAACGCTCTGCCCTTCAGGAATCTGCCGACCGCACACACTGTCCGTGACGAAGGGCTTGCCTTTCCCAGAGTTACACTCGGTGCTTCTGGGTAAGCATCTTCTGCCTCCTGGGTCTTCCTTCCCTGCTCTCCAGGCACCTAACTTGATAGGACGCAGGATTCAATGGGTTTAACACGGTTAGAACCATGTTAGCTACTATTAATATGATCAAATGTTCCCCAAGTTGCTGAAGTTTCAGCCGCTTCCACTCTTCTTCTAAGACTCCTCTGAGAGAATCTGTCAGCCCCACTAGCTCTTTAACTGATGAAGATCGCAGCAATGCCCAAGGCTTATCTGATAGCAGAGGCCGCAGAAGCAGCACAGAGAGCATGGGGTGGGAAGGAAGGAGGGCCGCAGGTGCCGCTCGGACACTGGCTCAACTAACTGGCAGACAGGTTTATTCACCACGATGGGAAACGGCAGCTACTAGAGAAAGCCAGCTGAATTTCGGACATGTGGTGATTTGCATGCACTGCACCTCCAACCAGAGATGTGAATGGGAGATCCAGAGTTGAAAGTGCTTACATCATATATGCTGAAGCAGCAATCGTAGGTCTGTGGGAGCAAGAGGGGAGAAAACTCAAGAAGACTGGGCAGAATATGCCATAGTTATGGGTGAAGCCACACAGACTTCCAGGACATAAAGAATGAGCAGAGAGAAGAGCTCCCTAGAAACATGGAAACAAACTCAGGAGAGCCGCATTCTAGACCCGAAGGAAGGCAAAGCCAAGCCAGGCTACAGTCACAGTCTTAGCCATCCTGAATGTCACAGGCAAGCCAGGCGCTTCCGGGACAGAGGCCCCTGGATCCGGCAGAGAACAGGCTGTGAGCCATGGTCCAACAGGGTGACGGGGCCACAGGGCCCTGGGATGGAGGGGAGGAGGGAAGAGGTGAACAGACTTCTCTTCCGGGATAAAGGGTGACACGGAGAAGAGGGTGTGAGCCATGGGGTTCTTCAAGTGTGGCTCCGAACATGGCGACAAAGGCTGACTCGAAAATACTCATTACCACGAACACAGGGTTACATTCCCAACCGCAACTCAACAAATGGTGAGCCCACGTGAACCCCAGGACTTTGGTATGTCCGTGAATTCACTCATAAAAGAACACTGTACAAACGACACGAGTTTAAGATGGCAGCTATTTCATCAAGAAGCGCCATGTACTGACCTGCAAAGGCCTGTTTAGTCGATTTCTTTATTTTGTGCTTTTCTAACTTGCTTCCAGCGAGGTTCACCAACTGAGCCCAGACAGACAGCATGGGCTCTGTGAAGGGCAGGTTGTTCACATTAAAGGCCACGGCAGGGAGCTGGAGAGGACACAGAAGCTGTCAGAGTGTGGCCAATATGACTAACAAATGAAACGTTCTGAAAGTCATCAAAACCATGGGCTTAATCCTGAAATGCCACACATACCCGTAAGCCTTTTTATAGCTGAGAATAATCATTTTTTAAAATGACATTAAAGGCAGGATAGAGATTTACACATATAATAAGTATAATCTATATTAATTTTTCTTTACAAACCTGTCAACAATAATTACATCAGTGTGGTGGTTACTATCTTCTCAGATATTTTCTATATACTTCAAGTTTTCTACAACATGTATATATTCCTATAATAATAAAAAAGAGTGCTTTATAGAAAATATAGTCAGGCCGGGCACGGTGGCTCATGCCTGTAATCCCAGCACTTTGGGAGGCCGAGGCGGGCGGATCACCTGAGGTCAGGAGTTTGAGACCAGCCCGGCCAACATAGTGAAACCCCCATCTCTACTAAAAATACAAAATTAGCCAGGCGTGGTGGCACACACCGTAATCCCAGCCACTCAGGAGGCTGAGGCAGGAGAATCGCTTGAACCCGGGAGGCAAAGGTTGCAGAGGGCCGACAACATTGTGCCATTGCACTCCAGCCTGGGTGACAAGAGCAAGACTCCATCTCAAAACAAAAAAGAAAAAGAATATATAGTAAGATTGCACTTGGGTTACATCAGAATAATGTAAATGGCTCCTTCTCCCTGTGCATCCTTGATTCACAGATTAAGATGACAGTAGCTGCTACATTAAGTCACGTCACTCAAAACTACTAAGCATTTTCTACATGAAGAAAGGCTGTTTTTTTAAAGGTGTTTAAACATGTTTGTTTTTTTAAAACTTGAGTTGTTGAATAAAAAGTAAACTTCATAAATTCACATTTTAAAATAATTAGAACTACCTCATAGATGCACGGTACCTTCTAGGTTGCTAAAGCCCTCTTCGTGTCTCTGAGGCTGAAATACACACGAACCACTGCTTTAAGTGCCCTGTGAGACAGGCCCTGCTTACCACAGAAGCACAAGCTCACACAGCTTCCTGGAAGGCAAACTTCAAGTACCAGAATCAAGTTCTTTCAAGTGCTGATGTTGGTGCTCGGTTCTAGTGTAAAGTCAATTTCCCTTATCATGCAGTAACTAAGCACAAGTTCACCTACTGGTTTCAGCTGATTCAATGGGCAAACGCGACACGTCCGCATGTCAGAGAACTGCACGGTGATTTTGCCCTTCAGGGTGATGCGAGTCATGGTGACTTCTCCAAAGTCATCGTGCACAACTTGGCCACCCAGGCGCAGGCGACCATCGATGCCTCCAACCACAGCCAGGACCGCCATGAGGCCCCCCACTTCAGGGTTCTCGGAGTCGGGGAAGTAGTCCTCTAACTGGGCCTAGTGCAGACCAAACAGCGAGCTCGACCGGGGACACTCACGGAGCTGCCCAATCCCTACAGGTTTACTGTTCAACTAAATTAATTCTGAGAACACAAACCCACCCCTTCGGAAGGCCTTCCCGCAAAGCTGTGGGTGATGGAGCGGAGCTGGGAGTTGATGTACTTGTTGATGAGCCCATTCCACTGAGTCAGGGAGTGCAGCGTGTGCAGCAGTGCCACCACCTCCTCCACCAGTGTGCTGCTGTGGGTGGCAGTCAGCGAGGCCTGCGGGCACACCCTGCGCCACCTCAGCATGGACTCTGAGGAGGAAACCAGGGGAGAAGCTGCTGCACCGCTCTTCACCAGGGCACAGGGAAAGGAGACGGCCACTCACCTCTGAGTAACGGCACGTCAGAGGAGCACATAGTGAGCAAGCTCCCCAAGAAGTCAAACAGCTTCTCCACGAGGCATTTCATGTCCCTCGCCCTTTCGGTCTTGTCCCATGACGGAAGGACTGCTTGCAACAAATGCACAGCTAAGATCTGATAAAAGAAAATTTACAATGACAAGCATTAAAAAAAATCTGATGAGGAAACTACAGATTGTTATTTTCTTTTTTTTTTTTTTTTTGAGACAGAGTCTCGCACTGTCGCCCAGGCTGGAGTGCAGTGGCACGGTCTTGGCTCACTACAACCACCACCTCCCAGGTTCAAGCGATTCTCCTTGCTTCAGCTTCCTGAGTAGCTGGGATTATAGGCACTCACCACCAAGCCCGGCTCATTTTTTTTGGATTTTCAGTAGAGACAGGATTTCACTATGTTGGCCAGGCTGGTCTCAAACTCCTGACCTCATGATACACCTGCCTCTGCCTCCCAAAGTGCTGGGATTACAGGCATGAGCCACTGCGCCCAGCCTCTCTTTATTTTCTGTTCTCATAATGCAAGTAATCATGTGAAAATTTTGAGATTCATTATTTTACAGCCAGGTAATTACACTCAAGTTGATTAGTGATTAGGATTGTCAGGGACTTTAGAAAAAAGCAACATTACAGATGCATGTGTTTAATTAAAAAAGAATTATTTTTAGTTTAATTCTTAAGACAATTACACTACAAATTCTGTGAAGCAGATGAGTAAGTAGTTGCAGGATTTACCACTTAAGAGAAAAGCAGGTAAACTGAAGGTTAGCAACTTACCAATTATCAAGGACCTCTGCCCCTTGCCTCCAGAAAATCTACCCTGTCACTTCTAGACCCTTTCTGCACTCGTTACTGAATAAAGGCCCCTGACTCTGAGGGCAGGGAACTTCAGTACATGGAGGCCTCTCTCAGGGAACTGGTTTTGCCTGGCAGCACATTACCTGCCTCTGCAGCGAGGTGGCAGTGAAGGGTGCGTGCCCTTCCACGACCTTCATGAGCAGCGTGATCCACTGCAGGGAGCTGAGGGCGCCGCACACCTGCAGCGTGAGAGCGATGCTCTGCACAAACCCCAGCGTGCACCAGCTCCGGTGTTGCTCCCTGTACACCAGCCTGTTTGGAGAAGCTGCAGGAGGGAAAATAGACATGCTTGGTAACAAGTCCCTAAAGACAAATCCCTAAAGATATATCCTTATTTTTTTATCAACTTATTTTCTACAATAAGCTCCTTTAAAATATATTGCAGTTTGTAAATTAATTCAAACTAATTCAAAGTGAGAAGTGGAAGGCGGCTTTTAAGTTAGTTCAAGAAACATTTCCGAAGTTTTCTTTTTTTTTTGTTTTTTTTAGAGATGGGCCCTCACTGTGTTTCCCAGGCTGGTCTAAAACTCCTGGGCTCAAGTGATTCTCCTGCCTTGCCCTGCCGAATAGCTGGGACTACAGGCATTTTTAAAACCTTCTAAATATGTGTCGTAAAAGTAGTTAGGGAATTTTAGCTATGTATTGTTTCTAGGCAATAGGAAAATGATCTATAATTCAAATAGTAATTTGCAACAGTGCATCTATTATATTTTTAATTTCGTGTTTTAAATATCTCCACAATCTTGCTTATATTTAATCTGCACCACTTAAATACTCTTTTTGTAATTTTAGTAGAGACAGTTTCCAATCCAAGTTTAATGCATCTGCATTAACAAAATGAGTTTTTCACTAGGTTTACACCACTGGATTCTAGCACCAGTGGGCCCACCTCTGCTCCGCCTGGCTCCAGGACTCCACTACTCCCTGAATGGAGGCTGAGGCTTGGAGGCTGGGCCCCCTGAGGGACCCCGCCCACAGCCCCACAGGACCTGCTCTCCCTCCCACCTCCCCCACCCTGCCCTCAGCTATCCAAGCTTATGAGGACACCTGCCTTCCTTCAGCACACTCACATGCGCTCACACACACACACACTCACTCTCACACCCTCATATGCATCCTCACACTCACACTGATACTAAGTTATTCAGACACACTCATGGGCACTCATACACCCACCCTCACACTTTCAGGTGCACTCACACCACTGTCGCAATCACTAACACACACACAATCCCAGTCACACGTATGCACAAACAGATGCAAGCTGACACACACTCCCATGCACTCTCACATACACTTACCCCTCCCAATGCATACAAAAACTCACATATGCACTCACACTCCTCAACACTAGTAACGACCGATTACTCACCCACTCACACCTTTACCCACACACTTTCTCACTTTACACTCACACCTATACTGTTATAACCTCCCATTCACTGACACAAGCAAAATGCTCACATTCACTCACACGCATTCACAATAACATCACTCGTGCTCACACTGACACAAGGCACTCATACACATTTACACAAATGCTCGCACTCAATCGCACACTTACACTTGTGCCTGCCACCCACTCATACTTCCTCACACTCACCAACCCTCACTGACTTACACTTACACTGGGTGTCTCATTCGCACACCCAGTAATCCCCTCACACTCACACTCATGCCTCCCTCGTGCTCACCCTCACACACACACTGGCTCAATGCACTGACGCTTTCACTCCCACTTCACCTGAATGTAGTCACCTGCCCACTCACATGCTCTCATGGACACACACCCACACAACCACATGCTACAAACACACCATCACACTTGCAACACAAACGCTCAGCCACTTGCCCATCGACCACTAACACACTCACTCTCATCAATATGTGCGGACGCTCCAGCACACCACTAATACACGCATGCTCTCACACACACACTGGAGGACGCCCACATACCCACCCACACTCACATGTGCTCACTCGCAGTCACATGCACACTCACCCCACTCCCTCAGCTCACATTTCTCATACTTACTCTCCACACACACAAACACTTTATGGATTAAACTGTGCCTGTCCTCCAACTTCACATACATTCGGAACCTCAGAATATGATCTTATTTAATGAGGTCTCTGTAGACGTCATTAAGGTAAGAATTTAGGTGACATCATGTTGGATTAGAGTCAAAGAAACTCAATGAAAGAGTCCTTTCAGAGACAGAAAAGGACATGCAGAACACAGGGGCAGGGGCCATGTGAAGACGCAGGCAGAGACTGGCACAATGCGTCCCAACACCAAGGAAGCCTGGAGCTCCCAGAAGCTGGACAAAGTAAGGAAGGACCTTCCCCTAGAGCCTGTGGAAGAAGCATGGCCCTGCCCGCACCTGGATTTGGGACTTCTGGTCTCCAGAACTCTGAGAGAACAAATTTGTTGTTTGAAGCCAGTGTTACGGGTTGAATTCAGAATTGCAAAATTCGTATGTTGAAGCCCTAACCCCTATCGTACCTCGGCAGGTGACCTTGTTTGGAAATAGGGTCGCTGCAGATGTAATCAGTTTGATGAGGTTGAATGATGTCCTCATGAAAAGGGGAGATTTGGAGGCGACTCACACACAGGGAGAATGCCATGTGAAGATGACGGCAGAGATAGGGGTGACACCTCTACAAGCCGAGGAACGCTAAAGAGACCAGTAAACTCCAGAAGCTGGGGCAGAGCCCTGAAGCAGCTTCTCCCTCACAGCCCCAGAAGGAACTACCCTTGATCTCAGCCTTCCAGCCACCAGAACCGTGAGAATTTCTACTGTGTAAGTCCCCAAGTTTGTATACTTTGTTACAGCAGCCACAGGAAAGGAATCCACACACATCCACACCCACCCACATGCACACCCAGACACGACAAGCGTGCGGCCCCCAGCGCTGACTCCCTGGGCCCTCGATCTCTCATTCCATACATGTCTTGTCCGTCATTCCGCTTTCCACTAACATTTGCAGCAGTCCGCATAAAGTCTTGGTGGCTTCACTCTGCATGATCTCAGCATGAACTCCAGCAGACAGACAAAGAGTCTGCAGTAAGTTAATAGTGCTGGTAAACATCATTGCAGTGGGGTGAATGTTCCTTTCAGTTTGTTCGGCTTCTAAAAAAAATAATCAAAATTACAAATTATATTGGCAGCCCCAGCCTCTTGGATGGTCTTACCAAGCCCAACCATGTGAAGCTTCACGTGTTTTAGGAACAGCTAAGAAATGTCACGAAACCTCCTCCCACAACCTGGATCTCCACAGATAGGATCTAGCTTTCTTGGTCCACCCCTAAATTCTCACCTCTGCTTCCCTAGAAGCGATAAAGTGCTGACTAACTCCACATTACATGAAGAGTTCAGAGTCAGGGACCACAGAGGAAAGGTAAAGGCAGGTGGCAGGTGGGGTGTGCTTGGGCAGGGGCTCTCACTGGAGGAGGACGCGATGGACCGAGACCGCAGGGCAATTCCACCAGGCCTCGGCTCACTCGCTCAGATGCAGGCTCAGCACCAACCACATGAGACTCACTGGTGATGCAGCTGCCCCCACCTGGCCACCACATTCTCAAAGAGGGGCGGGTGCACACATGAGAGGAAAATGCAGAAAGTCAGTTCCAGCCAGATCGCCGGATCCCACAGTCACTCCACACACCTGCATCGGAGGTGCCTGGGAGCTTATTTAAATTACAGGTTCCGAGGACAGAGCGCCAGCTGCAGGTGTGTCCTGACATCCCATTCTAAGGCCCAGATGGCAGTGGCAGCACCCAGCAACTGGACAGTTTGTAGGCTGCCTTGGACTAAACACCTTCCTGAGTCACCCACCAGAGTCGTCCTCTGTGTCCGAATCCTCTGCTGAGGGCTGTGCAGGGGCTGGCAGCTCTGCCAGCTTGAGGTCGTATTTTCCTTCTTTCCCCATCCTGTAGGAGTTGGTGCTGCCTGTGTCCCACTGGACTCTTATCCACCCGTCCTCTCCCAGCTCACCAATCACTCGGCCTAGGCCTGGAGGAGGCCCATCCTGAGAAAGCCAAAGTAGAGATCAGTTAGGAGGGTGCGTAACCTGCCCTGGTCCTTCCATGGCTCCCAGCAGACCTCAGTTAGGAGGGTGTGTGCCCTGCCCTGGTCCTTCCATGGCTCCCAGCAGACCTCAGTTAGGAGGGTGCATGCCCTGCCCTGGTCCTTCCATGGCTCCCAGCAGACCTCAGTTAGGAGGGTGTGTGCCCTGCCCTGGTCCTTCCATAGCTCCCACCAGACCTCAGTTAGGAGGGTGCGTGCCCTGCCCTGGTCCTTCCATGGCTCCCAGCAGACCTCAGTTAGGAGGGTGCCTGCCCTGCCCTGGTCCTTCCATGGCTCCCACCAGACCTCAGTTAGGAGGGTGCGTGCCCTGCCCTGGTCCTTCCATGGCTCCCACCAGACCTCAGTTAGGAGGGTGCGTGCCCTGCCCTGGTCCTTCCATGGCTCCCACCAGACCTGCCACACAGATGTCGCCATATGCCACCCTGTCTGTCAGGGGCTGTCCCCAGACACAGATTTCACCTCTCCTACAAAATGTGTGCTTGCATCATTTTAAATTAAATGGCATAAAATAACGTGCTCATGCTGCTTTACCAAGGAAGTCGGGGAAATCTCATCTCAATGAGGATCCTCTGAGTCAATGCAGAGACAGGGCTTTGCAGCAAGTCCTGTCCCCACAATCCCTCACGGGCCTTGCAAGAGCGGAAACCTGAAACAAGCACCAGCACCTCCACATTCCCTTTGCTTCAGTTTCCCCTGGGCCCCAGGGGGAAGCTCTGTCTCTCACTTCTGCAGGAGAAAGCTGTTTCTAGGATGGATGCTGTCTCCAGACACTGCTATTTCTAAGATGACTGTGACAAAGCCAGGGCTTACCAGCGTGGCTGAGAAAAGCCAGACAGACCATGGGAAGGTGAACACTGCCCTAACTTAGCTAGGGCTGTGGTAAGTGACTTCCACCTGGGGGCACCTGGCAGAGATTTAGAAGAGACCTGCGATGAGGGAAGATGGAAACGTGGCCACAGGCCCATGAAGTAGATCCCTAACTACTGGCTTCAGGGCACTTCGCAGCACATGGCCATCAGCCCACAGGGGCAGCATCTGGGCTTCCTGCCTCAGAGCCTTCACTACACCAACTTTCAGAATGAGATTTACTCTCTTGCTCACTCTCACACTCTTGTTCCAGTGACCCATCAAACTGAGCCTCATGCCAGTGAGTTTCCTGAAAAGAGCTGCCTCTCTTTCCAGACTTGATTCTGCTCAGATGCCCTACTTATGATTCCCTGTTTGTGTTCACTCCCTTCAGCTGCTCGGGAACCAACACCTGTGTCATCGATCAACTGACACATCCTGGATTATTCCAATTTCCACCCACCAATATCGTACAGAACTATGCAGAAGATAACTAATGTGTGGCTAATGTGTTCACATCAAATCTCTGAGTACCTGATCGCCCCATTTCCAGTCCACACCTCTCATGACCCTTGTTCCAATCTTCATCATGGCAGCCAGTTCTGGCCCTGAAACAGGGAGCTGCACAGGAGCCGTTTCCTTCCTTGTTTCTTCCAAAACTGTGGCAGAAGCACCTTGAGCAGAAGCATTCATATCTTCCTCAACGTTGTCACAACTGGGGCCTGACGGAGCGTCAAAAACAATAGCTGAGCCAACAAGTAGCTACAGTGTCCCCTTAATACACACAAAACATTCACAAAGTACTAATGAAGATCGTAATTTTGAACAATCCATACTATATGTTTTATCAATATAATATTATGAATATTTTACTGATATAGGATAAAAAGAAGATAAACGGAAGGATGAAATACATAAATATCCTAGGAAGATATAAAAGATATTAAAATGCTCAGTAAAGCTACTTTCTCTACTTCTAGGAATTACTCCCCTGAAAAAAGCAAAATAACTGAGTTAGAAAGATCCTCATCACATTTTTTATTAATAGAAAAACAAAGATAACTACCTAAATATCTAACAGTGGGAAACTAACAAACTTTAATCATGGTTCTGTGCAGAAGACAGCTAACAGCTGGCCCGAGATACAACCTCAGACAGGGTTGCTGCAGGCTGGCCCTCAGCTGGAGTCTGGATCTCAGGAGGGCTCCCCCATTCCCTAGGTGGTAGGTGTGGTTCCCTGTGCCTGAACTGTCTGTACAAACAATGGGGTCTGTGCTGAAACCTGCTTTCCTTAGTCTGGAACTTGGTACACGCCAGGCAGGGGGTGCCCGTGTGATCAGTCCTGATGGAAACCGTGGGCCTGGAGTCTCTACCCAGCTTCCCGGCAGACAGCACTTGACACGGCTCGGTGCCAGGGCAGTTAAGCTCGTCCTGTGTGGATCCTGTGGAAGCTTGTACCTGCTTTCCTCTGGACTTTACCCATGTCCTTTTTCATGATTTTGCTCTGTGTCCCTTCACTGTAATAAACTATAGCCCTGAGTACAACTACATGCTGAGTCTTGTGAGTCCTCCTGGCCAACCATCAAACCTGGGGGTGGTCTCGGAGACCCCTGACAATTGGTGCCCTGGGTGGCTACAGAGTCATCCATAGCACAAAACAGAAGCCGAGCTGCTGTCACCTGAGAGAAGTAAAACTTCCCAATGGATCTGAAAATAGGAGCGCTAACCCTAGGAGAGTAGGCTAGATTTTTAACCCCCCTTTTCCCACTTGCTAAACTGAGAGGGGGTAGGAGTGTGGTTCTGGTAACTCCCTTGATTTTAGTTTTCTCCTCCAGGTGGGAGGGAAAAAGATCCAAACAGTCCCAAAGGTGGGCTGGGGTGGACCAAAAAATGTAAAAAGTTTGTGTTTCTCTCTCTTCCAAGAGAACAAAAAAGGATATTCAATTCCCAGGGCTGGAGCAAAACTTTAGATAAACTAGCAGCAGAAACAGCCTTTCCTTTAGCCTAGCCGCTACTTTAGGGCCCCCAGGAAGGAGCCCCAAGGAAGGGACAGGAGTTGCATTCCAGGTGGATCTCCCAGGATCCCCTGGGCAGCTATACTGTTAACTCTGTAAAGACTGAATTTATTGCTAAGGGCTTGAATAAATTTGCAACCAAAACCGGGGGGAATTTTTTTATTTTACATAGCTTTATGTTTTGTGGCTGTTACATGTGGATGTATACATTAAGCTGGTATAAAATATTATATGTTTATAATTTCTTAAATGATAAGAAGGATACCCTGATCAGGGCAAGCTGCAAATATAGACGGATATTCATGAGACACAACTTCCTTGCTTTTTGCAGCCAGTGGGCCAGATGAAATTTAAACACATGAATATTATCAACAGAACAAGTCCCCATACTTAATGATTTGTGCTGTGATTTTTACTTATGGGAACCTCTGGGGGAAAAGTAGACAACATAAAAAGGCCATTTCTCGATGGAGATATGCTTTTGTAATTTTTAAATGCAACTTTTGGTTGCTAATGAGGCCTCAGGAAATCAGATATAACCCTTACTAGATAATTCTTTTCAGCTGTAATACACATATTAAAATATATATTTAACATAATACAACATATAAACATAATATATAAATTAAAAAATAATTATATATATATATAGAGAGAGAGAGAGAGAGACAGACAGACAGACAGATAGATAGAAAGATTCCACCCACCCCCAAGACAGGATTTCACTCTGTCACCCAGGCTGGAGCCCAGGCTGGAGTGCAGTGGCTTGATCTCCGCTCACTGCAACCTCTGCATCCCTGGCTCAAGCAATCCTCCCACCTCAGCCTCCCAGGTAGCTGGGACCACAGGCACACACAACTATGCCCAGCTAATTTTCGTATTTTTTGTAGAGAGAGGGTTTCGCTATGTTGCCCAAGTTGGTCTCAAACTCCTGAGCTCAAGCAATCCACCCGCCTGAGCCTCCCAAAGTACTACGATTACAGCCTGGCCTGATACATATTTTTGAATGGATTAATGTGAACTCTAAAACTGATGTGATTATAAGAGCTTGGGAAAACCTTGCTTTTTCACTGTGACTTTGACAACTGGCCCTGCAGCATCTCAGTTTTAGCCAAAGAACACCACCATAAACCAATCAGATCTAATAGACATATACAGAACATTTCACCAAAAAGAGCAGAATACACGTTCTTCTCAAGTATACCACAGGACACTCTCTTAGACTGACCAGACCATATGTTAGGCCACAAAGTCTCAAATTTAAACAGACGAAAATCATACAAGTTACCTTCTCCAACCAAAAGGAAATGATGAGAAATTAATAACAAAAGGAAAAGTGGAAAATTCACAAGTATATGAAAATTAAACAACACATGGTAAACAATCAGTGGGTCAAAGAAGAAATCACAAGGGAAATTAGAAAATACTATGAGATGAATGAAAACACAACACACCAAAACTTCTGTGCTGGGCCAAAAGCAGGGCTAAAAGGGGCAATTATACTATAAAAGTCTGCATTTACAAAAGATGATCTCAAATCAATAACTCTACATCTGGAAGAACTAAAAAAATAAGAACACAATAAAAACCAAAGTTAGGCCAGGTGTCGTGCCTCACACCTGTAATCCCAGCAACTTTGGGAGGCTGAGGCAGGTAGATAACTTGAGCCCAGGAGGTTGAGGCTGCAGTGAGCCATGAGTGCGCCACTGTACTTGGGCCTGAGGGACAAAGTAAGACCCTGTCTCAAAACAAAGACAAAAACAAAAACAAAAAAATACAAAGCAGAAAGAAGGAAACGATAGAGATTAGAGCAGCCATAAATTAAATAGAGAATAGAAAAATAATCTACAAAACCAAAAGTTCGGTTTCTGGCAAGAACAAAAAATCTGACAAACTTTTGGTAAATTAAGAAAAAAAGAGGCCAGTCAAGGTGGCTCACGCCTCTAATCCCAGCACTTTGGGAAGCTGAGGTGGGCGGATCACAAGGTCAAGAGATTTAGATCATCCTGGTCAACATGGTGAAACCCCATCTCCACTAAAAATACAAAAAAAATTAGCCAGGCCTGGCGGCAGGCGCCTGTACTCCCAGCTTACTTGGGAGGCTGAGGCAGGAGAATCACTTGAATCCGGGAGGCGGAGGTTGCAGTGAGCCAAGACTGTGTCACTGCACTCTGGCCTGGCAACAGAGTGAGACTCCATCTCAAAAAAAAAAAAAAAAAAAGAAAAAAAAGAGAAAAGATGCAAATAACTAACATCAGAAATGTAAGTGGAGACAGTACTACCAACATAAAAATAAAAAAGATTATAAAAGAACACTGTGAACAACTGTATGCCAACAAATAAAATAGCCTAGATAAAATGGACACATTCCTAAAAACATAAATTACCCAAACTGACTCAAGAAGAAATAGAAAATCTGAATAGAGCCATAACAAGTAAAGAGATTGAATCGGTAATTAAAAATCTTTCAGGCCAGGCGCCGTGGCTCACGCCTGTAATCCCAGCACTTTGGGAGGCCGAGGCGGGTGGATCACGAGGTCAGGAAATCGAGAGCATCCTGGCTAACACAGTGAAACCCCGTCTCTACTAAAAATACAAAAAATTAGCCGGGCGTGGTGGCTGGCGACTATAATCCCAGCTACTCAGGAGGCTAAGGAAGGAGAATGGCGTGAACCCGGGAGGCGGAGCTTGCAGTGGGCCGAGATCACGCCACTGCAGTCCAGCCTGGGCAACAGTGTGAGACTCCGTCTCAAAGAAAAAAAAAAAAAAAATCTTTCAACAAAGAAAAGCTTAGGTGGTCAACTCTACCAAACATTTAAAGCTGAACTGACACCAATCCTCAAACTCTTCTAAAAACAGAATATATGGGAACACTACCTAGTTCATTCTATGAGGCCATTATTACCCTGATAACTGTAAAACAATAAAATATTGCTGAAAGAAATTAAAGAGGACAGAAATAAATGGAAAGACATTCCACATTCAGAGAATGGATGTTAACATTGTTAAAATGGCACTATTCCCCAAAACAATCTACAGATTCAATCCCTAGCAAAAATCCCAATGGTCTTTTTTTGCAGATATGGAAAAGCCAGCCTTGAAGTTCATGTGAAAATGCAAGGGACCCAAAGTAGCCAAAATCATCTTGAGAAAGAAAACACACTTCTCAATTTTAAAACAGTACAAAACTACAATGTTCAAAACAGGGCGGTACCTGCACAATTATCAACATATAGAATGTGATAATGTAATTGAGAGTCCAGAAATAAACCTAAATATCCACAGCCAACTGATTTTTGCCAAGGGTACCCAGAACTTCAGGGAAAGAACAGTCCTCAACAAGTGGTATTGAAACAATCAGATCAACAAAAGAAAAAGGCTGGACTCTTACCTCACACTGTGTAAAAGAAATTACCTAAAAATGGACCAAAGATCTAAATATAAGAGCTGAAACTATAAAACTTACAGAAGAAAACATGAGGATAATCTTCATCAACCTTGTGTTTGGAAATGGCTTTTTGGATATGATATCAAAAGCATAGACGACAAAAGAGAAACAGATAAATTGAACTTCATCAAAATAAAAAACTTCTCTATCTAAGGGAATACAATCCAGAGAACAGGAGAAAATACCCTCAAATGATATACCTGATAAAGGTCTACAGATCTGTGAAGGTCTAGTATACACGAACTTTTTAAAGAGTCTGAGGACTGGTGTTAATTCTTCTTTAAAGGTTTGATACACTTATATAGTGCATTTATTGGTACAACAAGATGACGACAAATAACCCTATTTAAAAAGGAGAAAGGGGCTGGGCGCAGTGGCTCACGCCTGTTATCCCAGCACTCTGGGAGGCCAAGGCAGGCAGATCACCTGAGGTCAGGAGTTCCAGACCAGCCTGGCCAACATGGCGAAATCCCATCTCTACTAAAAATACAAAAGTTAGCCAGGTGTGGTGGTGTGTGACTGTAATCCCAGCTACTTGGGAGGCTGAGGCACAAGAAGTGCTTGAACCCGGGAGGCGGAGGTTGCAGTGAGCCGAGATCGTGCCACTGCGCTCCAGCTTGGGCGACAGAGTGAGACTCCGTCTCAAAAAAATAAAATAAAAAATAAAGAGAAAGGGACTTGAATAGACACTTCTCCAAAGAAGATATACAAATGGCCAACAAGCACAAACATGTAAAGAAGCTCAATGTCATTCATCATTAGTGAAATGCAAACCAAAATCACAATGAGATACCACTTCACACCCGCTAGGATGGCCTTAATCCAAAAAAAAAAAGAAAACCACAAAAAATAGTGTTGGCAGGGAAGCAGAGAAACTGGAACCCTGGAATCCTGCCCACTGGTGATGGGAATGTAAAAATGATATGGCACTGTGGAAAACTTTGGTAGTTTCTCAGTAAGTTACACATAGTTGTACCATATGACCCTGTAATTCCAGTCCTAGGTGTATAATCAAAAGAACTAGAAACAAGTGTTCAAACAAGTACTTGTATATAAATGTTCCTAGCAGCACTATTCACAAAAGTCAAAAGGCAAAACCAACCCAAATGTCCATCAACAGATAAATGAGTAAACAAAATGTTATATATTCATACAATGAAATCTTTTTCAGCCATAAAAATAAAGTACTGATATATACCAAATGAAATAACCCAGACACAAAGGCCACAAATGGTATGATTCCATTTATATGAAATATCCGGGATATGCAAATCCATAGACAGAGAAAGCAGATTTGTGACTACCAGGGGCTGGAGAGCAGGGGAGTGAGGACTGATGGCTAAATGGGGTGCATTTATAGTGATGAAAAAGTTCTACAACTAGACAGTGGTGATGACTCTAGAAAATTGTGAATGTATTTAATACCGCTGAATTGCGACGTTAAAATGCTACACTTTCTGCTATTTGTGTCTTACCATAATTTACAAAAAGCTTTTTTTAAAAAAAAGAAAGAAAATAAATCAAAGCAAAATCTTGACGTTTTCCCAAAGGCTCTCAAGCCAGTGCAGACCTACCAATCAGGCGCAGTGCCGTCTGAGCGAGGGCCAGCGTGCCGGAATTGAGCAGGAGGTCAAGGTTGTTTGCGCTGTGCTGCAGGGTGAGCATGCTGAGCATCACCAGGAGGAAGTGGGCTTGCGGGATGGTCCCCAGGCTCGGTCCCGATGGGTTCTCATTGGTGATGGTTTGCAGGGGAACCGGCTGGATACCTAATGAGCATTGGCACCCACTGACATTTCTTGTAATGGATACAAGAATAAATGTAATGCAGAAAGCACGGGCAATTACTCTAAACATCTGACTAATAAGCACTGACACCCACTGACATTTCTTGTGCGTGGATACAAGAATAAACGTAACGCAGAAAGCATGGGCAATTACTCTAATCATCTGACTATTTTGACACCCACTGACATTTCTCTCGCATGGATACAAGCATAAACGTAACGCAGAAGGCACGGGCGATTACTCTAAACATCTGACTATTTTTCAGTGGTTTCCACAGAGTGGGCAGCTCTGTCATGCTGCACGATGGGCCTACCCCCTGCATTCTATGCACAGGTCGTTCCATCTGTCTACAGGACTTAGTATGTTGCTCTCTGAATACACCGGTGCCCTATTCCATTCCTTCCATTTCAAATATAAAAGTTATGTCTCACTTTTCCTCCATAAAATCAATCCAATCAACTCTCTGTAGATGCTCAAACTATCCAGGAAATAAATATCAATATAGGACACAGACACTTTAGGATATGTGGTGATACACATAAAAATGTCAAAATGTAAAAATGTTATACTAGAGTACTTCAACATTGTGTCTCCTGCTAAATTTTAAAGTTTTGTTTAAAATCTGAGAAAGCTGACAGCAGCATAGATTATACAAGTACAAAGTACAAACTTATTAAAGTCTTCTCAAAACCAAAAATTGGCATTTGCAAGTTTCCACAACATATAATTAAAGGCAAACTATAAAATAACATTGATACAATTATTGACTCACCAAGCTCTTTAAATTTGGCACTGGCATCCACCAAAACATTTCGAATGTTCTGAACAGCCCAAGCGTACAGCTTGCCAAAGGTGACTTCCAGCAGCATCCGATTAAAAGGCGGGATCAAATCAACATCCTTTAAACAATCAGTAAGAGGTTCCCTTTCAAATAAAGATAAAGAATTTGACATGGGACACTGCCAGACTTCTAACTGTTACAGAAAAACATTCTGTTGCCACAGCTTCCTTAATTAAGAAAAAAATATGCTAACGTTTTACCCTATATCGATTCCCTCAGGAATAAGTCTTTGCCATCCACAAAACATTGCATATGGCACAGATGGAAGTAAGAAATTCTTGCTCACCAGATACAATTTTAAAATTGTATCTATCCCTTCCAGGCGAACCTCTGCTCTCTCCAACTGCAAAATATCAATGCATACAGTTAAGTGTTATGTATATTACCCAATGCAGAGAAGCATTTCTCATCAAATGTTACCTGTTTTAGTAGGCACTTTCTCTTTTCCACATCCACTGGCTCTTCTTTAAGGGCAAATTCAGCAATTGTACTGAGGAGTGGAGACTGCGGATAAAGACCCTGCACATTCTGCTTCAACCACTTGTATTTGTGAACACCTGTAACAGTACTCAACAGCGGCTGCCATTTGTCCTAACAAAGGAAAACAATTTTCATCATTAGTCTACCCTATTTAATAATAAACTGTGCTCTAAAAGTTATTCAAGTAAAATATAAATAATGCTTATGGGTTTAAATTGGTTAAAATACGTTAAATTTAGTAATACATGTTTTTAAAACTATGCTATAAATATAAGTGAATTTATAATCTCTATACTATATGTTGGAACAGGCTAGCTTGGCATACTAAGTTAAGTTATGGTTCATATTAACAGCCACAGGGCCCAGCACTGTTTCTGGAACAAAGAATATATTTAAGGAATGAATGGTGAATAATTAATGATACAATCTAATACCAAAAATAAAAGGAAACCCTTCTCCAGCTACAGCTCTGACCAGGACATCATAAGTCAAGTTCATGAAGCATCACTGGGGCCGTATTTCTAACAACCGCCCGTCCCTCCCTCCAGATGCTCAGGTACAGAGGTACAAGACTGTGGATTCCTGTGCTACATGCTACGATTCTATTCAGCCAACCTCAGAATCACAGAAAATACTGCACCTTGGGTGATTTAATTGCAATGGGTCTCTTGTCCACATTTATTGGACTATGAGGCAAAATGCAAGCTTCTTCTAAATCACTCTCTTCGTTTCCAATTTTTTCTTCATCATCCGTAGATTCTGGCTTCTTAGGAACTGTGTTTTAAAACATCATTCACTATAAAAATCATACACTTAAATATTAATTTTAAATTAAGACATATTTAGATTTACATGAAGGACAAATATTTCATTCAAATAAACATCTGAACAACATTATAAATTGCAATGCTCAACAAGAGTGAAATGATCACCCTGGCAGAACAAAAAGACAAAGTGAGAGTGCGACGAGGGGAGAAGCCCCGAAGCAGGGGAAGCCCGGCAGCCAGCAAGCTCTTCCTCAAGTGCCAGAGAGTGAACATTTGAGTCTTTCAGGCCATGCTGTCTGTCGCAAATACTCAACTCTGCTGCTGTAGCACAAAAAGTAACCACAGATAAAGCAACAGGTGTGGCTGTGCTCCTGTAAAACTTTATTTATGGTGCTACAATTTTAGCTTCATGTAATTTTCATGTGCCAAAATAATATACTTCTTTTAATTTTTAAATAACAATTTCAAACTGGAAAAAAAAAAAAGGTCTTAGTCCATGGGCAACCCAAAGCCAGCAAGAGGTAGAATTTGGCCCATAGTTCCTGGCTTGTCCACCCTGGTCCAGTTCAGTGGTTCTGTTACTGTGTAACTGAATCAACTGAATTCACTGTGATATGTGGAATTTCCTCCCTATACTTTATCTCTTTTAAAATTTTTGGTCTAAATCTCCTCAGCATATAATATAAAAAATAAGCAACATGATAATACATCTGGGCAGTAAAGAGCTAACATAGCAGGCCGGGGTTGCTCAAACCCTGCAAATTCCCAAGGAAGGTCTGTCCCTTCAGGATTGGTCCTTCTTCTAGGAGCTGAGCTCTGAGCCCTTGGAACATCCTGCCTGAGAAGTTTTTTGGTATACCTGACACCCAGGACCTTGTGGCAGTGGTCTGGCCAGGTAGTTTATGCTAATGATGGGACTTGCGAGGGACCACTTGTTTTTGCACTGGGGCACTGGAGCCTGAGTGAGGTCAGTCACAGGGGCACTGCCTGCGTATGTGACTGGCCCCCAACAAAATCTCTAGACTCGAGGCTCAGGTGCGCTGGCCTGGTTGACAATTCTTCACACATGATGTGACACTGTTGCTGGGAGAGCTAAGCACATCCACGTGACGCCACTGGGGAGAGACACCAAAGCGTGTGCCTAGTTTCCTCTGGACTTCCCTCCATGCACCCTTCCCTCTGCTAATTTTAATCTGTATCCTTTTTGCAGTAAAAACACAGCTGTGACTATAACAGCTCTTCTGAGTCCTTTTAGTGAATCATCAAGCCTGAGAGAAGGCTCGGGGATCCCTGACACAGCAACAGGAATATTAATCACTTAATCTTTTCAAGTTACTTAATTTCCAAAAAAAAAAGAAAACCAGCTTGAAACACCACACGATAAATCTATAAACCCACAAGAAACTCTAAAAGTGACAGTGTGGGCTCAGAACCCACGGATATGAGATGGCAAATGTGGAGTCTCTCTCCCTCATTCCGAGGCAGCCTGTCTCCTGGGCCCAGGCTGAGTTCCTGCATGCCTGGGTTAAAGGAATCGCAGCAGTGTGACTGCTGTGACTTCCTGATCCAGAGCACCCCTCGCATTCAGACAGGCTGTTATGGTGTAGGGTTTGTTCAGGAACAATCAAATTAGGATGGCTTCTAACACACTTTAGTCTTTCATAAGCTTATTGTTCAAAATGCCCATCAGAAAGTCAGTAATCAATACTGTTCAATAAGCAGGTTTGTGAGTAAATCAGTATAAGTCATAATATGATCAGAGGCCAGGCGCGGTGGCTCACGCCCGTAATCCCAGCACTTTGGGAGGCCGAGGCAGGCAGATCACGAGGTCAGGAGATCAAGACCATCTTGGCCAACATGGTGAAACTCCGTCTCTACTAAAATATAAAAATTAGCCAGGAGTGGTGGCGCGTGCCTGTAATCCCAGCTACTTGGAAGGCTGAGGCAGGGGAATCGTTTGAACCTGGGAGGCGGAGGTTGCAGTGAGCTGAGATCGCACCACTGCACTCCAGCCTGGCAACAGACCAAGACTCCATCTCAAAAAAAAAAAAAAAAAGGATATAATCAGAAATTTCTGTAGTTTATTTATAATCACAAGTGACTAAATTCTAAACTATTTTATAATTTCTAAGCATTTTTATTCAAATTTGGATTTAATGCAAAAAGACTTTTCTGTACCCTTACACAGCTACTTCCAGGAAAATGTCAGTAACTCTTTTAGCTTCCCTTTATAGTTCTTCATGTATCAGAATACTCAATATTTCCAAACAAAAAACATTTCTTTAGAAGAATGGCAATAAGTTTAAATGTTCCCATTATATCTCATTACCAGGATAACTAATAAAAGTACTTCCTTGTTCCCATCAATTTAGCAAAGATTATTTACGTTTTCAACATCAATTTACTAGTAATCAAATCATACCACACTCAATTCCTAAACTGCCTCATTGTCTGATCATTTGGAAAAATAAGCGAGATGTCTGTATTTAATCCTAACTATAATAAAAATGATGGCAGCAGGTAGAAATGTTACATGGAATCAACAGTAGAGAAACTTCACTCTGAAATCACAGATCCAACGTGGCAGGGTGAAGCACAAGCTTTAATAGTATCTTCTGTCCTTTTACATTCTTACCTCTCTTTTTCCTTGGTTCTCGAATTATCTTCTGAGCTATCCTCCTCCAATGGGGCAAAGAACTTAACAATTTAAACTTAGACATTATAGAGAGGTCATTACAAACAGCAGGTCTCAATTCATTAAAGAGGAATCTCAAACGTTCGATGACAGGAGCGCAGACCTCCTTGTAAGAACGGTCCTGTTCTTGATGAGTCTGCAAAGTTAACCAGGAAAAGACAACTTTAACAACAAATATTTCAGCAACTGTCTGCAAAGCACAGAATAAAAAGAATTAAAATCTATCACCTTAATGAGCGAACATTTTGCTTGGTAGACAACTCTACAAACATCCACCACTGACTTAGGCAACGTTCTGTGCTTTACTTGCTCAATACCAAGTGCACCTGCATGAACTAAAGATAATGCCACATGACCTGTAAAAAGACATTTAAAAGAAGGGCAGTGAAGGAATGAATACGTACCACAGGTTAGTCGAGGAATCTGCAGTGTAGCTAAAGTACAAAGATATTGAGCTCCTTACCTAAATCTTCATGTTTTAAGAGGCAACATAACAGCAAGCGACCGACCTCTTCCACGGGATGCTCGGGGGGAAACATGATCGGTGTGGTCAAATGGCACTGCCTACAGTACCTTTCTATTTGACACAAAAAGTCCTGCAACAGGAACAGCTGGAAGTAACTTCAGGGAAACCCAGTGAGTCTTCACAAATCTTAAACATGCCACAGCTTCTGACGCACTTGCAATCACTAATGCTTCTGAAGCCTCGCTAGCATGTTAACACAATCAGGTTCTCACCTCAAAACCCTCCAAATAATACATGAAACAAAGTCTGTGCTGTGTTAACCAAAGAGCACATAAGTATTCCTATGTCAAAGTCCTCAGATAAACAGAGCACTGAGGTGGCAGTGGGGGCAGGCCTAGCTCACCTTCACGTTGTGATCCTGAATGTTGTTGTCTGCAATGGCTTGCAGAAATGCCTGGGAATGGTCCCCCAGGGCCCGTCTGTGGGAGCAGAGTCGAGATTTGCTGGCAGGTGTGCCCCCTGGGGAGCTGCAGTGGTCCTCGTCTTTCTCCTCGTTGTAGCTGTAGTGGATCTGGCTGGTCTGCAGGCCTCCAGAGAAGATGGATGACTGAAGCCATTCTAGAAAATGCACACGCAAACATGAAAGAGAAACTCAAGTGCACAACTCAAAATAAATACTAAAAAAAAAAAAAGATGCTCAACTGAACACTCAATTTAGAAGGTGAAATTCAGCATCATTCATATGAAAGAGCTCCACCTAACATGTTTACACAGGTTGACTTATAATTCCTCTATCTACGTGAACACACTTTCTGGTGATTCCACACGCCTCAGGCATGGCATCAGAACTCAGGATCGTAGTTCCAGTCCAACATTCTCTGGATACCTGTGCTCTGCCTGCAGCTGCCTGGTTCCACAGGTACCGTGTGAAGACTGAGGTGCACATTCTAACAGGGAAGGCAGCAAAGGGCACCGCTGACACAATTAATCACAGGATTTCAAGTCCGAAACTGTGCAACAGATGACTATGGGGGTACCAGGGAGACTGGAAGACAGACCACCGCTATTCTGAGGGTCAGTGAGGGACTTGTGGAAGCAACAACTGAGCTAAGATGAGGAATAAGACCCAGACGCTGAGTATCCAGGCAGGGAACAGCACATCTGAAGGGTTTCTACAAAGAATTACATCCTCAGGGTAGGCTATGTATTCCTAGAGCACTTATAAAGGAATGAAAAGGAGAAAATATTTAAGAAACACACAATCTGTAATGAAGGATAGATCCTTGGAGATGGGAGGGCCGATGGACTGGAAAGGAGACCTGTGCGTGGTGCAAGGCATGGGATCAACCAGTGCGAATGTTAATTACAACTGCTTATGGCAACTTGAGGGAGTGCACCACTACAGATCTCTATTAACAATCTGTGTTATCAAATACTGCTCCAAATCCAAGCAATCAAAGCGGGATGCACTTAGTGTTCTTTTACTGGACATTTAGATTTTAGAGCACTCAGGAGCATTCCCCAACACACCACATTCGTTCTTCTGAAACACTAATCCAATGCCGACTCTCTCTGGCCCCCTCTCTTTAAGCACAGGACAGCCCCTCCTTACTGCTCCAAGATAAGCCTCTGATCCTCCTGTGGATCGGACCCACCTGCCAGGGCCCATGGCACCCTCTGCCCTGGAGCTCGCCAGCCCTGCCCTCCTTGCCAATTTAAACAAAGCCCATCTTCTGGCAAGCAATGAACCTTGAGGAGGAGGGAAGGAAGCAGACACCTCAGAGGGCACCACAGGCAGCCCAGCACCTAGCACTGCACAAAGGTCCGCCCAACGGGGGGCTGTATGGACACCAAGATCCTCCTTCCCTGCAAGCCTCTGCCACACCCACTCCTGCAAGCAGCAGGAAAGCCCTGCTCCTCTCAGCAGTGCCCTTGACACTCCTGTGTTTTCTGCCCCGAATGCTCTCTCACGCAATTTCAGGACTGCTGCCAATGTGAAGCCTTTCTTCTCCCAGAACCATGTATGAACATCTCCATTTCACCATTCACCACCTTGTAATGTGACCTGCTTAGAATGGTGGCTCATCAACAAGCAGCAGCTGAAAGCAGAGGCGTGTCCTACCCATCACTGCATCCTGAACACCTCGCATGGTAACGGCACCAGAAAGCAGAGGTGTGTCCTATCTATCACTGTATCCTGAACACCTCGTATGGTAACGGCACCAGGCAAATGCTCAACAGAAGCTGCTCACATGGATGGACAGACAGACAGATGGGAAATGCACAACTACATGAAGGAAAATGGAAACACATCTTAGGAGACAGAAAGAAGCTTATTATTTTAGGTGGTTACAAAGGCTGCCATCCTGAAATATAACTGACTTGAGCCTGGTCTGGTAAAAACGCAGTGCTCAAATAGTATGCTCTTCCCTGAGAGGACAGCTGATCCACATTCTGTGCAATTTCTGGGCATGCAGGGAGACAAAAGCCATGCTGGGCCCATCAGGCAGAGGCTGCAATACGTGAGACCACCAAGGGCAGACGGGTAGACATTCCTGCACACTTTTTAGCTTCCTCTGCAGCAACAGACCATGAGGGCAAATGACAACCACTCACAGCTGTTTCTACCTGATTGAGTCTCACTATCCTTATTATTATTATTTTTATCATCATCAACTGTGTTGAATCCTCCTCTCCTTTTTTTTTTTTGAGACCGAGTCTCGCTCTTGTCACCCAGGCTGGAGTGCAGTGGCATGATCTCAGCTCACTGCAACCTCCGTCTCCTGGGTTCAAGCAATTCTCCTACCTCAGCCTCCCGAGTAACTGGGATTACAGGCACCCGTCACCACACCCAGCTAATTTTTGCATTTTTAGTAGACATGGGGTTTCACCACATTGGCCAGGCTGGTCTTGAACTCCTGACCTCAGGTGATCCACCCGCCTCAGCCTCCCAAAGTGCTGGGATTACAGGCATGAGCCACTGCCTGGCCATCTCCTGCTTTTTTAAAGAGAGAGTCTTGCTCTGTCACCCAGGCTGGAGTGCAGTGGTATGATCATGACTCACTGCAGCCTCAACCTCCCAGGCTCAAGCAATCCTCCTACCTCAGCCTCCTGAGTATCTGGGACTACAAATACGTGCCAACATGCCTGGCTAATTTTTGTGTTTTTTGTAGAGATGGGGTTTTGCCATGTTGCCCAGGCTGGTCTCAAACTCTTGACCTCAAGCAATCCACGTGCCACAACCTCCCAAACTGCTGGGATTACAGGCATGAACCACTGTGCCTGGCCCTCTCCCACTCTTAATGGCACTTACAGTTCAAAAAAAAATAATCTGCTGATCAGCAAAAAGCAAAGATTTTCTTACTGGCACATTCAATCTCGACAGGAGACAGCGGTGTGCTCATTGCCAAATAGGAAGCGTGTAATCCGAGAAGCAGGCCCAGATTCCTCTCTGTGTCTATCAGAGGTGAAGAGAGACTCCCCAGATCTGGTATGGTGACGATTTCTTGGTCAGGCTGGAAAAATAAATTTCATCATCAATCTGAGGAAACAGAATTAATTAAAAACATAAAACCAAAAGGACAGCTCTGTCCTGCAGCTGTAACCGCACGTGAGCCCAGGGGTGCTCTGGGCATTCTGCCCCTCCATCCTGTAATGAGTTGATGCTGCTGTGCCCAAGTAACAGCAGATACCACATAAACCCACAAAAGACCCAGATATCAGTACTTCTAGATCCAAATATTCCTATCACAAACACACAGAGGGTATCCCCTGCCATCCTCTGCATCACTCAAGGCATACAGCCTCACCTCCAAATACTGGCCAACACAAAATGCGTGCATGGATTCCCGGGTGTCTTCAAACTGCAAAGCAGCTTCCAAAGCTACCACTGGGTCTTCCCCTGCAAACTGAGCTGAAACAAAAAGGGAAAAAGCAACATGAGTTCAATTCAGCTTGCCTGAAGAGCTACAGGAGAAATAGTGAGTAGGAAATAAGTTAGGCTCTTAACTCAAAAGTGAGGGTTACCAGAATATAATGACCTCCCACTGTCTCCCAGGGTTGCCTGGGCCAACTCGGAACTTGAAATGAGTTCCAAGTATTAAAACAAAAGATACATAATGAAAGGAAATTCTTCGAATGTGCTGAATTTGTTGATAAGACAGACACCAAAGCCACAGATACATTAAAATATGCGGGGGCTGGCACAAAACTAAAGGAATCATTTATAAGCCAAATACTCTGCTTAAAATGATACAGGCTGTAACTTTTAACCAGGAAATAACAAGTGTAATCTTACCAAGAATACTATTTTCTGTTAACGACTGTGTCTGGAAGTCCTTTATATCATACACTTTCCCGTCAATCACAGTCCAGAAGCCTCCATCGTTATTATGGTTCTCCAAATCAGCTATGCGTACAAGTGTCACTTTCTCATTATTTCTACAGTTCTGACCTGTAAAAAATGACTCTGTATATACAGAAACCAGAATCAGTCCATTGATCAATCAACAGGTAAAATGAAAAGAACAAACTGTGTGAAAGAACTACAAGCAGAAATAAACAAATCCACAATCACAATGGGAGAAATACATACCTAGCTCTGAAACTAATACCACACATACAAATTCTGTTAAATATAGAATGCTTTAAAAAAAAAGTCTAGGCAGCATGAATACCAAATCGGGCCATGCCAGGCCATAGAGTAAATCTCAACAGATTTCAAAGAAATAAACTTACAGAGCATGTGTGCTGACTACAATGCAGTTAAATTACAAATAGGTTTTCAAAAATTCATTCAAAATAAAATAAAAATGACTCTGTATACACAGAAAATAAAAATATTCATCCACATATTTGAAAATTACAAGATACACTTATAAGTAACCCAAAATTCTAAGAAAAAATGACTATGAAAATTAGAAAATGTGTTCAGTTAATAATCAAAATACTGCAGATCGAAATTGGTGACATACAACTAAATGCATGCTTGAGGGCATTTATGCCTTTAAATGTATATATTTACACATTAAAGGGGGAAAAAGCTAAAAAAGAAAAGAAACACCAAATCAATAAAAGTCTGTTAGTTCATAAAAATACTCAAAAAAAAGAAAACCTGAGTGGTGGTCACCTATGCAAGTGCTAGGATACCAACTCAATATTATGAAAAATAGTTAAAGGGAGGTGGCAGTTCAAGAAGTCAAGCTTAGATTATGTCCTTGCTGTACAAATTGTACCTCCTGCTAACCAGACAGCAGAGGGCAAGGTTGGTAGGGGATTTTATAGAGGATACGCAACACATGAATTCCCTGGTCTAGCTTCACAGAACTAAAGCGGGGAGCCACCGAGCATTACAGGCCTCCTGAGCCAACAGAAAGCATGCAGCATGACCCCAGACATAACACCGCCCCAACGAGACTGAATTCAAATCCAACCAAACCTCTAGATCTAACCAGCAGATTAATGTAACTAACAGAAGAACATGTTGGTCTAGAATAAGAGAATGCAATCAACCAAGTTCAGAAAATGTGAAGTTCTCCAAAATAACCAACCTGCTTCTTTGAAAAAGAAAACGGTATGATCAGAGACAGGGAGAAGAGGGCCTGGAGCCATGTTGTTTGGGGAAAGAGACTAGAAGCATATGTCAAGCAATGCCAATACGCAGAACATGCTCAGGTCTTAATTCAAAATTACCACCTAAAAAAGGCATTTTTGAGATAGTCCAGGAAAATGTAACATGGACTGCATGTTAGATTAAGGAATCACTGTTAATCTTATAGACAGGATAATGATATTGTAGGGTTTTTTTAAAATCCTTATCATTAAGAGGTAAAATACCTTAAAATGTTTTAAAGACAGAGTTATGCTTTAAAATAATCCAATCAGCCGGGCGCGGTGGCTCATGCCTATAATCCCAGCACTTTGGGAGGCCGAGGCGGGCAGATCATGAAGTCAGGAGATCGAGACCATCCTGGCTAACACAGTGAAACCCCATCTCGTACCATGCCATATTACTGCATTTAACAGGTATGATGAAGCAACTGAACAGGCTATTTTTCCATTTCCATTGCATTTCAACAGAGCCCATTAAAAAGTAGTATAAATGGCCCTTAAATACTAATATATTTTAAAATGCTCAAACTATATCGGGGTCACCACTTTGTGCTTTAGCAGGCAAAATCCCAAAAGCCCACACACAAGGCTGGGAGACCAGCATCCCTATTGGTGGTGAGAGAAATCAAGATGTACAGGAGCAATCTGGTGACAACCAGCCCACACGAGGTCCATCCCCACCTGTGCATGTGCACAGGCACACACGCGTGCACACATGGAGGACACGTGTTCCAGGCCAGGCCTTGCAGTACTATTTGTGTTTTCTGTTGTTGTTGTTTGAGATGGAGTTTCACTCTTGTTGCCCAGCCTGGAGTGCAGTGGCGCGATCTCGGCTCACTGCAACCTCTGCCTCCCAGGTTCAAGCGATTCTCCTGCCTCAGCCTCCCAAGTAGCTGGGATTACAGGCATCCGTCACCACGCCCCGCTAATTTTTGTATTTTTTAGTAGAGACGGGGTTTCTCCAAGTTGGCCAGGCTGATCTCAAACTCCCAACCTCAGGTGATCCACCCACCTCGACCTCCCAAAGTGCTGGGATTACAGGCGTGAGCCACTACACCCGACCCTCAGCACTATTTGTATAGCAACATTGTGGCAATAAGCCCAAGTGTCCACCAATAAGAGACTCACTAAAGAAAGATAGATAAAAGACACATCCACACACTGAAGACTAAGCTGATTTATAAAAACAAAGAGGGACACTCTGATAAGGTACTCCAGTATATATGGTTAGTTAAAAAAAAAAAACAAAAAACAAGCAACACAAGTAATGAAGCATGCTACCACGAACGTACTCATGCCAGAGAACAAGGAGGTTACAGAGGAGACTGGAAAGTCAGAGGGAGCAGGTGGGAAAATGGGTGGAAGGGGTGGGCAGGGGAAGCGACAGTGTGTCTCTGCCTAGGTTTGATTTTTGAACCATGTGACTGTATTTTTTTTTTTAATGACTGTAAAACAAAATAAATACTCTTTATACTAGAAATAAAATGTTAGAAAAATCTGGATTCAAAACTAGGATTACTGTTCTGCACTGGCAAAGTTCACTACCATTCCCAAAGGCAGTTTTCTCATTGACATAATGAGATACAACAGCGTGCATGAGGTCCTCAGCGGGCCTGCACCCTACAGGTGCTCCACACATGCAAATCACTACCATTACTATTACATAAGAGATATAATACATAATTATACTGTCACTACTATAACCAGCATGACATACTAAGACAGCCTGCGTTCAGAGTATGAAGAAGGCTGTGGAACCCCCTGCAGAAGGTGGGAGGGCCTGGGGCTGTGGATAAAGGGGAGCTCTCTGGGGCTGTGCCACCTGAACCTGGAACCCGGGCCCCCAGGTTGGGTCGCCAGGCCTGTGCGCCTCAGCTTGCTCATCACTCACTCTCAACACGGATAACACCTTCAACTGCAAACACGTTTAAAAACCACAGGCCAGCTCCCCCTACCAATACCAGAAAAAACAAGTCTCCACACGGGCCCAGGATGAGAACCTACAAGTGGTACTAGCTACAAAACACATGGAGAACACGGTTCTTGCACACACCTTATGAGACGTCGGAGAGCTACACAGAGGAGGCATCTACAGGGTGTAGCCAGACGGTCTAAATGGGCCATGACAACAACCGCCGTTTGTTGCAGATCAATGGCAAGCCTGTTGTCTTGTGGAAGGGTGAGGTACCTCAGGAAACTCTCACTGGGGCTCAGAGGACCACACAAAAGCTAGAAAGGAAAAGTAAACAAAAATTCAGAACTGGTGGGAAAAACTAAAGTAACACAGTTTTTTACCCACGCTTTATATTTTGGTATTGACTCACTTGACCCATCAAATGACAATGTTGATGATACAGTTATACTATACGTCTATATATTTATGCAGCATATAAACTGTATAAATCTCTAAATCTGCTGTATACATGTACACAACATTGACTGTGCATGTATACATTTATGATACCATAGGTAAGTTGAATCCACACAGATTACTAACATGACCAAACCACTCTACAAGCCTAGGACCCCTGGAGAAAGGCAGAACCACCTCTGTGGGAACCCAGCACAGCATCTCAAGCTGGCCTTGAAATCTAAAACCAAAACCTTTATTTTAATCCACTCTGGAGAACACCTACTTTCATTTGCAAATTAAATCACAGTTCTAATTCTTCTAAAGGCAGAAGACCCCTATTATCATTAGTTTAAAGACTGCCAAATAATAGGCTGGGCATGGTGGCTCACACCTGTAATCCCAGCACTTTGGGAGGCCGAGGCAGGCAGATCACAAGGTTAGGACTTTGAGACCACCCTGGCCAACATGGTGAAACCTCATCTCTATTAAAAATATAAAACTGAGCTGGGCATGGTGGCGGGTACCTATAATCCCAGCTACTCGAGAGGCTCAGACAGGAGAATCATTCGAACTAGGGAGGCGGCAGTTGCAGTGAGCTGAGAACGTGCACTGCACTCCAGCCTGGGAAACAGGCAGAGACTCCGAAGACGGGAAGGGACGGGATGGGACGGGATAGGACAGGACGGGATGGGATAGGACGGGACGGGAAGGGAGAAAGAAAGCAATGTACCCGCAAAACAAACAAACAAACAAAAAAACAGTCTCGGGGACCTATGGGACTATAACAACTCCGGTCACTGAACTCACGAAGGGACAGGAGAAAGAAGGTGGGGCTGAAACTGTACTCTATGAAGTGATGGCTTACAAGTTCCCAAATTTGGCAAGAGACATAAATCTACAGATCTAAGGTAAGCAAACCCTAAACAGGATGAACCCAAAGAAATCCAAACTAAGACATATAATAATCAAACTCCAAAAAACAAAAGACAAAACATTTCAAAAGCCACTAAACAAAAACAGTGCCTTAACTATCGTGGATTAACAAGTCAAATGACAGCGAATTTCTCATCAGAAACCATGGAGCCCAGCTGAAAGTACAAAATATTTTTCAAGCGATGAAAAGAACCATTAACCCAGAATTCTTATATCCAGCAAAAATGTCCTTCAGGAATGAAAAGGAAAGCAAAACATTCTCAGAGGAAGTGAAACAGAATTTGTCACCAGAAGACCCACACCAAAAGAAAGGCTAATGGAAGTTCTCTAAGCAGAATGGCAACCATCAAAGAAGAAAACCCTGGAACTTCTGGAAGGAGGAGATGACAAGCACACCAACGCATAAATACAATAGACTTTTCCCTCACCTCTTGACTTTGCTAAATTATGTCTGAAGGTTCAACCAAAAATTATAACATTGTCATATGTGGTTATCAATGTAAGTAAATGAAATATTTAAGGCAAGTATATTATGAACAGAAGAACATAAAGGAACATCAAAGGAGGTAGTTTCTATATCCCTGAAGCTGGTAAATGACAACATCAGGTAAAATCTGATAAGTGTTCATACATACACAGGCTGAGTGTCCCTTATAAAATGCTCAGGAGCACAAGTGTTCCAAATTTCAGATTTTTATCAGATTTAGGAATATCTGCATATAAATAATGAGATATTTTGGGGATAGGACCCAAGTCTAAATACATTCATTTATGTTTTATATATAACTTACACACAGAGCCTGAAGGTAATTTTATATAGCATGCTTAGTAATTTTGTGCATGAAACAAAGTTCATGCTAAGTACTTATGAATGGAATTTTCAATTTGGGGGCGTCATGCTGGAGTGCCATAAAGTTTCGAATTTTGGGGCATTTCAGATTTTGGATTTTGGGTTTACAGATGCTCAATCTGTATGTAATATATTACCTAGAAAAGCCACTAAAAAAGCTATACAAAAAGATACACTCTAAAACACTACAGATGAAATAGAATGCTAAAAATGGTCAAGTAAACCACAGAGAGCCAGGAAGAACCAAACCGAAAAAATGAAAAACAGAAGAAATAGAAAATGCAAAACAAAATGGCAGTGTTAAGCCTCAATTTATCAATGACATTAAATTAAATGTAAACAATCTAAATACATCAATTAAAAGACACTAGGAGAGTAGACTAGAGAACATGATCCAACTATATGTTGTCCATAAGAAAGTGACTTCAAACAGGCAAACTGAAAATAGAAGTATAGAAAAAAAAAGATCATGCAAACATTACTGAAAGGACAGCAGGAGTTGGCTATATTTATATCAAATAAAGTAAACTTCAGAACAAAGATAATTACCAGGAGGGCCGGGCACAGTGGCTCACGCCTGTACTCCTAGCACTTTGGGAGGCCAAGGTGGGTGGATCTCAGGAGTTTGAGACCAGCCTGGCCAATATGGCAAAACCCCATCTCTACTAAAAATACAAAAATTAGCTGGGTGTGATGGCAGAAGCCTATAATCCCAGCTTCTCAGGAGGCTGAGGCAGGAGAATCACTTGAACCTGGTAGGGTCGGAAGTTGCAGTGAGCTGAGATCATGCCACTTCACTCCTGCCTGGGCAAAAGGAGCGAAACTCCGTCTCAAAAAAAAAAAAAGATAATTACCAGGAACCAACGGCAACATTACAAAATGAGAACTTGGTCAATCCACCATTAAGACACAGCAATTCGAAACGTGCAGACACCAAACAAACAAAAAAACAATGAACAGAACCGAAAGGAGAAAAAGACATTTATACTTTTATAGTTGGAGACCTCAAAATCTCTCTCTACAGCTGATAAAATTAGGAGACAGAAAAGCTGCCAGGATATAGAACGCAACATCACCATCCATCAACTAGAGCCAATCAAAATTTATAGAACACTCCAGCCAATAATAACAGAATACATAATCTTTTCAAGTATCCACAAAACAAATACTAAGTTAGAACATATTCTGAGGCATAAAACAAACCTAACAAATTTTTTGAAATTAAAATCACACAGCATATGTTCCCTCAAACAATGGGAACAAATCTGAAGTCAACAAGAGAACAATTACAGGAAAATTGCCTAACTCTCAGAAACTAAACAATAAACTTTTACATAACCCATGGATCAAAGAGAAAGTCTCAAGGGAAATTTTAAAATATATTGTGAACTGAGAGAAAATGCAAGTACAATACATCAAAATGTATGGGAAAGAGCTACAGTGGGTGACGAGAGACAAATTTACAGCACTAAATGAATGGTACATTAGAAACTTGGAAACAAATCAATAATATAAGTGCCCACGTTGACAACCTAAAAGAAAATTAAAAATAGCAAAATCAACCCAAAAGTAAGCAGAAAGGAAGAAATAATTAAGGTAAGAGTAGAAACAAAGTGAAAACAGAAAAACAATAAACAGTAAAGCAAAAAGCTGGTTCTTTGAAAAGATCAATAAAACTGACACACCTCTCTAAGCAAGACTGACAAAAAAAAAAAAGACATAAATTACCCAACATTAGTGATGAAACAGGCTCTAAAGATATGAAAAAAGATAATTAGGAATTACTAGGAACAACTCTACACACATAACTTTGACAACTTGGGCAAAATAGACTTATTCCTCAAATAATGCAAATTACCACAACTCACCAAATATAAAATAGATCATTTGAATAGCTCTACCACTATCAAGAAAACTGAATTCATAATTCAAAGAATCCCAAAAAAAAAAAAAGAAATTACCAGATCCAAATGAACTCACTGGATAATTCCATCAAACATTAAAAAAGAATTAACACAGACTCAAAACAATCTCTTCTGGAAACTAGAAAAGGAAAAACTTCCCAATTCATATTAAGAAGCTAATATTAGAGCTAATATTAGCATTTTAAGAAGCTAATATTAGAGCTAATATTAGCATTTTAAGAAGCTAATATTAGAGCTAATATTAGCATTTTAAGAAGCTAATATTAGAGCTAATATTAGCATTTTAAGAAGCTAATATCAGGTACCGTACCTAAAGACAGTACAAACTACAGAACAATATACCTTAATATATATATAGACACAAAAATATTCAGTGAATTATTAGCAAGTAGAAGTAAACAATATATAAAAAGAATTCCACATCATCGCCAAGTAGTTTCATTCCAGGAATGCAAAGCTGGTTCAACAGTCAAATATCAATGTAACCCACCCTATTAATAGACTAAAGAACAAAAATCACATAATTACATATCAATTGATTTAGAAAAAGCAAATGACAAAATTCAATACTCGTGAATGATAAAAATTCTCAGAAAATAGCAACAAATGGGAACTTCATCATCTTGATAAACAGCATTTACAACACCTTAAGCTAAAACCTATGCCAACAAGAATGTCAGAAAGGGTCCTCCCAGACCTATTTATACAGCAGAGAGAATCATTAAGAATGATTTAGATAGTTACTAAGAGTTTACTCTCCTAAGAGATTACAACACCCAATGGCCAGCAAGCCCTTTTCATTAGACAAAAAGAAAAGCTGTGATCTGTCAACACTCTCAGAAGGTTCACTGTGAAATGTGCACTTCTGAACTCCTGCTGAGGGCCTACACGCTGCAATGTTGAGAAGCAAGTGTCCAGAGGTCTCCTTGGAAACATTGCAAAAAAAATGTGAGGGACTGATGGATGAATAGAAGGATGAAAAGGTGGAGAGAACGGTGATAAAGCACGTGGGATGATGCCAGCGGCACAATCTTAGGTGGTGAATATGTGGGTGCGCGCTGTAAAATTCTTTCAACTTTTCTGTATATATTTTTTTCATAATAAAATGTTGGAAAAAATAAACCTGTGAAAAAGGAAGCTTTAGTCAAACATATCTAAGCAAAAGAAAAAACAAATTCTAAATTCCTATGGCTCAAATTAACGTGTTTTTCTTTTTAGGCTGAGATGGAAGAGTAAAAAAACAGAAAAAGAAATGAAAGGAATAGGAGCTATTCTAACAGCTACAAATTCCACCTGCAGTTTGATTAAAGATGGCGTGGCTCAAGAATATGCTTTGAATCCAAGCCCCTTCAAGGCTGCCAGGTACAGAGTCGGTTCTGCAAAAGCTCTGTACCTGTGAACAAGCAGAGCTTCCAAATAAACCGATTAAAGCTGCCCTGAGTCAATAAGCCGGGCTTTAATCTGAGCAAGAAAGGTACATTTTTAGTCTAGTTACCCACCCATAACTGTAGGTACTTTGATACCTAGGTGAGGGGAAACATGGAGAAAGGCAAAATAACAGATTTTTAAAATCACAACAAATCTTTATCAAACATTTGTGCCAGGCACTGACTTAAGAGCTTCAAATGCATTATTTCATGTCATTTGCACAGCAACTCTCTGAGTAAGTACTTTCACTTATTTTATATATAATTTTAATTATTTACATTATATTATACTTATTCCTTTTTTTTGTTTGTTTTTTTTGTTTTGAGATGGAGTCTCACCCTGTCACCCAGGCTAGAGTGGTGGTGCAATCTTGGCTCACTGCAAGCTCCGCCTCCTGGGTTCATGCCATTCTCCTGCCTGAGCTTCCCGAGTAGCTGGGACTACAGGTGCCCACCACCACGCCCAGCTAATTTTTTTGTATCTTTAGTAGAGACAGGGTTTCACCACGTTAGCCAGGATGGTCTCGATCTCCTGACCTCATGATCCGCCCGTCTCAGCCTCCCAAAGTGCTGGGATTACAGGCATGAGCCTCTGCACCCGGCCACTTATTCCTATTTTATACATGAGAGGCCCAAGGTGAGACAAAGTGATTTGTGTAGAGTCAGAGATAAAGCCAAAATTGATACCCAGACAGACTGAAAAACTTCTCTGTCAGAAAATCTAGAAATGGTAAAGGGAGATCTTCAAACTGAAGGAACATGATAACACAAGGTAGCTGGGACAGAAACAAAACCTTAAGGGCCCATAATGGTAAAATGAAAGTTAACATAAAAAACTTTTTTTTGGCCAGCCATGGTGGCTCTTTGGGAGGCCGAGGTGGGTGGATCACCTGAGGTCAGGAGTTCGAAACCAGCCTGACCAACATGACGAAACCATGTCTCTACTCAAAAATACAAAATTAGCCAGGTGTGGTGGCGTATGCCTGTAATCCCAGCTACTCGGGAGGCTGAGCCAGAATCGTTTGAACCCAGGAGGCAGAGGCTGCAGTGAGCCAAGATCATGCCATTGCACTCCATCCTGGCAGCCTGGGCAACAAGACCAAAACTCCGCCTCAAAAAAAAAAAAAAAAAGAGGCCAGGTGTGGTGGCTCACACCTATAATCCTATAATCCCAGCACTTAAGGGTGGCTGAGGCACGTGGATCACCTAAGGTCAGGAGTTCGAGGCGAGCCTGGCAAACATAGTGAAACCCTGTCTCTACTAAAAATACAAAAACGTTAGCCAGGCACGGTGGTGTGTGTCTGTAATCCCAGCTACTAGGGAGGCTGAGGCAGGAGACTCGCTTGAACCTGGGTGGCGGAGGTTGCAGTGAGCTGAGATTGTGCCATTACACTCCAGTCTGGGCAACAACAGCAAAACTCCGTCTCAAAAAAAAAAAGACTTTTTTTTCTCTTTTCAAATTTGAGGGGAAAAAATGTAATTGCCTATTTAAAGCAAAAACAAAAACATCATATTGTGGGGTTTATACCATGTTTCACTTGGACATGACACAGCAACACTACCAACCAAGAACATGTCAGAAGCAGGAAGCTACAGTCAGAGCACTGCCCCGCAGCTCAGGCAGTGTAATACCATTTGAGAGTGGGCAGTGACAAGTGAAAGATGTAACTGAAAACGCCAGAGATGATAGATTTAAACCCAAGTAGTCTAAAGATTCCAAATAAAAAACAGAGGTTGTCAGGGTGAATAAAGAAGCAAGACCTAATTAAATGATACCTGAAAGAAATCTACTTTACACATACACAAAGTTTGAAAGTGAAAAAAGCTAAACCTGGCAAACACACCACGCAAACACCAAATCAGAAGAAAGGAGAGTAGTCAGACCAAGGTGACTTCACAACAAAGAATGTCACCGGAGATTAAGGGGGTCAAATTTATGAATATGGCGTAAAAATCCTAAAAGTGCATGCACCCTATAACATTCTCAAATACATGAAGCAAAACCTGCAGAGCTGAAAGAAAATAATCCATAATTAGCATGAGAGATTTCAATTCTCCTCAGAAGAAAGAGGAACTAAGCAGTGAAATTGCTCTTCATGCCTCCCCAGCACAATGGAGATACTCCTGGGAAATAAAGCCAGTCACTGGGGCTGATCTCCCAGAACACTGAGACTGGCTTCTCTGTAAATAAATGACTGGTATTTGCTAGGAGAAGTGTCCTTATCTATGAAATGTTTTTAGCAAGATGTGGTTAGTTTAGGATTGTGTTTGGTAAACATACCTAAAATCCATGGACTTATGGGACATGGCTCCCTGGAAAAGGTTCCCTAAGGTGTATAAACTATCTGACTACAAAACGGGAACACTGCACATCCTTAATGCTCCTTGTGCAGTGAGATGACGACACACCTCAGTGAGAGGACCACACGCCTCAGTGAGAGGTCTCATCTCGCAGGCCGGGCTCAAAGAGGATGGACCTGCGGGGGTTGCACAGACTCTCCCACATCTCTCCCCACTTTGCCTGAGCACACAAGTGAGGATATTACTTGTATCTTTAAAGTTACTAAGTAATCAGCTACGGGTAACATCTCTGAGATTCATGTCAAACTAATGTGGTAAGCCAACCTTGTGTGTTAGTTCAACTCCTCTCCTAACAGTGACTAGAACAAGCAGGCAGAAAACTATTTCAAGTCAAGGATACCTGAACACTATCAACTTGATCTCACTAAGCTTTACAGAGCAGCAAAATACACTTTTTTTTTTTTTTGAGATGTAGTCTTGCTTTGTCACCCAGACTAAAGTGCAGGGGTGCAATCGAGATTACAGGCACCCACCACCACACCCAGCTAATTTTTGTATGTTTCGTAGAGACAGGGTTTCACTATGTTGGCCAGGCTGGTCTCGAACTCCTGACCTCAAGTAATCCACCCACCTCAGCCTCCCAAAGTGTTGAGATTACAGGCAGGAGCCACTGCACCCAGCCACATTCTTATTACATGTGCATGAAACATTCCACAGAATGCACCATATTCTGGGGCTTCAGACAAGCCTCAGCATTGAAATCACAGAATATGTTCTCTGACTACAACTAATTTAGAAATTGTTAACAGGAGATATTTGAAAATCCCCAAATATTTGGAAATGAAATAACACATTTCCAAATAATAAGTGAGTAAAAGAAGAAATTAAAAGGGAAATTAGAAAATATTTTCAACTGAATGAAGATGAAAATGAATAAACATTTCCAAATTTGTGAAATGTGGCTAAACAATGCTTAGAGGGAAATTTATATTATAGTTTTGAACACTTGTTAGAAAAGACAAAAAATCTGAAGTCAATGATCTAAGCCTTTACCTTAAGAAACTAGAAGAGACAGAAGAACAAATGGAACCCAAAGCCAGCAGAAAAAAGGAAATAATAAAGAGTAAAGCAGAAATCAATGAAAAAGAAAACAAACAAAATCAATAAAACCAACAACTGGTTCTTTGAAAAAACTCAAACTGATGACTTCTAGGAAGACTGATCAAAATCGAAAGAGAGAAAATACAAGGCACATTTCAGCAAATTTCTGGATAACAGGTAGTATATGCTGGTACTTACTACATGCAAAATAATAGCATACGCACTTTGTCTGGCCTACTGTACTGATCCCATAATAACCTATGAGGTAGGTACTACTACTAACCCCAAATACGAATTTTTTTTTAAGAGACAGGGTCTCACCCTGTCACCCAGGCTGGAGTGTAGAGGCACAATCATAGATCACTGCAGCTTCAAACTGATGGCCTCAAGCAATTCTCTCACCTCAGCGTCCCAAAGTGCTGGGATTACAGGCGTGAGCTACCATGCATGGTGTCACTAATTATTTTTATATATGTACATTTACATATGTATGTCCATGCCAGGAAAGAAAAGCCTGAATATCCACTCTGAAGGGATAATAGTGGCTAACTCTTAGAGGAAAACTGAAATTGGGGTGGGCAGCCAGGTGAAATTTCTGCTTTTATAATCGATACATTTTTATAAGAAAACATTTATTTGATGTATATTTTTAATTGGAACGAAAATGCATCAGACATTTTAAAAAATTCAATTACACACAAAAAAGTAAGCAAAGAATAAATATATGGGTTTTACTGGGTTGGAGAAAGGGAAGAGATTATGAAAGTCCATCCATGATAAGGAACTCCTATAACCCAAAACAAAAAACTCAATTAAAAAATGGAATTAGCTGGGTGTGGTGGTGCCCGCCTGTAGTCCCAGCTACTCGGGAGGCTGAGGCAGGAGAATGGCGTGAACCCGGAAGGTGGAGGTTGCAGTAAGCCAAGATCATGCCACTGTACTCCAGCCTGGGTGACAGAACAAGACTCTGTCTCCAAAAAAAAAAAAAAAAAAAAGAAAGGGCAAAAGGGCCAGGCACAGTGGCTCATACCTGTAATACAGCACTTTAGGAGGCCAAGGTGGGTGGATCACCTGAAGTCAGGAGTTCAAGACCAGCCTGGCTAACATAGTGAAACTTCGTCTCTACTAAAAATACAAAAAATTAGCCAGGCACGGTGGCGGACACCTGTAATCCCAGCTACTCGGGAGGATGAGGCAGGAGAATCACTTGAACCTGGGAGGTGGAGGTTGCAATGAGCCAAGATTGCACCACTGCACTCCAGCCTGGGCAACAAGAGCCAAACTCCATCTCCCCAAAAAAAAAAAAAAACAAAAAACGGGCAAAGGATTTGAATAGACATTTCTCCAGTGAATGTATACAAATGGCCAATAAGCATGTAAAAAGATGCTCAGCATGACTAATCAACAGGGAAATACAAATCAAAACAATGAGATGCTGTACCTACTCACACAAATTAGGATGGCTATCATCAGAAAACAAAAAGTGTTGGTGAGGGTGTGGAGAAATTGGAACCTTAGTATACTGCTGCAAGAATGTAAAACAATGTAGCCACTGTGGAAAACAGTTTACTGCTTCCTCAAAAAGTTACACATAGTGCCAGGTGCGATGGCTCACATCTGAAATCTCAGCAACTCAGGAGTCTGAGGCAGGAAGATCCCGTGAAGCCAGGAGTATAAGACCGGCCTGGGCAACACAGTGAGATTCTGTCTCTAATTAGTCAAGCGTGATGGCTGGGCAACAATGTCAATATATTTAATGCCAATGAACTGTACACATAAAACTGGTTAAAACGGTAAGTTACATGGTATGTATATTTTACCACAATATTTAAATTTTTTAATTAGTTTTTAAAAAATTGTTACCAAAAAAATACTAAGAATCCATTCAAGTTATTTAGAAAGGGAGTGTCAGATCAACCTTTCCAAAGTGCCAAAATTCGCAAGATCACCTGGTTGCTTGCCCCATACCCAGCTGTCCAGAATTGACTTGGCCCTATATATAGGTGCAGGAGTTTCTTCTTCATCTTTTTTCTCTTTGTCATTCAGATCTTTCTTTGTCCCACTTGGTTCGACACTATCATCTGCAGAATTAAAAATTTTTTAATCTGTCACCGCTTTTCAGAATGTCATACCGTTAGCCTCTGCAAATGTCCCTCCCCGAAAAGTTACAACACACATGATTAACTGAATGCTTGACAACTTAAAAATAAAATACATCAATCATACCTGTAACAGATCCAGTATAATTTTCATAAAGAAACCAATATATTGGCCGGGCGTGGTGGCTCATGCCTGTAATCCCAGCACTTTGGGAAGCCATGGCGGGTGGATCAGGAGGTCAGGATATCGACACCATCCTGGCTAACACGGTGAAACCTCGTCTCTACTAAAAATACAAAAAATTAGCTGAGCATGATGGCAGGCGCCTGTATTCCCAGCTACTCGGGAGGCTGAGGCAGGAGAATGGTGTGAACCTGGGAGGCAGAGCTTGCAGTGTGCTGAGATCATGCCACTGCACTCCAGCCTGGGTGACAGAGCGAGACTCCATCTCAAAAAAAAAAAAAAAGAAACCAATACAACAAATTATTTAAAGGATGTCTTCCAAAATGATATTCCATCTACTTCCTAGTACATTTCTTAACTGAGAAACTTAAGTCTTTCATATTTACCTACTTCAATTTCACACCAATTGCTTTTATCCAGTGAGTCCCAGTGCTTGTGTATCCATGGGAAAAGGGAGGGTGTAGAACAAGAGTATGATTCAAAAATCTTTTAACTCTTTACAAGGCCCTACTCCACTGCCAACTGGGAAGCACTGCTATGCAGGGGCACTGTCACTGCTGGCATAATTCAAGAGCACTGGGACACAAAGGAAAAGCTGAGAAAAATCACTTTAGGCCACTGACAATGTCAAGTTTCAGTCAAAAACAACTGTCATAAAACTCCTTACACAGTAAGCGAAGAGAAGAGAGAACTAACCTTAACCTTGAAGTGTAAACACATTCCATCACAGAAGGCTGTGACTAAATGTCTAACAACATAATTAGAAAAATGTATCTCAATCGGGGAAAGACATGATATCCCATCCAGATTACAAATAATGACTATCTAAAAATCTCGAAGGAAACAGTTCCTCTGTTTACAACACTTCTGACACCAAATGTATGGACTTTTGCACCAAGCAATTCTCCAGTTCTCTGCGACACCCAGCTTTGTGTCCCACAGTGCAATTCAATTCTGAAACTAACTACCTAGAATTAGCACAGACCCCACAGGTTAATAACAAGAGAGAAAAGGTGAATGCTGAAAAAAATATCCAAAGAACTAATGGCTGAAAACTTCCTAGGTTCAGCAAATGACATAAACCCAGGCAGACTGAAGAATCTGCACAAAGCCCACACAAGATAAATCCAAAGGAAGCCATGACGAGGCACATCATAATCAACTGCTAAACACTAAGGACAAAACCTTTTGAAAAGTGCCACGGAAAGTAGATACAGAAGAATTTCTCGTGTGGCCTGAAATTAAGACTAAATATTACGTGCTGCCTTGACATTGGTAAAATCAAGAAGGCCTCAAATAGCCTAACCACAAGGTCTCCCCTGAGCTCTGCTCTCACGGATAAGATCCCAAAGCCAAACAACCTCCTTATCGCGGAAACCCGACCCCAGCCTGCTCATCCCTGCCGGCCCAGAGTTATTCAAACAAGCCAGTCACATCTTCCCATGGAAGCAAGGTCATCTCACCCTCCTGTTACTACAAAATGTGCCTCCCACAGCCCCTCGTGGTTCGCTCTGTTCCCAAGTGCAGCCCCCGTGTGGCATGCGGTGTCCCCCACCCCAGGGCTGTGAGCATGCGTGACTAATAAACTGCTATTTCATCTGTCCAGTGTCGGTGTCCTACGTTCAGCCATCCCATATCCCTAGGGCAGGAATCTTCTAGGGTTATAAACAGAACTTTAATCAACCTCTCCTTGGTTATTTTACTGGTTCCATGATACAGCTTTTTCTGTGCAAAAGATCTGAACAGAAACTCACAGAGGATACAAGAGTGGCAAAAAAGAACATGATATTCAGCATTGTTAGCCATTACAGAATTGCAAATTAAAACCACAATGAGATCCCACTAGACTTGTTAGAATGGCTCAACTAAAAATCACTGATAACACCAAGTGCTAACAAAGACACAGAGCAACAGAAACGTGACAGATTGTCAGCGGGAATGCAAACTAAAACAGCCTCCAGTTTACCAAGGTAGACACCTCGAGTCACAGAATACAGAGTAGAACCCAGCCAGGAACACGGCTCAGGTGAGAACACAGGTGCTGGCTCTGAATGCCAGACTCTGCCGTGTGTGTGTGTGTGTGTGTGTGTGTGTGTGTGTGGTCACTAACCACAGCCCACAGGACAAACCCAGCCCACAGCCTTTTTGTGTATGGTCTGAACACAGAGAAAGTATTTTAGTTTTGTTGTTCTTTTGAGATGGAGTCTTGGCTCACCACAACCTCTGCCTCCCAGGCTCAAGCGATTCTCCCAGGTTCAAGTGATTCTCATGCCTCAACCTCCGAGGAGCTGGGATTACAGGGGTGCATCACCATGCCCGGCTAATTTTTTGTTTTCAGTAGAGATGGGGTTTCACCATGTTGGCCAGGCTGGTCTCGAACTCCTGACCTCAGGTGATCCGCCTGCCTCGGCCTCCAAAAGTGCTGGGATTACAGGTGTGAGCCACCACGCCCAGCCACCGTATTTTATAGTTTTTAATAATTGAAAAATAATCAAAAGAAAAACAGTATTTTGTGACTTGCAAACATTCTGTGGACTTCATCTTTTCGTGTCCATAAATAAAGTTTACAGAATGAACGTCCCCAGCCCGCTGACGTAGTATTGTCTGTGGCTACTCTGGCACTACAGCTGCAAGGTCCCATGGCTATGACAGAGACCATAGGGTCCATTGAGAGCTTAAAATATTTACTATCTGGCCCTTTACAGAAAGTAGGCCACCCCTACCCTACATCTGGCTATAAATTTTACAAATTTGACAAATTCTGAGACCCTGTCTCAGAAAATAAAATAAAATATTCATAGTCTTAATAATGGAAAACAAAAACATTTACTGAATGCCAAAACATCTCCCTAACAATCCCAATCAGTTGGGATCTACATAAAGAACAATTATGCTCTGCTTTCCAACCATGATTTTTAAAAGAACAAAAGACAAAAAAATTCATCAAATGTGGGCTGGGCATGGTGGCTCACACCTGTAAACCCAGCACTTTGGGAGGCCGAGGTGGGCAGATTATGAGGTCAGGAGTTCAAGACCAGCCTGACCAAGATGGTGAAACTCCGTCTTTACTAAAAATTCAACAATTAGCTGGGCATGGTGGAGGGCGCCTGTAATCCTAGCTGAGTACTCAGGAGGCTGAGGCAGAGAACTGCTTGAACCCGAGAGGAAGGGGTTGCAGTGAGCCAAAATCATGCCGCTGCACCCCAGCCTGAGCGACAGAACAAGACTCCCTCTCGAGAGGAAAAAACAAAAAAAATTCATCAAATGTAATGAATAAAACATATACTTTGGATTTTGCCATGTACTTAGCTTTTCTTAGAGCACCTTTTAGAACTATTGTTTCACAGAAAACACTTTGGGAAACGTTTTAATTTATAAACAAATACTGGAGGGCTAGGAAGAAGAGGTTAAAACTTTTTAAAATATACAGAATGAATTACTGATACAGAAAAACAAAAAAAGGTTGCTGATTCCTGTCTTGGAAGACACTGTCATATGGACACTCTTAGCCTCAGCATCCAGAGGTCCAGAAAGGGAAAATTTCAAGTCAGAGAGAATTCTATATATACCACTTACTTGGAACATTCAGCCCTCAAAATCCCAACATCATGACCTCAGTTTCAACACAATTGTCCTTAGTCCTTATGTCACTGCTTTTGGTGCTGCCTGCTGTCAAGGCAGTGGAAGCCAGTGATGCAACTGCTCTCTCGTTAAAAGGTGTGGTTCTCAGTATTACAGGTGTTTGTACTTGCTTGCAGGTATACGCACGAAAGATAAAAATGAACAGATGTGACTTTGAAGGGCCTAATGAATGAAACCTCACCCTGAAAACCTTTGTGCTACTGAAACTAAATGTAAGCTTTGGTGTCTGAAAGTTTCCAAGAATTAGTAAGTAGGAGAGTTTTACTTTCTGAGTTGATTCCATGAAATGGGAACAAATTGGTACATAAATGGATTTTGCCCAGAATCCTAGGAAATCGCCACTGTTCAGTCGTAATCACTGCCTCCTAAATCACTGAGTCTGTTCTCTGTATTTTTATTAGACTTTTGTCATCTCCCCAATTCAGATATCCAATAGTCAGCCAAAAAGGGAAACTTTTATCTCTGGAAAGAAAAAAAATCATTTAGAAAAATGTGTTCAGTGTATCTAATACTGAAATGGAGAAAAGACTTAATGTTAAAGAAAAAAAAACACTATAGACATTGACATGGAAAAGAGATTTAATGTTAATAAAAACTTTATATTAACTGAGTAACACCTCCTGATGAGAAGTGCTATATTAAATATAAACCCATTACGTTGTTTAAAAAAAAAAAACATGAAAATCAAAAGCACTAAACAGAGTGAAAGAAGCCAAGACACAGAAGAACCCGACTACATGATTCCATGTATGGAGTTCTAGAACAGGCGCAATTTGTCAATGCTGGAGAAACATCAGGCCAGCTATTGCCTCTGGGAAGAAGGGGCAGGACACCAGAGAACTTTCTGAGCAAGAGTCATGATAAAGATGTGGGTTACACGGGTTACATTTGTCAAAACTTGTGAAATGGTAAACTCAAAATAGATACATTTCATTATATATAAATTTTACCTGAAAGTCAAAAACAAAGTTGAACTAGAATCAATTACATACATGAGTGTCTAAGGAGCTAGGTGAGACAAACGGTGGATGGACAGACAGCAGGATGTGGAGCCAAATACGGTGGCAGGACATGGAGGTGGGTCTGCAGCCACTCACTGTACACGTCTGTCAGTTATTGTGTGTGTGTGTGTGTGTGTGTGTGTGTGAATATTTTCAAAAAAATATAAAAAATAAATTAAAATAAAAACACAGGTAACTCTGCTTGACACTGAAACTGAAGAGGGAGACTAATACTTTTTCCCATGGTTTGTTTTGTGTTTTTTGTTTTTTTTTTTTGAGATGGAGTCTCACTCTGTCACCCAGGCTGGAGTGCAGTAGCACAATATCTGCTCACTGCAACCTCCACCTCCCGGCTCCAAGCAATTCTCCTGCCGTGCCCTCCCAAGTAGCTGGGATTACAGGCGCCCGCCACTATGCCTGGCTAATTTTTGTATTTTTTAGTAGAGACGGGGTTTCACCATGTTGGCCAGGCTGGTCTCAAACTCCCAACCTCAAATGATCTGCCCGCCTCAGCCTCCCAAAGTGCTGGAATTACAGGCACGATCCACCGCGCCCGGTCCCCAAGTATTTTCAAGTGGACACCATCCCAATTCATTCCACAAAAGAAGAATAAATACTTGCCAGGCACGGTGGCTCACGCCTATAATCCCAGCACTTTGGGAGGCTGAGGCGGGCGGATCACGAGGTCAGGAGATTGAGACCATCCTGGCTAACACGGTGAAACCCTGTCTCTACTAAAAAATACAAAAAATTAGCTGGGCGTGGTGGTGGACACCTGTAGTCCCAGCTACTTGGGAGGCTGAGGCAGGAGAATGGCATGAACCCAGGAGGTGGAGCTTGCAGTGAGCTGAGATCGCGCCACTGCACTCCAGCCTCAGCGACAGAGCAAGACTCCTTCCCAAAAAAAAAAAAAAGAAGAAGAAATACTTTCTTCAGACTAATGCTCTCCCAACTGAGCTATTTCAACTTAGAATAAATACTTTCTAAAGTGGTAGCTTTATCCACGTTGATGACTCTCAAGCAGGGGGACCAACGAACTTCAACAGTGGTTCTCAACCAAGGATCTTTTCAGATTCAACAAGTTTAGGGTGTATACAAGCATCCATTTTTTTAAACCTCAATGGGGACTCTGAAACACAGCCACTGTTATGAACAACCTAATGATAGTCCTATTGAGCATGCAAAACTACAACGCTAAATAAGATTGTTCAATGGCATTTCCTTGCAGGCCAAAGGCTTCCAATAAGTGTTTAATACACCCCCAAAGAACACCACAAATGCGGCAAGACGGTTTTGCAATAAAAATGCCTTCAATTCACGTAAAACAATAAAATCCGGGCAGCTTGTATTAACTACCATTTTAGACAACAATCTCCAAAGTAAAAAGCAAAACTTCAAAGAGTTAAGCTCAAAGCTCCTGTTCCTATAGCACATTACAAAATTTCTATAAAATGCATTTTATAATGGTCTTTACCAAATAAAAAACACTAGTTAAAGGCCCTTACCTTTTCCAGGAGGGAGCTATCCGTTCTGGGTTGATTCTGTTCCAGTGTATACAATTTCTCCATCTTTAACCATTTCATTCCACAGACCACAGAGCCCATCTCTTGTGAATGCAAGCTGGCAATGATAAATGAGATAAGCTCACACTCACACTGCAATTTTTAAAGAATGATATGGGAAAAAATCTCAATCGCCCTTATGTATTCGATCATTCGGTAATAAAATCAATGATTTACTGAATTAGTGACTTAATCATTTTACATTTCATGAAAGTCATCCAAGAAATATAAATGAAAAGGTGCATAATAGTATAAATACTATTCTACCTCTTATGTAACATACAAGAAAAATGACACATGGTCGGGCGAGGTGGCTCATGCTTGTCATCCCAGCACTTTGGGAGGCCGAGCGGGGCACATCACGGGGGATCAGGAATTTGAGACCAGCCTGGCCAACACGGTGAAACGCCGTCCCAACTAAAAATACAAAAAATTAGCCAGGCGTGGTGGCGGGCGCCTATAATCCCAGCTACTCACGAAGCCGAGGCAAGAGAATTGCTTGAACCCAGGAGGCAGAGGTTGCAGTGAGCCAAGATCGCGCCACAGCACTCAGCCTGAGTTGATAAGAGCGAGACTCGGTGTTAAAAAAAAAAAAAAAGAAAAAAAAAAAAAAGACACACACACAAACACACACACGTGCATATGCTCTGAAAAGATAAACCGAAAGCAAGTACCAATGACTACCTACGGGGAAATGGGGAGGGGACATGGACAAAGGCAGCAGGACCAGAAAAAGCAACAACATTGTGAGTATACTTTAGATGTCTTTACTTCTGAAACATACATGACTTTCATCCTCAAAAATTAAAATTAAATCATAAAAAAGCAAAACCTACAACTGGCAACAAGCAAATTAACCCATGCATATACAAAGAAAAGTATGTCAAGGGACTTTTGAACTACATATCATTAATAGAATATACTATAATGAAAAATAAAATATTTATCGGTATTGATAACACTCTCACAATTTTAGAACTACTTCATGTTGCACAATAAAGCAGTGTAAATACAATAAAACATGTTTATGATAAAGTATTAAATGTTCTTAGAAATTAAGGTTTTAGGCCGGCCATGGTGGCTCACACCCGTAATCCCAGCATTTGGCAGGCCAAGGCAGGTAAATCACTTGAGGTCAGGAGTTCATGACCAGCCTGGCCAACATGGTGAAACCCCATCTCTACTAAAAATATGAAAAATTAGCCGGGTGTGCTGGTGCATGCCTGTAATCCCAGTCACTCGGGAGGCTGAAGCAGAAGACTAGCATGAACCCAGGAGGCAGAGGTTTCAGTGAGCCGAGATTATGTCACTGTGCTCCAGCCTGGGTAAACAGAACGAGACTCCATCTCAAAAAAAAAAAAAAAAAAATTAAGGTTTTCAGTGGAAAAGAGGAAAAAAAATCAAAGAAATTTTGAAAAACAACTTAAATTGGAAATCTATGAACTTTATTTTTGAATATATTTGCTTACTCTGTTTTTTAAAGGACTAGAATCAAAGGCAATCTGACAGCGGCACCCAGATTTTGGTCTCTCAGAACCATTTCCCGATAAAAGACGCTAGGGCTCTTGGGAAAATAAGTAGATTCAAGGGCCAGGGCAGACAAAGATGAGCCTGTTTCCTCAAAGAAAAAGCTGTTTCCTCAAACATGGCCAGGTGCGGTGGCTCACGCCTATAATCCTAGCATTTTGGGAGGCTGAGGCGGGCAGATCACTTGAGGTCAGGAGTTCGAGACCAGCCTACCCAACATGCCGAAACCCCATCTCTTCTAAAAATACAAAAATTAGCTGGGCATGGTGGCAGGCGCCCATAATCCCAGCTACTTGGGAGGCTGAGGCAGGAGAATAGCCTGAACCCAGGAGGCGGAGGTTACAGTGGGCCAAGACTGTGCCACTGCACTCCAGCCTGGGTGACAGAGCAAGACTTTATCTCAAAAAAAAAAAAAAAAAAAAAAAAAAAGCAGCTGTTCAAAGACGATAGGGACTCCTGGCCAAATTTATAATAATTATAATAACTGTGAGCATCAAAATCAAAAACGCCTTTGCTTGTCAACATTTGTGAGTCAGAAAAGGCTTCCCAGAACAGGAAAAGGGAGCATTTCAGACACTGGGGGAAGGCATCCATTCTGAAAACTGCGTATGTGACAGAAGCTCCCTTGTCTGGCAAAACAAAAGCCATTTTTAATTAAAAGAGACAGATGTTTGCCCATCTTTTTTTTTTTTTTAACTTCTGTGGATACACACTAGTTGTATGTATATATATATGGGTTATATATTCTATCTAACTTTTTTTTTTTTTTGGAGACGGATCTCGTTCTGGCACTAAGCTGGAGTGCAGTTGTGCGATCTCAGCTCACTGCAACCTTTGCCTTCTGGGTTCAAGGGTTTCTCCTGCCTCAGCCTCCCGAGTAGCTGGGACTACAGGCTCACACCACCACACCCAGCTAATTTTTGTATTTTTGGTAGAGATGGGGTTTCACCGTGTTGGCCAGGATGGTCTGGGTCTCTTGACCTCATGATCCACCTACCTTGGCCTCCCAAAGAGCTGGGATTACAGGCGTAAGCCACTGTGCCCAGCCCTATCTAACTCCATTTTTATACCCATTAACCATCCGCACTTCACCCCCACTTTATCCTTCCCAGTCTCTGATAACCATCATTCTACTCTATCTCCATGAGTTCAATTACTTTCATTTGCTTAGCACCTACAAATAAGTGAGAACATGCAAAGTTCGATTTTCTGGGTCTGGCTCATGACATTCTGTTCCTGACTTAACATAACGACCTCCAGTTCTATCCATGTTGTTGCAAACGGCAGTATCCCATTCTTTTTCATGGTTGAATAGTACTCCGTTGAGTATATATACCACATTTTCTTCATCCATTCATCTGCTGGGAACACTTAGGTTGCTTCCAAATCTTGGCTATTGAGAATAGTGCTGCAATAAACATGAGAGTGTACATATTTCTTCAACATACTGATATTCTTTCCTCTGGGTATATACCTACCAGTGGGATTGCTGAATCATATGATAGTCCTATTTTTAGTTTTTTGAGGAACCTCCAAGCTAATCTCCATAATGGCTGTGCTAATTTACATTCCCACCAACAGTGCACAAGGGTTCCCTTTTCTCTATATTCTTGCCAGCATTTGTTCTTGTCTTTTGGATATAAGCCATTTTAATTAGGGTGAGATAATATCTCATTATAGTTTTGATTTGCATGTCTCTGATGACCAACCATGTTGAGCACCTGTTCGTATTGCCTGTTTGTCATTTGTATATCTTCTTTTGAGAAATGTCTATTCAAATCTTTTGCCCATTCTTATTGGATTATTAGATTTTTTTCCTATAGAGTTGCTTAAGCTAATTATATATTCTGGTTATTAATCCTTTGTCAGATGGGTAGTTTGCAAATATTTTCTCCCATTCTGTGGGTTGTCTCTTCATTTTGTTGATTGTTTCCTTTGCTGTGCAGCTTTTTAACTCAATGTGATCCCACTTGTCCATTTTAGCTTTGGTTGCCTGTGTTTACGAAGTATTACTCAAGAAATCATTACCCAGTGCAATGTCCTGGAGAGTCTCCCCAATGTTTTCTTTTAGCACTTTCATAGTCTGAAGTCTTAGGTTTAAGTCTTTACTCCATTTTGATGTGATTTTCGTATATGGTGAGAGATAGTGGTCTAGTTTCATTTTTCTGCATATGGGTGCCCCATTTTCCCAGCACCATTTATCAATGAGGCTATCCTTTCCCTCATGTATCCTCCGGGCACCTCTGTCAAAGGTGAGTTCACTGTAGATGTATAGATCTGTTTCTGGGTTCTCTATTCTGTTCCATTGGTCTAGGTGTCTGTTTTTATACCAGTACCATGCTGTTTTGGTATACCTTTCTAGTAAACTTTGCACTTGATCTAAGCCAAAAAAGACCAGGAAGTGACTGTAGTATAATTTTAAGTCAGATAATGCAATTTCTCCAGTTTTGTTTTTTGCTCAGGATGGCTTTGGCTATTCTGTCTCTTGTGATTCCATACAAATTTCAGGATTTTTTTTTCTATTTCTGTGAAGAATGTCATTGGTATTTTGATAGGGATTACATTGAACCTGTAGATTGCTTTGGGTAGTACAGACATTTTAATATTGATTCTTCCAATCCATGAACACAGAGTAACTTTTCCTTTTCTGTGTGTCTTCTTCAATTTTCTGCATCAATGTTTTACAGTTTTCGTGGTAGAGATCTTTTCACTTCTTGGGTTAGGTTTATTCCTACGTATTTTACTTTATTTGTAGCTATTATAAATGGAATTATTTTTCTTGATTTATTTTTCATATTGTTCACTGTTGACATATAGAAATGCTACTGATTTGGCTGGGCAAAGTGGCTCATACCTGTAATCCCAGCACTTTGGGAGGCCGAGGCAGGTGGATCACCTGAGGTCAGGAGTTCAAGACCAGCCTGGCCAATGTGGTGAAACCCTGTCTCTACTAAAAATACAAAAATTAGCCAGGCCTGGTGGCAGGCGCCTGTAATCCCAGCTACTCAGGCGGCTAACACAGGCGGATCGTTTGAACCCAGGAGGCAGAGGTTGCAGTGAGCCGAGATTGCGCCATTGCTTTCCAGCCTAGGCCACAGAGTGAGACTCCATCTCAAAAAAAAAAAAAAAAAAAAGAGAGAGAGAGAAATGCTACTGATTTTTGTATGTTAATTTAGTATCCTGCAATTTTACTGAATTTATCAGTTCTAATCATTTTTTGGTGGAGTTTTTAGGTTTTTCCAAATATAACAATCATCTGCAAACAAGAGTAACTTGGCATCTTCATTTCCAATTTAGATGCCCTTTATTTCTTCTTCTTTTTTTTTTTTTCTGAGATGGAGTCTTGCTCCATAGCCCAGGCTGGAATATAGCGGCACAATCTCAGCTCACTGCAATCTCCACCTCTGGGGTTCAAGTGATTTCCCTGCCTCAGCCTCCCGAGTAGCTGGGACAACAGACACCCGCCACCACGCCTAGCTAATTTTTATATTTTTAGTAGAGATAGGGTATCACCATGTTGGCCAGGCTTCAAACTCCTGACCTCAAGTGATCCACTCACCTCAGCCTCCCAAAGTGCTGGGATTATAGGTGTGAGCCACTGCACCCGGCCTTTCTCTCTCTTATCTGACTCCTCTAGCAAGGGCTTCCATTATTATATTGAATAACAGTGGTGACAGTGGGCATCCGTGTCTTGTTCCAGATCTTAGAGGAAAGGCTTTCAGTTTTTCACCTTTCAGTATGATACTAGCTGTGTGTCAGTTGTATATGGCTTTTATTGCATTGAGGTGTGTTCCTTCTATAACCAGTTTTTTGGGGTTTTTATCATGAAAGGATGTTGAATTTTATCAAATGCCTTTTCAGCATGAATTTAAATGATCATATGGTTTTTTATCCTTCATTCTATTGATATGATGTATCAAACTGATTGATTTGGATATGGTGAACCATCCTGGCATCCCTGGGATAAACCCCACTTTGGTCATGATGAACGATGTTTCTAATGTGTTGTTGAATTCGGTTTGCTGGTATTTTGTTGGGTATTTCTGCATCAATGTTCATCTGGGATACTGGCCTGTTTTGTTTTTTTGATTATGTCTTTGTCTGGTTTTGGTATCAGGGTAATATTGGCCTTCTACAGTAAGTTTGGAAGTATTCCCTCCTCCTCTATTTTTCAGAATAGTTTCACTAGGATTGGTAATAGTTCTTCTTTAAATATTTGGTAAAATTCAGCAGTGAAGTCACTGGGTCCTGGGGTTTTTCTTTGCTGGAAGACTTTTTATTATTACAGTTTCAATCTCATTACCTGTTATTGGTATGTTCAGGTTCTGGATTTCTTCATGGTTCAAACTTGGAAGGCTGTATGTGCCTGTGAAATTATCCATTTCTTTTTCCTTCTTTTTTTGAAGACACAGTCTCACTCTTTCACCCAGGGTGGAGTGCAGTAACATGATCTCAGCACACTGCAACCTCCCCCTCCCAGGGCTCAAGTGACTCTCGTGCCTCAGCCTTCCAAGTGGCTGGAATTACAGGCACGCAAAACCACACCTGGTTAATTTTTGTATTTTTAGTAGAGATGGAGTTTCACCATGTTGGCCAGACTGGTCTCAAACTCCTGACCTCAAGCGATCCACCCGCCTCAGCCTCCCAAGGTGCTGGGATTACAGGTATGAGCCACCACGCCCAGCCTGCAAACTTATCTATTTCTTCCATGTTTCCCAATTTATTGACATATAGCTGTTCATAGTCTCTAATGATCCTTTGAATTTCTGCAATATCAGTTGTAATGCCTACTTTTTCACCTCTGATTTGGGTCTTCTTTTTCTCTTAGCCTGCCTGAAAGCTTGTCAATTTATCTTTTAGAAAAACCAACTTTTCATTTCATTGATCTTTTGTATTATTTTCTTCATTTCAACTCCATTTTATTTCTGCTCTAATTTTTATTATTTCTGTCCTTAAAATTATGGGTTTGGTTAGCTCCTTCATTTCTAGTTCTTTAAGATGTATCATTAGGTTATTTATTTGAAGTTTTTCTACTTTTTTGATTTTCCTCTTAGTATTGCTTTCACTATATCCCACAGGTTTCGTATGCTGTGCTGCCATTGCCATTTGCTTCAAGAAATTGTTTAATTTCATTCTTAATTTCTTCACTGACCTGTTGGTCATTCAGGAGCATATTGTTTAATTCCCATGTGTTGGTGGAGTTTCCAAAATTCCTCGTTATTGATTTTTAGTTATAGTCCATTGTGATCAGAGAAGATACTTAACATAATTTTTTTAACTTTTATATGGCAAAAGAGGAATCTAGCTTCATTCTTCTGCATATGAATATCAAGTTTTCCCAACACCATTTATTGAAGAGATTGTCTTTTCCCCAGTGTTTGTTCTTGGTACCTTTGTCGAAAATGAGTTCACCGTAGATGTGCGGATTTGTTTCTGGATTCTCTATTCTGTTCCGTTGGTCTGTGTCTGTTTTATGCTAGTACTATGCTGTTTTGGTTACTATAGCTCTGTAGTATAATTTGAAGTCAGGTAATCTGATTCCTCCAGTTTGTTTCTTTTCAATTATGAGAGCTTCGGCTATTCTGGGTCTTTTGTGGTTCAACATGAATTTTAGGATTTTTTTTTTTTCTGTTTCTGTGAAAAATGTCATTGGTATTTTGCTAGGGATTGCACTCAATCGGTAGATTGCTTTGGGTAGTATGGACATTTTAACAATATTGATTCTTCCGATCCATGAAGATGAAATATTTTTCCATCTTTTGTGTCCTCTTTAATGTCTTTCATCAGGGTTTTAGAGTTTTCATTACAGAGATCTTTGTAATTATCTTCTTTGGTTACTTCCCAGGTACTTAATTTCATGTGTGGCTACTATAAATGGGATTAGTTTTCTAATTTTTTTCATATTGTTTACTGTTGGCACACAGAAATGCTACTGATTTTTGTATGTTGATTTCGTATACTGCAACTGTACTGAATTTATCAGCTCTAATCATTTTCTTGTGGAGTCTTTAGGTTTTTCCACATATAAGATCATATCATCTGCAAACAAGGATAATTTGACTTCTTCCTTTCCAATGTGGAGGCCTTTTATTTCTTTCTCTTGTCTGATTGCTCTAGCAAGAACTTCCAGTACTATGTTGAATAACGGTGGCCACACTGAGCATCCTTGTCATGTTCCAGATCTTAGAGGAAAGACTTTCAGTTTTTCACCATTCAGTATGATACTAGCTGTGGGTCTGTCATATACGGCTTTTATTATGTTGAGGTATGTTTCTTCCATAATCAGTTTTAAGAGATTTTATCATGAAAGGATGTTGAATTTTATCAAATGCCTTTTCAGCATCGACTGAAATAATCACATGGTTTTTATCCTTCTGTTGACATGATGTGTCACATCGATTGATTTGCATATGTTGAACCATCCTTGTACCCCAGGGATAAACCCCACTTCATCACAATGAACGATCTTTCTAACGTATTGCTGAATTTGGTTTGCTAGTATTTTGTTGAGGATATTTGCATCAATATTCATCAGAGACATTGGCCTGTAGTATTCTTTCTTTGACGTGTCTTTGTCTGCTTTTAGTATCAAGGTTTCAATTTTTAATGACTTATTTTGTGGCCTAACATATGGTCTAACCTTGAGGACGATCCATGTGCTAAAGAGAACAATGTAAATTCTGCAGCCATCAGATGAAATGTTCTAGAAATATCTATTAAATCCATTTGGTCTACAGTGCAGATTAAGTTTGATGTTTCTTCGTTAATTTTGTCTGGATGATCTGATCTGTCCAATGCTGAAGTGGAGTGTTGAAGCCTCCATCTATTAATGTATTAACGCCTTTCTCTCTCTTTAGCTGTAATATTTGTTTTATGTATCTGGGTGCTCTAGTGTTGAGTGCATATATACATATATTTATAATAGTTATAGCCTCTTGCTGAATTGGCCCCTTTATCATTACATAATGACTTTTTTGGTCTCCTTTTATAGTTTTGGTCTTGAAATCTATTTGGTCTGATATAACCGCTATGCTCTTTTGTGATTTCCATTTGCCTCTCCCTTTTTCCATCCCTCCGCACCGTCCTGAAGAGATGGTCTCCAATCTGAAGAAGCAAGCAGCCAATGAACTGCCTGTGGGGAGGGGCAGCCTCCAAGAGCCCAGGGTTTCAGTCCCACAACCACAATGGATTCAATTCTACCAATGAGGACCTGAGCTCCAGATGACAGCGTGCCCTAGCCAACACCTTGACTACAGCCTGTGACACCTGAAGTAGAGGATAGAACTAAGCTATGGCCAGACTCCTGACCCACAGAAACTGTGAGAGTGTAAATGCTTGTTGTTACAAGCTGCCAAATTTGTGTTTGGTAACTTGTTCTGTAGCGACAGAAACCAAGCCAGCATCCTTCAGTTTTTGTAGAAGGAACAGCTTTCTCTCAGCACTGTTATTTTTTCTGTTCACATCACTAACAGGATAACTGCCATAAACATACTTGGAACCAAAACATATGACTTTTGGTAAAAATATCAGCTGGTGGGGGAGAGGTAAACTCCTTCCTAAAAAGTGAGCCCTGGCCAGGTAGAGTGACTCACATCTCTAATCCCAGCACCTTGGAAGACTGAGGCAAGAGAATCACTTGTGCCCAGGAGTTCAAAACCAATCTAAGCAACATAGCAAGACCCTGTCTCTACAAAAAAAATTGTAAAATTAGCCAGAAAGCTGGGCATGGTGGCTCACACCTGTAATCCCAGCACTTGGGAGGCCAAGGCAGGTGAATTGTTTGAGCTCAGGAGTACAAGACCAGCCTGAACAACATGGCAAAACCGCATTTCTACCAAAAATACAAAAAATTAGCCAGAGGTGGTGGCGCGCCTGTACTCCCAGCTACTTGGGAGGCTGAGGTGGGAGAACTGCTTGAGACCAGGAGGTAGAGGTTGCAGTGAGTTGAGATCACTCCACTGTACTCCAGCCTGGGCAATAGAGCAAGACCCTGTCAAAAAAAATTTTTAATTTAAATTTAAAAAATTAAAATAATATAAAAAATAAAATTAAAAAGTGAGCCAAAAACATTCAGGGCCCCTGAAGTTTAACGAGTGAATGGAAAGCTTTGACTCTTCTAGTCTTCAGTCAGAGGAGAGCAGTGAATACGTGCACTGGGGTTCAGTCCAAACCCTACCACAATGCACATGATAAGAGGCTAACAGTGGTCAGAACTCACAGCTCCATGTGGGCCGTGCTCCAGGAGTTTCAGACTATCTTTAGGCACTCAAGGGAATACGACATTTGACCCGTGTCTTAAAGTGTTTCAGAAAACAGAAACAGAGAAGGTGAACTAAGAAGCTATTACTGGCCACGCACGGTGGCTGACGCCTGTAATCCCAGCACTTTGGGAGGCCAAAGCGGGTGGATCATGAAGTCAGGAGATAAAGACCATCCTGGCTAACACAGCGAAAACTCATCTCTACTAAAAATACAAAAAATTAGCCAGATGTGGTGGCACGCGCCTATAGTCCCAGCTACTCGGGAGGCTGAGGCAAGGGAATTGCTTGAACCTGGGAGGCGGACGTTGCAGTGAGTGGAGATCGCACCACTGCACACCAGCCTGGGTGACAGAGTGGGACTGCATCTCAAAAAAAAAAAAAAAAAAAAAAGGCTATTACCAAGGGTCCAAAAAAGAAAGGATGACAGCAGAAGTCAACACAGGGAAGTACAGTCTTTAAGATTATTTCAGGCAGGGCACGGTGGCTCACATTTGTAATCCCAGCAGTCTGGGAGGCCGAGGTGGGCAGACTGCTTGAGCCCAGGAGTTCGAGACCAGCCAGAGCAACACGGTGAAACCCGGTCTCTACAAAAAATACAAAAATTAACCAGGCGTGGTGGTACGCACCTGTAGTCCCACTACTCAGGGAGCTGAGGTGGGAGGATCACCTGAGCCCGGGGAGGTTAAGGCTGCAGTGAGCCGTGACGGTGCCACTGCATTCCAGCCTGGGCAACAGAGTGAGACCCTGACTTAAAAAACAAAAAAAGAAACTATTTCAAATCACGTAAGTTAAATCAAATGTGAAAGGGAAAATAAGGGAGGGAACAGAAGAGGAATGAGAATTAGTTCCGTTTTAACCACTAAGATTTGCACTAACTACTGAACATAAACATGGAGCTCCTCCCCACTCCACCAACCCTCAGTAAATATAGATCCAGATCTTAGCAGAGTGTTCAGGGCTAGAGACTCAAATCTGGGAGTAGTCAACAAATGGACTGTAGGTGGTGTCCTGGAGAAGATGCCAACACCCAAGCAGAGAGGGGAGACCCCTGCCCAGCCCTGAAAGCACTCTAAGATCGCCCCAGACTGGCTGGGCTCCACACATCAGTGTTCTGCGGTACAGCCTAGATTGAGAAACATTAGTGTTACAGAGGTACCATTTAAAAAAAAAAAGCCAAAAGATGGAACATTTAAAGACTAAGCCAAGGAGGAAGCCCAGTTTACATGGAAACAAGAATAATTACCACCACCTTTCGATTATTACCTGGGTAGCACTGGGAAGGAAGAGGATAGGCCAGACCTTGTCCTTCTGAGTAACAAGGAATTCTTTTTTGGAAGGTAGACACTGGACTCCTGGAAGGACATGCACTGTGGAAGCCTCCTAGGAACTGATGACCCAAATAAATGGTAAGCACCATTCAAAAAACAATTTGGGCACCTTAAAGGTGGAACATTACTAAGGCAATAAAGCAAGCCTCACTGGAGGAGGTCTCCAGAGAGTTAGACTGTGAACAAGCAAAAGTGAAGCCCAGGAGAAGAGCTCTCCAGATCACAGACAGTACAGGATCCTGACTGAGGAAGCAGCAGCCTGGGAACAACTGGAAGACAGCCGTGGCACTGAGAAGAATGGAGACTACAGGCAGGGCGTGGTGGCCCACGCCGTAATCCCAGAGCTTTGGGAGGCCAAGACAGAAGAACTGCTTGAGGCCAAGAGTTCAAGATCAGCCTGGGCAACATGGTAAGACCGTGTCTCTACAGAAATGTAAAAATTACCCAAGTGCATGGCACGTGCCTGTAATCCCAGCTACTCAGGAGGCTACAGCAGGACGGTCACCTGCACCCAGGAGTTTGAGGTTACAGTAAGCTCTGATCACACCACAGCATTCCAACCTGGGTGACAGAGACCCTATTCATTTAAAAAAAAAAAAAAAGAAAGAAAAAGAAAAAAATGAATGGGACTTTCCATTTGTAAAGTGAGAGTATTTATTTCTACAACTGTCTCCAATTAGCTTTTTATTAGTAGCTGACTTACCTAAACGTGCCCAGTAGCTTTTCAACTTTTGACTTTTTTGGTTCAGATCCCAGAAGCTTCTAATTAGGTTATTTGGGCTAAGAACTCTTTTCCAATCTTTTCCAATCTCACATTCCTATCTTACACCTCTGAAATGACATGGCAAGTAAAGGCACTTTCATCGTCAAAAGACCCCAGCAAAAGAGGCAGTAACAGGCTCACTTTTTGTAAGTTACTAAACTGAAGCTCAGAAGGCCAATGACTTGACCAAAGGCCACACAACACTGAGGCTGTGAGAGGCGGGATTTGGGAAGAGGCCCAACTCCAAGGCTTATTCGCTTCCCACCAACACCATAACATGCACCCACACCTGCAGCACGGCAGCCAGGGCAAGCCTTCACGCTCCCATACATAGGCCACCAATATTTTAATACCAATCAGGACTAGGCAAGCAAACAGTTAAGGCATTTTTTTTTTTTTTTTTTTTTTAAGACAGAGTCTTGCTCTGTCGCCCAGGCTGGAGTGCAGTGGCGCCATCTTGGCTCCCCGGGTTCATGCCATTCTCCTGCCTCAGCCTCCCAAGTAGCTGGGACTACAGGCGCACGCCACCACGCCCGGCTAATTTTTTGTGTATTTTTAGTAGAGACAGGGTTTCACCGTGTTAGCCTGGATGGTCTCGATCTCCTGACCTTGTGATCCACCCGCCTCGGCCTGGGATTACAGGCGGGAGCCACCGCACCCAGCCCGTTAAGGCATTTATTAAAGTGACTTCAGAACTATAGAGTCAGGCAATAAAATCCAAAACTGAATAATATAACAAATGAATATCTGATTAATGTATAGGTTAGAAAATGTTTCTTTTTCATGTCCTTACAATTTGACAGAAAAGTAATCTTCAAATATTTGCAGATGAGTAAAGGTATACGGCTTTTTTTCTTAAACCTACAGAAAAATACTAAACACCTACTGAACGTAGGACAACATATGAAAAAATGTTAAGAACAGGTTCCTAGAACAATTAGAAAGGTCAGACAGGAACATTAAGTACGTCGATTTGAAGACATCCTAGAAGCAGCAAGGGAGTGAGGTCTTCCTAAAGTCTAAGACCCACGAGAGGAAGAAAGAGGCCCAGAGAACCTAAGCACGCAGGGATGAGACTGAGAAGCAAAACGGAGCTTCTGAGAGACTCCCAGGGCCCTCATACAGGAGAAAGAGGCCTGGCAGATCCCATGCTCTGAGCTGGAACCTCAAAGGGCCACACACCAGAAATACAGGTGAGTTAGAAGTAGACCAGCCTTCACGGAAAACCAGCCCAGTTTTGCATTCTCTCAATTTCCAAAGGGACTGCAGTGACCTGGGATTGCCTAGAACATCCTCTCTGGAGGAAGATATTGTTACCTAGAGCCTCGATTTATTGCTACAATATTGCATATACAATATCTGAAAGTCAAGCAAATATAATAATGACAAAGATACAAGACCACATCATTGAAAAATGAAAAAAAAATAGAAGTCATTAGAACAGACCGAGTAGATCCTGAAAACAGAAATATAAAGACTTCTGTCGTGAAAGAAGAGCCTGAGGAATGAACTGAAGTGTTGACACTCTGCTCAGCAGATGTCAGCTCGGGGCAATGGGGTGAGGGAAGTGGGAAAGTGAGACAAGGAGATCAATGAAGTAACGATATGCAGTATATGACTTCACAGTCAGCTAAGTGTGATTTTAGCCTACTCTGCCTATGTAGGAGCCATTCTTATTTCCTTTAATTTCCTAAAAAAAGAAAAATATATATTAAAAAAGAGTGATTTTATATTTTTCAATGGTTGCAACATAATCAAAAGAATCATATGTCAGCCAAGCACGGTGGCTCACACCTGTCATCTCAGACTTTGGGAGGCCAAGGCGGGCGGATCACGAGGTAAGGAGTTCACGACCAGCCTGGCCAACATGATGAAACCCCATCTCTACTAAAAATACAAAAAAAAAAATTAGTGAGGCATGATGGTACACGCCTGTAATCCCAGCTACTCCAGAGTCTGAGGCAGAACAATTGCTTAAACCCAGGAGGTGGAGGTTGCAGTGAGCCAAGATCGCGCCACTGCACTCCAGCCTGGGCAACAGAGCAAGACTCCCTCTCAGAAAAAAAAAAAAAAAAAAAATCATATGTCAACAAATGAAAATTATATGACATTCAAATTCTGGTATCCACAAAGTTTTCCTGGAATATAGCCATACACATGTTTGGCAGCTTCTCGCAGGACAATGGCCAAGGTGAGCTGTTCTAAAAGAGCACGTACGGCCCACATAAACATTTACTATCTGGTGCTTTACAGAAAAAATGTGCTGACCCCTATGTTAGTGCCACCTCTTCTCAATGAGCTGCAAATACAACCAACTGTTCAGCCAGCACATTCACTAGGCATATGTGGCTTTTCCAGAAGGTTTGCAAGAAGAAACTACACCATAAAATAGTCCAAAGAGGAAAGAAAAAAGGGAGGAATAAAAACACTGAGTTCCCTCATCTCTCCTTGTAAAGTGGTGAACGTTCATACCACAAGGAATTCACACCCACACACACTCGCCACACCTTCCAGGCTGTGTCACTGGCTCCTTGGTAGGCAGTCAGGAAGCCATACTCCAACTCTCTTGCGTGACATCACAGCGGAGACTGGAGCCGAAGGGCGGCTCACAGGCATGAGTCAGCCAAGAGGGACAGAGAGAGGCGGCTAAGGAATCTATGGGGTCGGACAAGGTTTATAAACACACTTTTAAAATAACTACCTTTAATAGAGTCAAGCAATTAAAAGATCCTATTAACAGCCGGGCACGGTTCATGCTTGTAATCCCAGCACTTTGGGAGGCCAAGGCAGGCGGATCACGAGGTCACGAGTTCAAGACCAGCCTGGCCAATCTGGTGAAACCCCGTCTCTATTAAAAATACAAAAATTAGCCAGGTGTGGTGGCGGGCACCTGCAGTCCCAGCTACTCGGGAGGCTGAGGCAGGAGAATCACTTGAACCCAGGAGATGGAGGTTGCAGTGAGCCGAGATTGTGCCACTGCACTACAGCCTGAGCGACAGAGCGAGACTCCTTGTCAAAAAAAAAAAAAAAAAAAAAGATCACATTAACAATTTCAACACAGAAGTTGAAACTAGAAAAAAGTACCTAAAGTGGCAGTTAAAGAAACTGTCAAACATTTCAAACTAAACATTTTAAAGGGATGTGTTTAATATAATTATACCTCAATAAAGTTGATATGTTTAAAAAATGGAAATTCTGGAATAGAAAAATATAATAGTAAAATTTAAAACTCAATGGATTTGATTAAAATCAGATTGGGAAGGCCTGTGCTTCCTCCACCTATAAAGGATGAATTCTGTAGAAATCACTTCCTTGCTATAATCAACTAGAAAACCAGACAGAATATACCGAAAAGCTGTTACCAAAAACTGGACAACAGACAGCCCAGAGCTGGGATCCCTGAGAGAAGGGAAACACTGCCCAGAAGCAGCTTCCAGGCTGCAGCACAGGAAAGGGGAACCCAAATAGAGCCCAAAGAACTTGCTGAGCTCAGGAGACAGATCAGCTATACGTAGGCCAAATGACAAGAATACAGCAAGCTCCAGAGATGAGTGGAGGGGCCCCTTGAGTATCTGTCTGAGTACTACTCTGAGCATAGGTTAAGAAAACTATGGAATACTGGGGAAAGCAGCACTAGAAAGTAATAAGCAGCACTGCCATGATGCACAGTCTGGGAAAAGCCTGTGTTTCCACAAACAAGGACAGAAAGATCTTCTCATACACCAAGCATCAGGTGGAGTCCTGAGAACAGTATTGCCTTCGTTGTATGGATAAATGAGCCCAAGAGTAAAGCCTGTGTGGATCAGCCTAACAAACCTCAGAATCAAGCTTTGAAAAGATCAAACTGACCCCATGTAACTTACATGTATGGCAGAAGAAAACTAAGGCTCTTTAAAAAAATAAAACAAAATCCTGCACAGAAGATAAAATTAATGCCTAGCATTCAATCAAAAATTAGCAGGCATACAACCATGCCCCCATAACTAGGGCAATCAATCAATAGAAATGACAGAATCAATCAACAGAGATGGATCTAGAAGTGATCAGAGATTACAGAATTCACAGACAAGGACATTAAAAGCTCTCTTACAGAAATTCTCCCTATACTAATAGAAGGAAAGCATGAATGTTATAAGGAGTGAAACAGAAGATATAAAAAGGACTCAAATGGAATCTCTAGAAATGAAAATACAAAATGGATGGATGAGATTAACAGAACTGCATAACAGTTACAACCATAATCTACAATGTCTAAGCACATGGCTATGCCATGCTCTCTCCCTTAACACTCATGCAGTCTAGGTTTAACAAATAACTGTTTCATGCCCATCATCAGTTGCAGGTTGATCTACAGTCATCCAGTTGTCTAAAGATCTTTCTCCACTCCATTCCTAAGGAAGGGCTCATGAGAACAATACTTCCTAAGTTACAGCTCACTGAGAAGTTTGTGTGTTTTTCATCTGAAAAGTCGGTTTTGCTGGAACAAAAAATGCTTTACTCACATTTTCTTTTCTTGAGTGCCTTAAACAGGATACTCAATTTCTTCTTCATAAAGAATTGTCATCTGCTGGGCTCAGTGGCTCACTGCTGTAATCCCACCACTCTGGGAGGCCAAGGCAGGTGGACTGCCTGAGCTCAGGAGTTCAAGACCAGCCTGGGCAACATGGTGAAACCCCATCTCTACTAAAAATATAAAAAATTATCTGGGTGTGGTGGTGCACACTTGTAATTCCAGCCACTTGGGAGGCTGAGGCACGAGAATGGCTTGAACCTGGGAGGTGGAGGTTGCAGTGAGCTGAGATAGTGCCACTGTACTCCAACCTGGGCAACAGAGTGAGACTCTGTCTCAAAAAAAAAAAAAAAAAAAAGGAATTGTCATCAAAGTCCTACGGCTAAACCCTTTTCCTTTTTTTTATAACAAGTATTGCTAGTCTTTTCCAAGAACCAAAGTTAAAAGTTAGTTCTTTAAAACACCAGGCCAGGCACAGTGGCTCACACATCTAATCACAGCACTTTGGGAGGCCAAGGCAGGAGGATCACTTGAATGCAGAAGTTCTAGACCAGCCTGGACAACAAAGCAAGACCCTGCCTCTACAAAAAACTTTTTTTTTTGCTGCAAAATGCTCTTAATTAACCTGACAAAATGCCACATACAGGGTTACTGCATCTTTTTTATCATGGAATTTTGAAAACAAAAATTGTTCTCTTGAGGCAGCAGTATTTGGATATTAGAGGTAAAAACCACCCTTAGAATCCAGTCCTAAAAACATCAATGAATATTCCTATATTTACAAATTCTTCTATTTCTACATGTCATCTATCAACAGGATTATGAACCTGAAAGCCTGAGAATAGAATTTATCAAGATACTCATGTTTGTACTTTTTTTATCTACTGCCCTTTTTTATTTTTTTTGAGACAGATTCTCGCTCTCTCACCAGGCTGTAGTGCAGTGGCGCGATCTCAGCTCACTACAACCTCCGCCACCTGGGTTCAAGCGATTCTCCTGCCTCAGCCTCCTAAGTAGCTGGGACTACAGGCACGTGCCACCACACCCAGCTAATTTTTGTATTTTTAGTAGAGATGGGGTTTCACCATGTTCGCCAGGATGACCTCGATCTCCTGACCTCAGCCTCCCAAACTGTTAGGATTACAGGCTAAGCCACCACACCCGGCCATCTACTGATATTTCTAAGCATGAAGTGACATTTTTTTTTTTTTGAGAAGGAGTCTTGCTGTGTTGGCCAGGCTGGAGTGCAATGGCATGATCTCGGCTCACTGCAACCTCCACCTTCTGGGTTCAAGCAGTTCTCCTGCCTCAACCTCCCAAGTAGCTGGGATTACAAGCGCACACCACCACACCTGGCTCATTTGTATTTTTAGTAGAGACAGGGTTTCACCATGGGGGCCAGGTTGGTTTTGAACTCCTGACCTCAAGTGATCCGCCCTCCTCGGCCTCCCAAAGTGCTGTGATTACAGGCGTGAGCCACCGCGCCCAGCCGAAGTGACTATTTATATACAATAAGTTTAACTGTAAAAGCTTACATTTATGCGTGGTCATTTTTAATTGATGATTAGATGAAGAGACAAATAAATGGTCCCAGTTTAGCTACTGATATACTCAACAAACCTTGACGGACCTGAGGGCATTATGCTGAGTAAAGAAAATCATTTCCGAAGGTCACATATCACTTGGTAATCTCACAGTAACAAAATTATAGAGATGAAGAACAGATCAGTGGTTGGCAGGAGTTAGAGATGGTGGCAGAAGAGAGGCAGGAGAGAGATCTTTCTGGTGATGAAACAGTTCTGCATAGGAAATTGTAGTAGTAGTTATATTTACAGACACTTGATAGAATGGCACAGAACTACGCACACACATTGTACCAACTTCAATTTCTGGGTTTTTATACTCTATTATGGTTACATAAAATGTAACCACTGGGGCAGTATGCGCAAATATACAATGACCTCTCTAGTTTCTTTACAACTTCCTGAGAGTCTATTATTATTTCAAAATAAAAAGTTTTTTTAAAAATTGCTTCATGCATATCTAGTTTCATGTGCCACTTAAAAAAGAACCCAAAAATAGAAACTGTAGGAAATTCATCTGAGTGCAGCTTATGCAAGAAGGGGCAGGATAACTCCATTCTGGACCTATGCTCAAAGACATGCACCTTTACCTTACAACAAAACTGGCGAACAGGCATGTGTTTTAAGAATAAAAAGCTTTTAAGGTCTCATATATTGGTTTTTATGATTCCTTTGCTTAACTGACTTTTTGGTTTGCTAAAAAACTACCAATCACATCAGATTAGAAGTACTTTCACGGTAAAAATAAAAAGTGATGTGACTGACACCTCTTACCTCTGTAATGTATTACTCTTCACGAGAGCAGTGAAGGAAAACATGGTGATTCAATCACTCCACACATCAAGCAGAAAAGAGTGTTGAACAGGCCAGGCGCGGTGGCTCACGCCTGTAATCCCAGCACTTTGGGAGGCCGAGGCGGGTGGATCACTTGAGGTCAGGAGTTCAAAACCAGCCTGGCCCACATGGTGGAACCCTGTCTCTACTAAAAGTACACAAAATTAGCCAGGCGTGGTGGTGGACACCTGTAGTCCCAGCTACTCGGGAGGCTGAGGCAGGAGAATGGCATGAACCCAGGAGGCTTGCAGTGAGCCAAGATGGCACCAATGCACCCCAGCCTGGGAGACAGAGTGAGACTCCGTCTCAAAAAAAAAAAAAAAAAAAAGTGTTGAACAATTAAACTGTTTATATGTAATAACCAGATATATATGCCTGGCATAAAATGAGCCCTGCATTAGAGGTTGCTGGATGTAGGGTCCTAGGCCTGACGTATCCAAATAATGTCTATGATAAAGAAGTCAATAAGTGCTCTCTATAACACACAAGCATTATAAGTTTTCACACTCCAAAAACTCTTCCTTTCTAAAGTTACTAAAACTTTTAAGGGCATTTCAAACAAAAACAGCTGTGGAAAACAGATCGGTTAAATCCTATGGCTAAGAAACATCTTCCTATCCCATGTATTATTCATTACCCAGGTGTCAATTCTGTTTCCAATACAAAAGTCTCAAGCAGTGAAGCGCTTCCCACTCCAGCTGGGAGAGCCATCCTCAACAAGATAAGGGTAAAACCTGTGAGCACAAGGCTTCCATCTGCAATTCCTGTCTGCAGGGAAGCTCCCCAAAGAGGGAAACCATGTCTTATTCCTTACGGTAAAACACCACCATTCATTCCTTGTGTTTAACAACCAATGCTGGTGGAACATAAAACAAAACTTAGCAATCACTTTTTTCATGCTACTTAGACCTGTAACACATTTTTCCTCTGGTGCACACTATCCAAAACCTAGTCGTTTCCCTTACTCCTAGGAGGAATTTAGATGACTTTTTTTTTTGGCCAGGTGCAGTGGCTCACGCCTGTAATCCCAGCAATTTGGGAGGCCGAGGCAGGCAGATCGCTTTGAGGTCAGGAGACCAGCCAGGCCAACACAGTGAAACCCCATCTCTACTAAAAATACAAAAATTAGTCGGGCATGCATGGTGGCACACACTTGTAATCCCAGCTACTCGGAAGGCTGAGGTGGGAGAATCACTTGCATTCGGGAGGCGGAAGTTGCAGTGAGCCAAGATTGCGCCACTGCACGCCAGCCTGGGCGACAGAGCAAGACTGCGTCTCAAAAAAAAAAAAAAAAGACTTTCTAATCATATTGGAAATGTGTAACAAGGACCAAGTACTGTGTATTAAACTTAATAAATCAAAACAACAGGCCCTCTAAGATATAAATGGTGCTTCACTGTATGTTTATCTGCCCAACCCATCATAGGAACTCAATTCAGCATTAAACTGGTTTTAGATCAAGACACTAGAACTCATGTTTAGCAGTTATTAAATTACAATTATTAAGAAAAAAACTTCATTACGTAAAGTCCTTTACTCCAAAAAGTTTCTCAAAATACATAAACACTAATATAAAAACGACTATTAAAACTTTGCCTGAATCTCAGGATTTCAGAAATATGAAAGTACTCATCTCTCACGTCTCCCATCCACTTAAAATGACAAAACAGATCATTATAGCTAAATCAAAGGAAATGTTTAAAGAGAAACAAACCCAAAGAGTAACTACACCAATTCTTGACCCAATTCTCTGTACTCTGTCTTATGTAACATTACACTATGAATAACAATCCCATCATCCACAACAGCTTTTTTTTTTTTTTTTGAAAAAAAAGCTCTCATTGTCCAGGCTGGAGTGCAACGGCACAATCTTGACCCATTGCAACCTCCACCTCCCGGGTTCAAGCGATTCTCCTGCCTCAGCCTCCCGAGTGGCTGGGATTACAGGCATACACCACCACGTCTGGCTAATTTTGTATTTTTAGTAGAGACGGGGTTTCACCATGTTGGTCAGACTGGTCTCCAACTCCTGACCTCAGGGCATCCACCCGCCTCGGCCTCCCAAACTGCCGGGATTACAGGCGTGAGCCACTGCGCCCAGCCACGCAACACAGCTCTAAACACTGGACTCTCATATCCACCAACACTCAATACCTGTTTAAAAAGAAAAAAAAAATTAGGAAGGGGCAATAACACTTCAGTGTAAGTATCCATGATCAACTACTGCTTAACAGCCTACACGACTTTTGATGAACAGTCAAGGCACATTACTTAATACTTAAAATGGTTAACCTTAGGGAGTAGGAAAATACAGACACACACAAAATATTTCAAACACTTCTTTTTGCTGCTGATAAGGAGTTCCAAAAGTAGTTTTTCCAAGCCATTTCCAAATAAAAGTAGATTGGGTGTAAAGAACTGTCTATCGAAATATTACCGTTATTATTTATTTAATAATGTCCTGACAAGCTTGCAATTATCTCATTAAATCAAAAAATTAGGATCTAAGGCCAACATTGTTTCCTCATATTCTTGATGTGAAAATCTGAGCACTCCTCTTAATAAGGAGTTACAAAGACAAAACAAACAGCTCAACTGAACTAACTCGTCTCTCCAGAAACACAAACACAAGACCTCATAAAATGAGTGAGTTTCTATAGGCCATAATTACTGCAACTTACTTCTCCAATTTTCCCCTCCACAGTTAACTCAACAGCTCAAAAACGATCAGTAACAAACAACAGTCACCATGATATGGTTAGGAGTGTGGCAGATTTCTTAACCAGTAATAATAAATAGGAAAAAAATTTTCTCTATTAATAGATCTCAAGTTTCGTGCACTTGCAAGAAACTAATTAAAAGGCAGCCGCGCACGATCTACAAAAACAGCCATAAGACTGTTACATTTTAAGTTACAGGAAATAAACCTGCTCCTCTAATTCAGCAAGATACAACTGACTTCCCCTTACATACCCTAAAAAAAAGCCTTACACGAGAAATTTAAACATGGAAGCAGAAACACACCAAGAAAAAGACATGTCAAACCCCACCTGTATATCTGTTTTCAACCATTTGGAGTCGAGGCGAGCCTGGGCAGCCAAACAGAAAGATTCAGAGGGCATCTTTTCTCCAGCTTCCTCCCAGGTCTCAGGCCTGCAAGTAAACACATACGCTGAAGACCTAATGCTTTTTAATAGTTTACAAAGACACTCCCGAAAGGTTCAATGCACAAAAGAAAAAAGAGAGAGAGAACAGAAAGGGGGGAGAGAAGAGCTGGTGGAGGGGAGAGAAGGGGAGAGAGGGAAAGAGGGAAGAGATGGAGGGAGAGGGAGGTGGGGAAGGGAAAGCCTCCTTCCAAGGTAGGCAGGGTGTGCCGAGTTTCTGCACCACGCTGACGAGACCTTGAGAATGGACGGTCACAGGAAGCCAAGTCACAATGTCATCCCCCTGCCCTCAAATCCAAGAAGTACACACACATAACACACATCGTTTTAACGACAAATGACAGCAGCATGAATCTGCCGCTTTACCCCACAGCAGGGCGCGTGCGTGAAACAAATTACTCAAAAGGATCGCCTGCAGAAAAACCCACAGCCACCACCACTTAAGAGATGGAGAGAGGCCCGAGGCTGCCCCGCGGGTGGTCCGCGCAGGCCCCGGTGCGGCCGCCGCGCCCACGCCCGCCTCCCGGGCTCGGCCGCCCGCCAGCCCCGCGCCCGTACCGCCCCCGCCACCGGCCGCCCAGGTGCCCCAGGCCAGGACCTGACGCGCAGGGCCCGGCCGCCTCGCCTCGCCGGCGCGCGGACGCAGCCTCCCAAGAGCCGCTGGCTCAGCCGGCGCCCGCGATCCCGGCGCCTCTCGCGGCCCGAGGGGCGGGCCGACGCGGGACTGCCGCCCCCCGCGTACGGCCAATCGCAACGAGGCTGCTCCGTGGGCGCAGCCAATGGGGAAGAGGAGCCCTTCGCCGCTCCTCCCGACTCTCCCGCTTCCAGCAATCCCGCTTATCTTCCTACTTGGAGCGCCCTGGCTGCGGCCAAGGCCAACAGCGGGCGCCGGAAGGCGGGATTTCCGCCGCACGCACGCACTCCCGCACTCCCACGGGAGACTGCTTGGCCCGGAGCGCTCTTGATCACGCCGCGGCGGGTGGTGGCGCTCACACTAACTATAGCTATCCAGGGCGCGGGTCGAGTGGCGAGACCAGCTCCCCTGGGTATGAGAACGCATCTTTGTGCGGTCGGCTGGCTGGGGCCTGAAGAGCTTCCTCCTGTGTGTTCAACTGAACGCAGCAAAAGTCTTGGGCAGATTCCATGGAGCAGCTGTGGAAGCACTGTGCAGGGAATCGAAGAAGGAAACACCTCCGGCGACCACAAAACAAAATTGAAGAACTATAAAACAATATAGGCCGGGCGTGGTGGCTCACGTATGTAATTCTCAGCGCTTTGGGAGGCCGAAGCGGGAGGATCCCTCGAAGCCAGGAGTTGGAGGATCCCATGTTGCCAGACTGGGCAACATAGCAAGACCCCATCTCTAAAAAATAAAAATAAAAAAATTTAACAATTAGCCAGGTGTGGTGGCACACACCTGTGATCCCAGCTGCTCGGGAGGCTGAGACAGGAGAATCGCCTGAGCCTGGGAGATCAATGCTACAGTGAGCTTAGATCGTGCCACTGCACTCCAGCCTGGGCGACAGAGTGAGATCCTGCCTCTAAGAAAGAAAAATAACGGCCGGGCGTGGTGGCTCAGGCCTGTAATCCCAGCACTTTGGGAGGCCAGAGCAGGTGGATCATCTGAGGTCAGGAGTTCAAAACCAGCCTGGCCAACATGATGAGACCCCTTCTCTACTGAAAATACAAAGATTAGCCAGGTGTGGTGGCACGTGACTGTAATCCCAGCTACTCGGGAGGCCGAGGCAGGAGAATCGCTTGAACCCGGGAGGCGGAGGTTGCAGTGAGCCGACATTGCACCACTGCACTCCAGCCTGGGGGACAGAGGCTGCACCACTGCAGCCTTGACTTACCGGGTTCAGGTGGTTCTCCACCTCAGCCTTGCCACTAGCTGGGACTGCAGGCACATGGAACCACACCTGGCTAATTTTTGTAGTTTTTGTAGACGGGATTTTGCCATGTTGCCCAGGCTGGTCTCGAACTCCTGGGCTCAAGTGATCCGCCCGCCTCAGTCTCCCAAAGTGCTAGGATTACAGGTGTGAGTCACTGCACTCGGCTAATAGTAATGAACTTTGAACAGAAGGAAAGTTGTTATTATTTTCTTGGTTATGTTCTATCTATATTTTCTAATTTTTCTAAACATGTAAAGATAAAATTCTAAAAACTCAGACCTCAGAACAAAAAAATTAGAGTATAAATATTTATTTTAGTTAACTTGTACAAATTTGGTTTCTGGAAAAAGAATGGAATAGATTTTCTGAGAAAAAAAATCCACCACTTTGGCCGGGCGCAGTGGTTTACGCGTGTAATGCCTGCACTTTGGGAGGCTGAGGCGGTGGATCACCTGAGGTGAGGAGTTCAAGACCAGCCTGACCGACATGAAGAAACCCCTGTCTCTACTAAAAATACAAAAATTAGTCAGGCCTGGTGGCACGCACCTGTAATCCCAGCTACTCAGGAGGCTGAGGCTGGAGAATCGCTTGAACCCAGGAGGCAGAGGTTGCAGTGAGCTGAGATCGCACCATAGCGCTCCAGCCTGGGTGACAAAAGGAAAACTCTGTCTCAAAAAGAAAGAAAGAAAAGCAGACTGGCTGAAAGGATTGAAGAACAAAATATGATCCACCAATGTGCTATCTACAAGATAAACATTTTAAATACAGAAACAGATTGAAAGTAAAGGGATACAAAGATACAATTAAAATAGTAACCAAAAAAGAGCTGAAGGGGCTGTACTAATATCAAATGTAATACACTTTAAATTAAAGCAGGGCTGGGCATGGTAGCTCAGGCCTGCAATCCCAGCACTTTGGGAGGTGGAGGCAGAGAGACACTTGAGCCCAGAAGTTCGAGATCAGCCTGAGCAACATGGCATAATCCCATCTCTACAAAAAATACAAAAATTAGGCGGGCATGGTGGTACCCACCTGTGGTCCCAGCTATTTGGGAGGCTGAGGTGGGAGGATCATGTGAGCTGGGGAAGTTGAGGCCGCAGTGAGCTAAGATCGGGCCCCTGCACTCCACCCTGGGCAACAGAGCGAGACCCTGTCTGAAAATAAAAAAAAATAAAAAACGGGGTTGAGAGACAAAAAAGGACATCCTTTTTTTTATTATTGTATTTTGAGATGGAGTTTCGCTCGTTGCCCAGGCTGGAGTGCAATCGTGTGATCTTGGCTCACTGCAACCTCCGCCTCCCGGGTTCAAGTGATTGTCGTGCCTCAGGCTCCCGAGTAGCTGGCATTACATGTGCCTGCCATCACGCCCAGCTAATTTTTGTATTTTGGTACAGACGGGGTTTCACCATGTTGGCCAGGGTGGTCTCCAACTACTGACCTCAGGTGATCCACCTGCCTTGGCCTCCCAAAATGCTGGGACTACAGACATGAGCCACCGCGCCAGCCGAAACCTTCATTTTAAAAAAGGCTGGGTCAGGCATCATGCCTCATGCCTGTAATCCCAGCACTTTGAGAGGGCAACGCAGGCGGATCACCTGACGTCAGGAGTTCGAGACCAGACTGACCAACATGGTGAAACCCCGTCTCTACCAAAAATATAAAAATTAGCCGGGTGTGGTGGCACACACCTGTAATCCCAGCTACTCAGGAGGCTGAGGCAGGAGAATTGCTTGAATCTGGGAGGTGGAGTTTGCAGTGAGCCGAGATTGTGCTGCCACACTGCAGCCAGGGTGACAGAGTGAGACGCCATCTCAAAAAATAAATAAAGGCTGGGTGCCAGATGTGGTGCATAGGCCTAGTTTGTTGACTCCTGTACTTAACATATAAAACTCTAAAGAACAGTGGGAAGGAGCTTCCCTCTAGAGGCACAGGACCGGCCAAGTTGGTCCCTGAGCAGTGACTTTATAATAACATGTTACACTGTGTTTTTTGTTTTTGTTTTGTTTTTTGTTTGTTTGAGACGGAGTTTCGCTCTTGTTGCCCAGGCTGGAGTACAATGGCGTGATCTCAGCTCAAAACAACCTCTACCTCCCAGATTCAAGCGATTCTCCTGCCTCAGCCTCCAAAGTAGCTGGGATTTCAGTCATGCAACACCATGCCCGGCTAATTTTGTACTTTTAGTAGGGATGGGGTTTCTCCATGTTGGTCAGGCTGGTCTCGAACTCCTGACCTCAAGGGATCTGCCCGCCTCGGCCTCCCAAAGTGCTGGGATTACAGGCGTGAGCCACCACACCCGGCCTATATTTTTTTTCTTTTTTTTTAGACACAGTCTGACTCCGTTGCCCAGGCTGGAGTGCAGTAGCGCGATCTTGGTTCACTGTAACTTCTGCCTCCCAGGTTCAAGCGATTCTCCTGCCTCAGCCTCCCAAGTAGCTGGGATTACAGGCATGCACCACCACATCCGACTAATTTTTGTATTTTTAGTAGAGATGGGGTTTCACCATGTTGGCCAGGCTGGTCTCAAACTCCTCACCTCAAGTAATCCGCCCGCCTCGGCCTCCCAAAGTGCTGGGATTACAAGGCGTGACCCACCGGGCCTGGCCCTGTGTGTTGTTTTATGTATGTTTCTATATGTGTTATATTTCACAATAAACTAAATATTAAAACAAAGAATAACTGATAGCTATGCACAAAGGTATTTAAATTTCACCCTCACAGATAATTTTTTTTTTTTTGAGACAGGATCTCACTCTGTTACCCAGGCTGGAGTGCAGTGGCACCACCTTGGTTCACTGCAGCCTTGACCTCCCAGGCCCAAGCGATCCTTCTACCTCAGCCTCCTGAGTAGCTGGGACTACAGGCACACTCCACCACACCCACCTAATTTTTGTATTTTTGGTAAAGATGGGGTTTCACCATGTTGGCCAGGCTGGTCTCGAACTTCTGGGATCAAGGAATCCTCCAACCTTGGCTTTCCAAAGTGCTGGTATTACAGGCGTGAGCCACTGTACCCGGCCAAGAATAGTTTCTTCTCCTTACCTAGGTAGAGACCTCTGCAGAAATGCTGGGAGATCTTTGGAGAGGGGAGATTTTTTAAATAAAAAATTTAATACTTGGAGGGGCGTGGTGGCTTACCCCTGTAATCCCAGCACTTTGGGAGGCCAAGGCGGACAGATCAGGAAGTCAGGAGATTGAGACCACCCTGGCTAACACGGTGAAACCCCATCTCTACTAAAAAAAAATACAAAAAATTAGCTGGGCATCGTGGCGGGCGCCTGTAGTCCCAGCTACTCGGGAGGCTGAGTCAGGAGACTGGCGTGAACCTGGGAGGCGGAGCTTGCAGTGAGCCGACATCGGGCCACTGCACTCCAGCCTGGGCGACACAGCAAGACTTCGTCTCAAAAAAAAAAAAAAATTAATACTTTGGGATGCCAAGGCAGGTGGATCACGAGGTCAGGAGTTCAAGAACTGCCTGGCCAAGATGGTGAAACCCCGTAAAAATACAAAAATTTGCCGGGCTTGGTGGCAGGTGCCTGTAATCCCAGCTATTCAGGAGGCTGAGGCAGGAGAATTGCTTGAACCTGGGTGGCAGAGGTTGCAGTGAGCCAAGATAGCACCACTGCACTCCAGCCTGGGCAATAAGAGTCAGACTCTGTCTAAAAAAAAAAAAAAAAAAAAAACTGATCTAGTTCAAAACCTCACTTTGAATCCACCCACATTGCTCTAAAATACTTTCATCTTTCCTGTGGCTAAAACCTTAAAGCCTTGCCAGTAACTCCCATTGCACTTAAGGAAATCCAATCTCCCTTGTTGTGGCCCCTGAACAGGCTGCTGCTGGCCCACCACGGTGCCTCTAGTTTGTGTAAAATGCATATGTTAATTTATAATATATGAGGCTTTTTTAGCTCTAAAAGGCTATTATTCACTAGTTGCTGTGTGAATCAGTATTTCTGGGTGCAGTTAGAAATTATTAGAGTTGATGCCCAAGACTCATCTCCATCAGCACGGGGGAGGCATCTGCTCGTTTTATGGTCAGTGACTCTGGGCCTCCTGCTGGGCTAAGTCCTGAGGTGGGTCTGACTCAGGTCAGAGCTGTGCACCCCGGCCCTCCTCCTCAACGTGCATGAGTGCTCTTTAGGATGGAGCTGAACACTGGCTTCTCAAAACCACTTGGCCCCATCACAGGCCCTGAGAACTGATTGGGTCACTCTGGTGGGCTCCCCAGCCCTAGCCAAGAAGGGTTTCTCTAGGGAGCCTGGCCCCCCACTTATGAGACCTGGAGCCCCAAAGATCCTGACCAGGGGCCTGCCTCCTCCAGGGAGGGGCCACTCGCCCCCACCAAGCTCCCTTCACAGAGACCCATCCAACAGAGCTGAGGAAAACCATGCCTCATAAATGAATAAATACATAAATAAGAATGCCGGGGACCTGTGGATTTTGTAATTCCTGAAAGAAGGCAGAGTGGCTGGCTCACAGCAAGCGCAGTAGGAGATACTGCTCCCCGGCCAGGCTGTTCTCTGTCTCTTTGGAGGGAGCCCTAGGGTACAAGAAAAGCCAGAGGAGACCAGCTGGCCCAGAAGGTGCCTCTCCACCCCTTCCCCAGAGTTTCTGGGAAACAAAGCCCACCCGAGGGACACATGCCTTCTTGGGAGTTGTACCAGGCCTCCTTCCTCATCCAGCCATGCAGTGGTTTTCAGTGCCCGAAACAGATGAATAAAATAGGCCCTTTACGGGATGTTCTTCAGGAACATGCACACTTCTTTGGATCTTACCATCGTTTTATCTCTATTTAAAGTTAAATGCTGTGTTATACAGAGTATTGGTAAAGATGTAGAGCTACAAGAACTGTCAAGCTGGCAGTAGCATAAAATTGTATAAGCACATTGGAAACCTGTTTGGCAGCTTCTACTAAAGCTATATCTATGCCTACCTTCAGAAATTCCATCCTAAGCATGTACACAAGAGAAACGAGTGCATATGTCCACAAAAAGACTTATATAAGAATGTTCACTGCCATTTTTATTCATAAGAGCCCCAAATGAAAACAACCTAAATGTCCATCAACAGGAGAGTGAATAAATGGTGATACAGTCACATCATGGAATACTACACAGCCAAAAAAGAAAAATGAAGTGGTAGGAACACTCAACGACATGGGTGAATAGAGGGAGCCAGGTATGAGAGACAGTGCACAGTACCAGCCCACCTAGATGAAGCGCAGGAAGGCAGAACTGACGATGATTGAAGTCAGAAGAGTAGTTTCCTTTGTGGGAAAGTGTAGGTCAGGAAGGAGCCTTCTGGGGTACTACAAATCTGCCGTATTTTGGCTGGGTGCAACAGCTCACACCAGCACTTCGGGAGGCATAGGCGAGAGGGTCACTTGAGCCCAGGAGTTAGAGACCAGCTTGGGCAACACAGCGAGATCCCATCTCTACAAAAAAATTAAAAATTAGCGTGGCATGCTGGTGTGCACCTGTAGTCTCAGCTACTCAGGAGGCTGAGGCAGGAGGATTGCTTGAGCTTAAGAGTTTGAGGTTGCAGTGAGCTCCCAAAGTGCTGGGATTACAGGTGTGAGACACTATACCAGCCTGATTTTTAAATACTGACCAAGCCTTGTGTTACTGGGATAGGCATCACTTGGCCACGATTTACTACTCTCTTTCTTTTTTTTTTTTTTTTTTTTGAGACAGAATTTCACTCTGTCACCCAGGCTGGAGTGCATTAGTGCAATCTCAGCTCTCTGCAACCTCTGCCTCCTGGGTTCAAGCAATTCTCCTGCCTCAGCTTCCTGAGTAGCTGGGATTACAGGTGTGCACCACCACACCTGGCTAATTTTGTTTGTTTGTTGTTTGTTTTTAGTAGAGATGGGGTTTCACCATGTTGGCCAGCCTGGTCTCCAACTCCTGACCTCAAGTGATCCACCCTCCTTGGCATCCCAATATTCCTATGATTACAGGCGTGAGCCACTGCGCCCGGCCCTATTCTGTTTCTATATTGCTAAATTTGACTTGCTAACACGTTTTTGAGGATTTTTCTGTTGATGCTCATCAGGGATGTTGGTTTGCAGTTTTCTTTCTTTGTATTATACTATCTTGTCTGGCTTTCTGTCAGGGGAAAGCTGACCTTATACAAAGTATTGGCATGTGTTCCCTCCTTTTCCATTTTCTCTAAGGGATTGTGTAGAATTAGTGTTATTTCTTCTTTAAATGTTTTTGAATCCATCTGAACCTGGAGATTTCTTTCTAAAAGATTTTACGCCGGGCACGGTGGCTCGTGCCTATAATCCCAGCACGTTGGGAGGCTGAGGCAGGTGGATCACCTGAGGTCAGGAGTTTGAGACCAGCCTGGCTAACATGGTGAAACCCCGTTTCTACTAAAAATACAAAAAATTAGTCGAGCTTGGTGGCGTGCGCCTGTAATCCCAGCTACTCAGGAGGCTAAGGCAGGAGAATCACTTGAACCTGGGAGGCAGAGATTGCAGAGAGCTGAGATTGCACCAATGCACTCCAGCCTGGGTGACAGAGTGAGACTCCGGCTCAAAAAAAAAAAAAAAATTTTTACAAATTCAATTTATTTAACAGATACAGAACTATTCAGGTAACCTGTTTGTTTCTAGGAGGATTTTCCTGGTTTGTGGCACTCGGACATTGCTTTATTTCATCTAAGTTGTCTGATTTTTAAGTGTCAAGTTTTCCTTAGTGTTCTCTTGCTAACCGTCTGAAGTCTGTGGGGCCTGCAGTGATGTCCCTTCATTCATTCCTGATACTGATAATTTGTATCTTTTCTGTTTTTTTCTTTGTCAGTTTTCCTAGAGTTTTTCAATTTTGTTGATCTTTTCAAAGAATGATCTTTAAGTTTCATTAATTTTTCCCTTCTTTTTTTGCTTTCAATCTCATTAGTTTCTGCTTTTATCTTGGCATTTGTTCCTTTGGCTTGTTTTGCGTTCACTTTGCTCTTTTTCTGGTTTCTTAAGGTGGAAACTTAGATTGCTGATTTAGACCTATCTTTTCTGTAATATATAATGATTTGATGCTATAAATTTTCCTCTAAGCAGTGCTTTAATTAAACCCACAAATTTTGGTGCATTTTCATTTATGTTCAAAATATTTTCTAATTTCTTTTGAGAATTGTTCTTTGACCCATGGATGATGATGATGATTATTATTATTATTATTTTTCTTCAATACGGAGTTTCACTGTTGTTGCCCAGGCTGGAGTGCAATGACATGATCTCGGCTCACTGCAACCTCTGTCTCCTGGGTTCAAGCGATTCTCCTGCCTCAGCCTCCTGATTAGCTGGGACTACGGGCACCCGCCACCATGCCCGGCTAATTGTTTTGTATTTTCAGTAGAGATGGGGTTTCTCCATGTTGGCCAGGCTGATCTTCAACTCCTGGCCTCAGGTGATCCCCCCAACTTGGCCTCCCACAGTGTTGGGATTACACGCGTGAGCCAGTGCGCCCGGCCTGACCCATGGATTATTAAGTATGTTGTTTTATTTTGAAGTGTTTGCAGATTGTTTTGTTAATGATTTCTAGTTTAATACCATTGTGATTGGAGAACAAACTGCATATGATTTCATTTCTTTTAAATTTGTTAAGATTTATGTGTCAGGTTATGTTCTCAGTGAACATTCTGTATGTGCTTAAAAAGTATATGTATGGTCTGTATATGTATGGTCTGTATATACATATATGTATACATATATGTGTAAAAAGTATATGTATGGTCTGTATGTGCTTAAAAAGTATATGTATGGTCCAGCACTTTGGGAGGCCAAGGCAGGCAGATCACAAGGTCAGGAGATCGAGACCATCCTGGCTAACAGGGTGAAACTCCGTCTCTACTAAAAATACAAAAAAAATTACCCGGGCATGATGGCGGGCGCCTGTAGTCCCAGCTACTTGGGAGGCTGAGGCAGGAGACTGGCTTGAGCCTGGGAAGCAGAGCTTGCAGTGAACTGAGATCGTGCGACTGCACTCCAGCCTGGGCGACAGAGCTAGACTCCATCTCAAAAAAAATAAAATTTAAAAAAAGTATATGTAAAGTGTATGTATGGCCGGGCACGGTGGCTCACGCCTGTAATCCCAGCACTTTGGGAGGCCAAGGCAGGTGGATCACGAGGTCAGGAGATCAAGACCATCCTGGCTGACATGGTGAAACCCCATCTCCACTAAAAATAAAAATTAAAAAAATAATAATAATTAGCCAGGCGTGGTGGTGAGCACCTGTAGTCCCAGCTACTCAGGAGGCTGAGGTAGGAGAATGGCGTGAACCCAGGAGGCACAGCTTGCAGTGGGCTGAGATCCCGCCACTGCACTCTAGCCTGGGCGACAGAGCGAGACTCTGTCTCAAAAAAAAAAAAAAAAAGTATATGTATTTTGCTGTTGTTGGGTGAAGTGTTCTATAAATTAGATCCAGTTTATTGAAGGTGTTCTACAGTTCTCCTAGATTTTTGCCGATTACTTGTTCTCTCACTATGAAAGGTATTGTGTGTGTTATATGTGTCTAACAATTCATTTTCTAGTTAGAGTTGCTATTATACCACTTCAAGTGGATGGAGAGCCTCACTGCCATCCATTAATGTGCATTAATCATTTTGAGAGTGAAAAGATTTTTTAAAATGTTTTTACTTTTTTAGGTATGGCCAAGTGAGATGGGGCTAGTGAAATGGGTGGGAGAATTGGAAGCTGATAGTGTGTGAGCTAGACACCCATGAATGCTTTTCCACTGGGCAGTTAGAGGGATGATAGGTAATAATATAAGGCAGCTCCATCACACAAGCTGGTGACTCCTGTGCGACAGACCAAGAGCTGCATTTGGAGATTCATTTCCGATTGTTGCGTTTCCTCTTAGAGCATTGCTTGGTCATCGTGTTCTGAGTGGTCCATTGGCCTCCATGTCCCTTTTGGGGTGGATATTTGCTCAGTGACTTTTGAGCAGCTGGATCTCCTGCTTCGGCAGGTGAGTGAGGGGATGGATGGCTCCGCGGACTGGCCCCCGCCCCAGGAGAAAGAGTGCGTGGCCGTGGCAACGCTGAATCTTCCCCGACTTCAGGTATTCGTGATTTCCCTTCCTCTTGCTCCTTTTATAAGTGTCTTAGCGATTTGTAAGAAGGTTTATGTATTCTGAAGGACATAGGTTTTAGCCTGTTGGGGGAAGTATTTTAAAGTAAGATTGTAATGCACTAATAATGGACGCAAGGCTTAAAAAACTTGATCTGTTTATTTTATGTTTGTCCTGGAAGTCAGCCTCGGCATGCAGGAAGAGTGTATATGGATTGTGTTATTTTTGCTATAATCATTAGTTTGTTGGTATTCTTACTGTTTTACTGTTGTTGCGTGTGGAGAAATGACTGGGTGAGATCACAGGTGATGGAGAGAGACAGAGCTCAGCTGAGAGACCAGTGCTGGCCTGTCTCTCCTCTGTCCTGTGAAAACCCTGCTCCAGGAGGGTCCAGTCTTTTGGTTTCCCTGGGCCACACTGGAAGAAGAATTGTCTTGGGCTACACATAAAATACACTTATGATAGCTGATGAGCTTAAAAAAAAAATCCCAAAAATATCTCATGATGTTTTAAGAAATTTTACTTTGGGCCACATTCAAAGCTGCCCTGGGCCACATGCTGCCCTCGGGCCGTGGGTTGAACAAGCTTGATCTACTCAGTAAGCTCGGCTCCCAAAGCAATACCTTCCTTTCCTCACCATGAAGGCTGTGGTTAGGGTCACAATAAAAGCTACAAAAGCCTTCCTCCCTAGCAAAACTAAAGCTGAAGTGTTTGATCATCATCTTTTGTCTTTGTAATAAAACCCTCTAACTTAATGACAAGAACCACGGTTTTCTCGACATAGTAATTTTTCCCTTTTATTACAGTGGTTTCTTGTAACAACCCGTCATGTCCCTCTTCCAGCCCCTCCCCTTTTTGCCCTGCTTCTAGAATGTACAGAACTGAGTGTAGTGTTTAGTTGCAGTAATGAACTGAGCAGAGGTCTGGAGCATGCTTCTCCTCTAGTCCTCTGTAGCACTCATTTATCACCATACCTGTGGCATCCTGGCGTTTGCGTGGTTGCGCCCCAGGTGTTTGCTGCCCCTCCTGGTTTGCGGTGATGTGTCTGTTCTGGTCAGTGCTGTGGGGCGTGGCCTTGCGTATGTCTTAGGCTGTCGAGGTGTCCCAGCGTATGGTTTTGCATTTGCCTCTCCGGGGTCCTGAGGGTTCTGTAGGTTTCACAGACTCCAGGTGAGTTTCGGTGGTCATTTCCTGACCTGTGATATCTATACCTAGATGAGTGGTGTGCTTTTGATTTCACTTCTACTTACAGGGCAAGGCCGGGTCTCTGATTTCTCATGGGGCCTCTTGCTACCCAGAGCCTGGGACGGGCAGTGTGTTGCCCCCTGGCTGCGGTTGGCTGGCAGGCAGGTGATCCTGAGTGGCTCCCAGCCTTCTGCAGGAAGCTCGGGTTCAGTGGGTCCTTGTGTGCATTCCCGTGTGGGAGGTTGTGCTGAAGCCTGGCGGCTTGGCTCTGCTTTCAGAGCCCGGAACCTCTTGACTCCTGCTGTGTGTGCCCATGTGAATTTTGGTTTTGCACTTGAGGAGTTTCCCTGTGTACTCTCAGCTCCGCAGTCTAATTTTTAGCAGCTCTTTTTTTTTTTTAGACAGGGTGTCACTTTGTCACCCAGGCTGGAATGCAGTGGTACAGTCTTGGCCTGCCAGGTTCCAGTGATTCTCCTGCCTCAGCCTCCCAAGTAGCTGGGACTACAGGTGTGTACCATCACACCCGGCTGATTTTTTTATAGAGATGGGGTTTCATCATGTTGGCCAGGCTGATCTTGAACTCCTGATCTCAAGTGAGCTTTCCACGTCGGCCTCCCAAAGTGCTGGGATGACAGGCATGAGCCACCGCCTGTGGCAGCTTTTGTGGTTACATTGTAGCCATTATTTCTGTGTTTGGTGCAGATTGTTGGGGCGGGGTGGAGGTTGCTGTTGCTAGTTGTTTAGCTCTTCTGCTCATCTTGAGCTTTTCCATATATGTGTTCATAGTGGGGTTAAAAAAAATTCCTCTAGAAAATACTTCAACTATTGTGGGTAAGAGTTTTTTTAGTCCAGTTTTTAAAAATACGTAAACTGAGAAGTTATTTTGTCTATTTAAATAATACTTCAAATTGACTTTTATTCAGTGTTTAATAAGACTTTGAAATTCACTCATTTTTAGGGGTTCTAAGTGAAAATTGTTTTTCTCCTTTCAGTTGCATGCTGCCATTAGTCACCAGGTTGACCTGGAATTCCTTGGTTTAGGTCTGGGCAGCGTCTTCCTGAACAGCCTGAAGCAGAAGGTGGTGACCCTGGCAAGCAGCGCAGACGTGCTGAGCACCGTGCAGTCGGCCTCCCAGGCCATGCTGCAGAGCGGCTGGTCCATGCTGTTGCCCACCGCTGAGAAGCAGGCCCGGGCACTCTGCTCTCCTGTCCTGTGGAGGTGGGCTCGGGGAAGGAACAGGAGAGGGCATGGGTCAGGGTGCTGGGAGGGGATGGCGTTTCACTCAAATTGGCACAGACTTTCTATTTCAGTTTCAGGCAATGAAGTGAACATAAGTCCAGGTCATCGATTGGTGATTGATCTTCTGGTGGGCAGCTTGATGGCTGATGGAGGGTTGGAGTCAGCCTTACACGCAGCCATTACTGCAGAGATCCAGGTATGGCCTTGGAGGCACACGTGACCTGGTGGTGGGCTGAGATCGGAAATACCACACTCACACATGTGAAGAATAACTGAAAACAGTAAAACACTAAACTTATATCCAAGTATTTTTTTAAATTAAAATTCTTTTATGTGCTAATTTTAAAAATTATTGAGATGATTTGTGATAAAATACTGCATGTTGTCTGTTTCAGTGAAGTTAACAGGTAACCTGTTCCTCATGTAGACCATTCCCGTCACCCGGAAAGATCCCTGTGCTCCTTGGCACTTGCAGCCAGGATACTCCCCTGCCCTGAGATTAGATTCATTTTTCCTGCTCTGAGTGTCGCAGCAATATAACTGTATAGTATGCACTCTTTCCTGCTTTGCCTTGGAGAATGATTTTCAGATTCACTCACTGTTGTGTGTATTGCGACTTCGTTTTTATTATTGGGAAGTTTTCCATTTTATAGGTGTAGTACTGTTTGTTAGTTCATTCTCCTATTGAAGGACATGTAATTGTTTTTGGTTTTTGTTTTCTTTTTTTTTTTTTTTTTTTGAGACAGGGTCTTGCTCTGTCACCCAGGCTGTATACAGTGACCTGATGTTGGCTCACTGCAGCCTTGTCCTCCTAGGCTCAAATGATCCTCCCACCTCAGCCTCCTGTGTTGCAGGGACCACATACATGTCACCATGCCCGGCTAGTTTTTTGATTTTTTTGTAGAGACAAGGTTTCACTGTGTTGCAAGGCTGGTCTTCAACTCCTGGGCTCCAGTGATCCCCCCACCTTGGCCTCCCAAAGTGTTGGGATTACAAGCGTGAGCCACCGCGCCCAGGCTTTCTGGTTTTTGGCCGTGTAGAGCTGCCACAATTGTGCTGTGAACAAGTACTTTAGTGAACATATGTTCTCCCTTTGGATAAACACTTGGAGTGGAATTTGTTAGGTCCTGGGGTAAGTGTGTGTTCATAGTTTCCCAAAGTGGCTTTGCCATTTGCATTTGAACCAGGACTTTTGTGTGTGAGAATTCTAGCTCCTTCTTGTCCTTACAGAGCAGCTGGATGCTGCGTGTGTGGAGCCGATCACATTGGGTTTTGTGTGAGCCATTAGCAGGGTTAAGGATTTTAGGGACTTCACAGAAGGAGGCTGGAGAGCATCAGCAGAGGCAGCCTGGACCTTGGATCTGTAAAAAGAAGACACTGTTTGAAACTGCACAAATGAGTTGGGGTTTCCAACAGGGCAGGTGGGGGGCCTGTGGGTGGATGGGTGTGGCAGCCACAGAGGCTGGGATAGCTTGGCACTGGGGTCAGGGCTCAGCCAGCCTGTGTGCCTTCACACCTGGTAATGAGATCACTTGTAAACAATTTCTGTTTATCAATTACAGGATACAAAAAAAGAAGCACGGAAGGAAAAAGAAATTTATGAACAGGAAGCAAATGCCTCAACATTTCATAGAAGGAGGACTCCATTGGATAAAGACCTTATTAATACGGGGATCTGTGAGTCTTCTGGCAAACAGTGTTTGCCTCTGGTTCAGCTCATACAACAGCTTCTTAGGTAAATCATATTAGCTGTATTGTATTGTGTTTTATTTATTTACTTTTTTTTTTTTGAGACAGAGTTTCGCTCTTGTTGCCCAGGCCGGAGTGCAGTGGTGCGATCTTGACTCACTGCAACCTCCGCCTCCCAGGTTCAAGTAATTCCTCTGCCTCAGCCTCTCGAGCAGCTGGGATTACAGGCATGCGCCACCATGCCCCACTAATTTTGTAGTTTTATTAGAGACAGGGTTTCTTCATGTTGGTCAGGCCGGTCTTGAACTCCCGACCTCAGGTGGTCCATCCACTTTGGCCTCCCAAAATGTTGGGATTACAGGCATTAGCCACCACGCCTGGCCTATTTATTTACTTATTAATGGTGTTTTTTGTTTTTTGTTTTTTTTTTGAGATGGAGTCTTGCTCTATCGTCCAGGCTGGAGTGCAGTGTCACGATCTTGGCTCACTGCAACCCCCGCCTCCTGGGTTCAAGCTATTCTCCTGCCTCAGCCTCCCGAGTAGCTGGGACTACAGGCGTCTGCAACCACACCTGGCTGATTTGTGTATTTTTAGTAGAGATGGGGTTTTACCATATTGGTCAGGCTGGTCTCAAATTCCTGACGTCAGGTGACCCACCTGCCTTGGCCTCTCAAAATGTTGGGATTACAGGTGTTAGCCACTGTTCCCGGCCTGTATTGTATTTTAATAGGTGATTATTGGTTTTCATATTAAGATAGTGAAATCTAGCGCAAGGGTCTCAAAAATTTGTTTGATGATTGAAGGAATATTCTGAAAATTACCTAGTATAGATGTTAGGATAAAGAGCAGACCCTTCTCAATATAGGTGAGAGGAGAAGTTGGAGGGTGTGATGATACTCAGAAGTTTTTCACAGAAGAGAAATTGGGGCGTGCAGTAAACATGTAAAAAGATTCTTACTAATAAGCAGGTAGGTGCGAATGAAAATCATCATGGAAGGTTATTTTTAAAACTGGTTCTATCATTGCCTCACTTTACACATTACAGAGTTGTACCTACTACTTTGTAAGATAACTTTTCTTTTCAAAACTGAAGTCAATGTGATAGAATGGTGAGCATTATTTTGGAAGGCCAGACTAGGAGGAGGTGGGAGGAGGAAGTCAGACTCAGCCTGTGAACAGACGCTAACCTTGGCAGAAGCCAAAACAGTCAGACAGTGTTGTGTAAAAATGATCATTCAAGAAGAGCGAAACAGCAAGGTGATTTGTGAAAGAGATTTATTAGAAAATGAAACACATTTATACCTCTGTTCAATAAAAATCTGCTTTTCGTCAACTGATGCTCCTGGTTTTTGTTTCTACACATAGAGAAAGCAGAGCCCTGGCAGCTTGGGTCAGGCAGCCGAGTACAGACCAGGGAGCCCTGGGCAGTGGCTGCAGCTCTCAGCTGGCCTGTTCATGGGGCCATGGTGGGTCTGTGGCGTGGGGTGGGCCCGTGGCGTGGGGTGGGCCCGCGGCGTGGGGTGGGCCCGCGGCGTGGGGTGGGCCCGCGGCATGGGGTGGGCCTGCTGTCCACAGCCAGCAAAACTAACTTAGTGCACACACAGTGAAATTTTGAAACAGGAAGTTTTAGAGCTAGTTTCTGTCATAGATTTTAGTAAATGCTATTTTGCAAAACCTTTTTCTGATGTTTGTTTTGTTTTTCTAATCTGATAATGCATATTTCACACATTCTGGTCTTTAACAAATGGAAATAAAGAGAACTAAACAATATAGTTTGTGTCGATGGAAAGAGCTTGGGATTTGTTCTCAGAAAATTTCAGTTACAACAGTTTGTTCATATAGGTGGACTTCCAACACAGTAACTATAGGAGTAAGAATAAAAGCTGTGTTTACTTTCACAGAGTTAATTAAGAATACATGAGAAAATGGATGTTAAAAACCTTGTAATTAAAATGTACAGTTACATGCAAAGTTTTAAAGTGAGCATTTTCCAGAGGTGCTTTTCTAAGTTCTTGAATGCCTCTCCCTTTTCTGAAGTGGCTGCTTCGTGGGGCTGTTGGTCTTTGGCAGGGGGTGAGTGCAGGGTTCCTGTTGTGGGTCCTTTGTTCTCACGAGGGCAGTGCCCGTTTTCCCCGTCTCCTGCTTGCCCAGACTGTTCCCGTGCGCAGAGAGACTGGCCTGTTTGACCTGCAGCTGTGCTGTTTGAGCTGCAGCTGTGTAGCCTGCGCTGGCCCATCTGGCTACACTCAACACCGTTTGCTGATCAGCACTTGAAGTCTGTCCGTCATAGCTGAGACACTGAATATTTTATCTGTTTAATTTTTATTCATTAAAATGCAGGTTTGAAAATTTGATTCTGTTATTAGAAAGCACTTAAGTATGTTTAGAATCACTTGGCCTTGGGAGTCTACTTTGTCAACTGTGTATTTTATGAGTCTAAATGGAGATCAGATGTTTTCAATGCAAATTTCACTGTCCAAATTGAAATGTGTTACATATGTAAGCTACTCAGATGGTTTTTGAGGACTTAATATGAAATAACCTATGTAAAATATCTCAATAATTTTTCTTAGATTGATTTCATGTTGAAATGGTCATATTTTTGATCTGTTGGAATAACTATGATACATTATTAAAATTATTTTTATTTTTTAAGATGGAATCTTACTCTGTTGACCAGACCGGAGTGCAGTGGTGCAATCTTGGCTCACTGCAACCTCCGCCTCTTGGGTTCAAGTGATTCTCCTGCCTCAGCCTCCTGAGCAGCTGGGACTACAGGACTACAGACTCCCGAGCAGCTGGGACTACCACCACGCCTGGCTGATTTTTGTATTTTTGTAGAGACAGAGTTTCACCATGTTGGCCAGGCTGGTCTCGAACTCCTGACCTCAAGTAATCTGCCCGCTTTGGCTTCCCAGAGTGCTGGGATTACAGGCATGAGCCACTGCAACCAGCCATTATTACAATTAATTTTATGTGTTGTTGTTTTTCTTGTTGGTGTTTTTTGTTTTTTTTTTTTACTTTTGTTAATGTGACTAAGAACAATTTTTTTTCCCCACCCGGAGATGGATCCTCACTCTGTTGCCTGGACTGGAGTGCAGTAGCACGATCTCAGCTCACTGCAGCCTCTGCCTCCTGGGTTCAAATGATTCTCCTGCCTCAACCTCCTGAGTGGCTGGGACTAACAGAAGCATGCCACCATACCTGGCTGATTTTTGTATTTTTAGTAGAGATGGGGTTTCACCATGTTGGCCAGGACGGTCTTGAACTCCCAAACTCAGGTAATCTGCCCACCTCAGCCTCCCAAAGTGTTGGGATTACCGGCGTGAGCCACCGCACCTGGCCATGTTTATTAATACGACTAAGAACATTCTGAATTGCACCTGTGGCTCCATTGGTGTCCTGGGCAGGTGGCTCTGTGCTGTCCACACAGGTTGTCTCCTGTGTCTTCGTCTTCGCTGCGTGTGACTTTTTGGTTCCTGTGGCACGTGGGGTCCTGTATGGGACATTGGTTCTACAGCAGATTTATAGTAAGGATGTACCTACTAAAAAATACAAAATAGAAAGAATAGACACAAACATAGAAATAAGTATCACCTCACAAAAATTTTGGAAAGTAGAAAAAGAAAAATGCATTCGCAGCTTTCCAGTAGCCGATATCCAGGCTGTCTTCATAAGCATGGATCATGTGTCCCTCTCCCGCATGGGTAGACACTGTTTTCTCACCTTAAGTGTTTGTGAGTGAAGGATTCTTGATGTGTTGACTTGGCAGATGCAGTTGTTGAACAGTAGTTTATCTAAAGATCGTAAGAGACTTTTGGAGACATTTCACGTCCTTTTTTCCCTTGGAAAACGTGAGTTGGAGAAATCGCTGCTTGCCAAAAATAAGCCGTGAAACGTATTTCAGAGTAGATCGTTATTTACTTGCTGGCGAGGAGCCACAGAATACCATTTACATTTGAAAATAGAGCGCTGCAAAGTTTTTATAAGTAGTGAATCCCATCAGAATTACACATTTTGATTATGGCTCTAAATTTTATATTAAATAAACTAAAAATTTCATTGTATTGTATTACCGTCTCTTGCTCCTTCAGGTGTAGCATACATGCTAGATTCTAGACCTGTTTCTTGTGTTACAGTGGTGTTATCCAGGCAGGGTATCATGTAGTGAAGGTGATGTCTGGTGGTGGTGAGCCCAGTGAAGGCGCATCCTTGCCGTGTGTGATGAGGGCCTGTGGGTTGCTATGGGATTCCCCAACCCTGGCTCCTCTGTCTCCTGCTTCTGTCCTTACTCATGCTGCTGGTAGTTTTCTGGTGTGAGACACGGGGGCAAGTGGGATTGACAAGCCTGCTGTCACATTAGGAACCTGAGTTAAAGTGGAGCTGAAAGCATGTCCTCGCTCTTGATGTTGTGCAGAGAGCCACCTGTGCTCCTGGCTCAACGGGGCAGGTGTGGTGGGTCTGGAACCAGGCCCTGGTTTGGCTCTCCTCCCCTCCATGTTCCCCTGTCCTGTCTGATTTGCTTCACACTGACATAAGAGTTACTTTCCCTCGGCCTCCCAAAGTGCTGGTATTACAGGCATTAGCCACCGCGCCCAGCTAGCATCCTTTCAAGTACTGGGGTACACCCAAGCTCCCAGCTTCTAGCTAGGAGTCATTTTGTCCCTCTTTATCCCAAAGGACTTGCCACCATCTTTGGTTCCCAAAGCCCAGGAGGGTCCAGGCTCTTCAGCCTCCAACCACTTTGCATTTCTTGTCTGCTTTTCGTTCATGGAGATAATTAACTTATTTTTCAGCCTGGGCATGTCTTTTTTATTTACTTTATTTTTTATTTTTATTTTTTGAGATGGAGTCTCACTCTGTCGCCCAGGCTGGAATGCAGTGGCGGGATCTCATTTCACTGCAGCCTCTGCCTCCCGGGTTCAAGTGATTCTCCTGCCTCAGCCTCCTGAGTAGCTGGGACTACAGGTGTGCACCACTATGCCCAGCTAATTTTTACATTTTTAGTAGAGACAGGGTGTCGCCATATTGGCCAGGCTGGTCTCGAACTCCTGGCTTCAAGTGATCCTCCTGCCTCAGCCTCCCAGAGTGCTGGGATTACAGGCACGACCACCGCACCCAGCCTTTATTTACTTTGTATATCTCATCTATTACTGCTGCAGTTTGCAGAAGAGAGGATGCCCTCAAACCTAACTTCTCCAAACCATCCCAAATGGGAAGTCTGCTCCACGTCAACAGCATTGTTGCTTTTAAAGACTATACGTCAACATGGCAGATTATAGCAAAAGGATGTCGAGGGAGCAATAGGAAAGCAAGCCTGAGAGTCCTGGAGAGAAGGTGGCAGAGCTGCCTTTTGAAGGTGGTTCCTTCCTCAGACCCTGCCCTTCCTGCCTTGTTCCTCCAGTTGCCAGATTTGCTGTTGGAGCTCCTCCACGGGCGAAGAGGTGAGGCTGGACTGAGAGGGAGATGGAGAAGCTGCCAGAGATTCTTTTGGATCTAGAATTGAGACAGCAGTTCCAGCCAGGTCCAGAGGTGGGGGCTGTCACCCAGCCCCCAGGGGAATGGTACTGATTGCAGAATGTGGCGAGAACTCCCTGGCTGGGAGAGGGAGGTGCTTGCTCCCTTGAATCACCTGAGCTCAGGCTGGAAGGCCCAAGGGGGAGGACGAGGCCAGCTCACTCCAGCTCCATCCCCTCCCTTTAACCCTAAGCTAGTTAACCCTCCCAGACTCCAGTCCTTTTTCCTAAGTGCCCTCCCTGCAAAGTCTGCACCGAGCAGCGCTCCCTCGCACCAGCTCACCCTGCACTGTCTTGTCTTTCAGCAACCCCATGGGTTTGAACTTGAGACGATTCATTTTCCTAAAAGCCTCTTTGGGCTGAGGGAAGGCATGGGTGGCTCTGCCAGTTTTGGAGTGGGGGCCGACTCTTCTCAGAGCCGCTGCAAGGGCCAGGGCCACCCTCCCAGGCGGGTGTCTCCGGGCTGGGCAGCAGCTTTGTAGGCAGCCTGGGTCATCCCCACTGGTCTGGGAAGCTGGGGGTGCACCGGCTCCTGCTCCTGATAGGGCCAAGGCACCTTCCTTACCTAAGAGCTGACTTTCTTGAAGAGTGGGCACAGAGGAGCCGGCAACCTGGGCTGTGTAGGCACCCAGGAGAAAATCTGCAGCTCAGTATCAGAAGTCTCCACCAGCACGGCTGTTGCAGAGATGGGGAAACTGGGCTGAGAGGGAAGGGGGCTTCCCCAAATCACCAGCCCTGGAATGTTTGGAGCTTTGGGGGTGGATCTCCCAGGAAACGTGTTTTTATGGCACCACCGCCTCTGGTCACCCACCCCGAGGTGTGGCGGGCCTGGACAGCCAGCTTGACTGAGGGCCAGGCTGGTGAAGTCAAAACTACCACTCAGGAAGAAGACCTAGCCCTTCTCCAGACAGAGTTCAAATGTGAGGGCTGCCTTCTTTGGGCCTCAAATTCCCCACGTGAATTCCAAGGACCCCTCTAGCTCCTACACTCTGGGCCAAGGTTTCCTCTGAGCCGCAGTCAGCCTAGAGGACCTAGGATACATCTTCCTTGGACAGAGACCCACCATAGGGGCAGCAGGAGGTAGGGGTGGGGGTAGGCAAGATTCCTGTGGGGAGGTGGAGCTGTCATCAGAGATGGTGTCTGCAGGCAGTGGGTGTATCGTGGCTCTGCTACTACTTGCTGGGTGGCCCCATGACGTTTCTTTCCCCACTCTGACCTCAGTTTCCCTATCTGTTCTGTGGAGATAAGATGCCTGCCTACATATTTGTGGACTGGGATGTGTGTGGGCCAGTTGCAGTGTTTCTTGGTGTGGTCCTGGGGCAGGCTGCACCACCCCATAGAGATTTCTGGGCCCCACCCTAGGCTCACAGGACCAGAATCTCTGGGAATGAAGCCTGGGAATTTGCATTTCCACAGGCATCTGGCTGATTCTGACATGACTGAAAAGCACTAATAGTATATAGCAAGCTCTTTATAAAAGGTAAATTCATAGCTGCCTTTTACTAAACATAAATCTCACCTTCCCTTCCTCAGTTAAGGACACACACTGCAGTTGAAAATCACTGTGCCTTTCCAGATGCAGAGTCTGACCTTTCCGATAAGATTCTGTTAACTGCTGCTTTCTGCAGTTTGTATTCCAAAACAAGGGGAATATGTTTCCATTTTTTCAATACAAATGTTTAAGTCGGATATGCTTTCTCAAACTGGACACACACTCACACAGCTTAGGGTTTCAGCTATGGCTTCCTCTCAAATTATTAGCCTCTTTCTGCCAGGGAGCAGTTTTTCCCAGACAAGACCCTGGACAGAGGTTGGTGGGGCCCTCCTCATCAGAATCACTAGATTATGACTGACCCCTAGAGGTGGCTTTTCTGCTTAAGTGTCAGCCCATGGGCTGGGTTGTGACCCCCAAAGCTGCGGCAGAAGCTTCCACCCATCCTGGGTCCCCCCTGCCATCTATGGGGAAAGGCCTGTCCCTTGTCTTCTGGGCCCAGCCGGCCTCACAGGCATTCAGCAGATTGGAAAGTCGAAGCATGTGCTGTGCTTGGCTGGGCTCTGCTGTGCCCCTTTTTGGGGTGAGGTGGAGTGCATCCAGCCCCCAGCATCCCTGCCGTTTATTCCCACCCCTCATCCCCACCCCCATACACACTCACAAGTACAAACACAAGCACAGTCACTGGCACACACCACTCTGGACAGCACCATTTCCAGCCTCAGCGGGGCAGTTTCCTTACAGGGAAGTTAATGAGGCACTAACGAAGGCTCAGGGGACAGGGGGAACCTCTATCGAGAAGAGGCTCCTAGACCTGGTTCTGCCTCTGAATTGCTGGGGGTCCTTGAGAAAGTTGCTATCCCTCTCTGGTCTCAGTTTCCTCAGGTGAGAAATGGGGGGCCGGCCAAATGGTCTAAGGTTCTGGGAACCTCTAAATCAGAGCCCGTAGCTGGTGGTCAAGATGAGGGAGAGGCCCTCAGGGTCAGCCGAATGCCTGAGAGGCAGGACAGGCCCAAAGGTGAGCAACGTGAGCACATCAGGTGGGCTCAGAGCTGGCGCATGAGCCCCACAGCCTGCAGAGCAGCCCTGTACTCGGGAGCCCGCTCACACCCACCCAGTGGGACTTCAGAGATGTGGGGTCCAGCCTTTCCTACTATTGCTGGGCTGAGGGCTGGGAGCTGCAGATTCTGACCCCACAGCTGCCTTAGACATGCCAGATGGTCTGGGGCAAGACACACCCCTCTCTATGAAATGAGCAGCCAGTCCAAATAGGTACATTAGAGAAGGGCTGTGGGATGGACCCAGCTGTAGCCTGGGGCTACAGACTGGCTTCCGGGGTACTCAAGCAGCTGGCCTCTGGGGTAGCAGCCCCAGGTATGAGAGGCAGGACTCAGAATCTAGGCCAAGCCTCCATAGGAATCCCCTCTGGAGAGCCCGGGCACTCTGCAGGAGGGGCAGCAGGCAGCAGGTGCACCAGGAGCATGTTTCACAAGGTGCCCAATATCGCATCTGCTCAGATAGGCAGCGAGTTGGAAAGTGGATGCAATAGGCAGGGTGGCGGCTGCTCCCCACAGCCAGGAGTCCGGCCCAGCACCCACCTGAGTCCGCCTCAGTCCTGCTCAATTGGGTTATCCGTGCTCTTGGCCCTCTGGTCCCACCCACAGAGGGAGGTCTTTGGGGCGACCAGGTGAGCTGGCCCTTGTGGGAGGATGTAACTGACTCCTGAGCCTGGCGAGCCAGGCAGCCCCTCGCCAACATCCCCACCCCTACCTCTCCAGCCCCCCCGCATTCCCTGATCCTCCCATCCGCTCCCCTGACCCAGCAGTTGCCTCTGCTCACTCTCTTTTCCTGCTCCCAGGCTCGCCTGGTCATGTGTCCTTCACTCTCCTCTGAGTCTCCCTCTTTCCAAGCCGCCTCCACTCTACTTGACACACTCTCCCTTAAGACACCAGAGTACACAAGCGCAAGTCCCTGCACCTCACCTTTACTCCCAGACATGGGAGGGAGATGACATGAAGACCCAAACGCCACTTAGCAGGAGATCTGGGGTATGCAGAGGGGCAGAACGGAGGCTGTGGAAGCTCCAGGGGCTCCCTGCAGGAGGCCACATGTAAGCTGGCTATTGAATGTGGCTCTGAGCTGAGACCTCTCCTTGAAGCTCCAGACCAGGAGCCAGCTGCTAGCTGGACCCCTCCATTTGGTGCCTCAGAGAAACTTTGCACTCTGTAGGTCTAACTTTGAACCCAGAAAATTCCCCCATGTCGGCCCTGTCTCTTCACAGGGAAAGCACCACCTCAGACCCAGTTCTGCACCAAACCCACATTTGAGTCACGAGGCTCCTGCCCTGCACTGTGAGCACTCTGGATAAGCCAGTGCTGAGGGGGAAAGAGCTCTGAATGCCAAGCCAAAACATGAGCTTCAACTCCACCTCCAGCTCTGAGAGCTGTGGGTAGGGAAGGGCCCAAGTCCAGTTTGCTGTAGAAAGACCAGTCTGCCACTGTATGGCACATGGATGGCACGGGCAGAGTGTGGGTGGAGAGAATAGAAGGTGGGCAGGGCGGGGGAGGCAGGGACATGGCTGTAGCCGTGGAGATGGGAGGACAGACAGGACTTGGTGGCCACTTGGGTGAACCAAGGGAGGAGTCAGGAAGAGACACCCAGTTTTGTATCAGATGTGTAGAGCGTGGGATGCTGTTCATTGACGGAGGGAGGAGGAGGAGGAAGAGGTATGGCATGGGGAGGAGGTAGCTGAGCTCTGTCGTGAATGTCATTTGAAGTCCCCAGGGAAAGCCAGGCCGGCCAGCACCTTCACTGCTTCAGCCAGCTCTCAGGGTGTCTGTGCTCCCTGGCCCTCTCAGCTCCTGCTTCATAGCTGTCAGCTGCAGTGGGAGACAGCTGCACAAGGGCCCAGCATGTCTGTGTGTTTACCCAGGGGACTGCCGCATGGCCCATGCCGAGCAGAAGCTGATGGACGACCTTCTGAACAAAACCTGTTACAACAACCTGATCCGCCCAGCCACCAGCTCCTCACAGCTCATCTCCATCCAGACGGCGCTCTCCCTGGCCCAGTGCATCAGCGTGGTAGGTGCAGAGGGTACCTGTGGCTCAGGCTCAGGTGAAGAGGAAGCTCATGCCCAAGCCCTAAGCAGTCAATGTCCAGAGGAATGAAATGACTAGAGTTGACTTAGACTCACCGGTACACGGTGGGGAGGCTGGAGGAGGGTCCATGAGGTTTATAGGTGTCCAGTATTTAATGAGGTCATGGTTTTGTTAACAAAGAAGAAATGAGGGTGGGAGCGAGATCACCACTGGCTAGGCAGCCAATGGGCCTGCATAGACTCTGCTCAGCTGAGTCTCCAGCACGACCATGAGCTTCTCCTCCTCATCCTCCCAGCCCCACCCTACTCTCTCCCCCAGCTTGCTCAACAGGTGACCTTATAGGCTCCCTACTCTTTGCAGGGAATAAGAACCAGACTGGGGGAACTGACGGGTACAGAGGCCCAGGTGTAGGCGCAGGACCACAGGCAGTGAAGCGTCTACTGACCCAGGCGGGTGAGGGTCTGGAGAGTGGGCATGGCTGCTGCAGGCATGGAAAGCAGGCACAGATGGCGGCACTCCCAGGGCCCATTGTCAGGGTCTCCACATGTGGACATGTGCAGAGGTGGGGGTGCTGAGGGAGGAGGGGCAGGGAATTTCTCATCTTCTCTCTACTGCCTCTGAGTTGGAGATGTCAGAGGGAGCCATGGCCCACTGTAAAGTAACACAATGTCCCCACCCACAGGATTAGAACCCCTCCCCTGGAAGCAGCTCTGAGGGGAACAGTCACATGTAGAGAGTGCAGGGCACTGTGTCCAGCCGGGGGAAGGAGGTCACCAAGGGGGTTGACCCCCCTCTGGCCAGGTGGCTACCTTCTGACACACCAGCCTCTGTCTCTAGCACGGTGGCCCCCACACACCCAGCCTGTGAAACCTACAGCCCTCAAGAAGGCTTTGGCCAAATTAATGAGCGGCTCCCTCTCCCAGGAGGAAGCACGGGTGAAGGATGTGGAGGGCAGTAGAGTTGTGTGTGCTCCGCCCCCTTTCTCCACAGTCGGATGGAAAGAAGGGGGCTTTCAGCCAGGCTCGCCCAGCCTGGGGTCTGAGTGTCACTGTCCAGCTATTGGCTTCTTGCTTAATGGGTGAGCCCAGCTGCTCCCGTGCAGCTGCCGCCCTAGTGAGGGTGAACCGGCAGGCGAGTTACATTTCTGAAAGCCTGGGAATACAGTAAATATTAGGCTGTGGGCTGCTGGGCCAGGAAGAGTTGTTTATTTTTCAGGGTTTGTTTATCTATTGACTTGATGAGGGAGGGTTATAGGTACAACCAGTTTAAAGATGGAAATTTTGAGAGAGCAGGCAGGGATTTAGTGCTGGGTAAGCCTGGTCAAAGCGGCTCTTTTGGGGCGGCCAGAATCCAGTACCAATGTCCTCAGCATGTTCATCAGCTGCTGGGGGAGTGCGGGACAGCATGAAAGCACAGGAGAACTTTCTGGATGATAGAAATACTCTGTATCTTCAAAGGAGGTGGGTTCCATAGTAATGTTAAATGAGTTAAAACTCATCAAAATGTAAACCAGACCTGTGCATTTCACTAATAGAAATTATACCTCCAATTAAAAACATGTTTTAAAAGACAGATGGGCCGGATGCAGTGGCTCATACTTGTAATCCCAGCACTTTGGGAGGCTGAGGCAGGTAGATCACCTGAGTCAGGAGCTCGAGACCAGCCTGGAAAACATGGTGAAATCCTGCCTCTATTAAAGGTATAAAAAAAAATTAGCCAGGCATGGTGGCACACGCTACTCGGGAAGCTGAGGCAGGAGAATTGCTTGAACCCAGGAGGCAGAGGTTACAGTGAGCAGAGATCGTGCCATTGCACTAGAGCCTGGGCAACAGCGCAAGACTCCATCTCAACAACAACAAAAAAAGGACAGATGAAGGTTTTCAACTTTCAATAAAGGCAGAGGAGCTTGTTACAGATTCGCCTCCCCGCAAGAGCAGTTAGAAAAACTGGATAAAAATGTGCCCCGCCCCCAATCAAAAACAATTGTTGGAAGGTAATTGGAGACCTCAGTCAGGACTTGAGTGACCAGGCCTAGGAGGTGATCCTGACAGTCTGTAGTGCTTTCCCACATTTGGTGATTGGTCAACAGTAGAGGGCTAAGAGGCTAAGAAACTGAGTATGAAGTGGTAGTTAAGAGGCTGGAGAGCCTAGCTGAATGTTTGGCACTCTCACAGGGCTGAAATGACCTAATGAGAATTTGGGTCCCAGGAGGGAGATGGGACCTTGGTGGGGACCCTGGAAGGGCCACCCCTGGGAGTCCAAATGAATAAAACATAGACCAGCCATCAGAAAACCTAAAACCTGCTTTGAACCAGCTTAGTCCCGAAGTAGATGAAGGCGATCTGCCCTTACTCCAATTGTGTGCCATAAACTCAAAGTCAATACTCTCTGGAGGCAGATAAAAGTTTACTATGAATGCCAAAAGACAACACAAGACTAAATGAGAAAGACCAAGAAGAAAACTAATAGAAACATACATGTAAGGAAGAAACTTTTTTTTTTGAGACGGAGTTTCGCTCTGTCACCCAGGCTTGAGTGCAGTGGCACGATCTCAGCTCACTGCAACCTCTGCCTCCCAGGTTCAAGCGATTCTCCTGCCTCAGCCTCCCAAGTAGCTGGGATTACAGGCATGCGCCACCATGCCCGGCTAATTTTTGTATTGGCCAGGCTGGTCTTGAACTCTTGACCTCAGGTCATCCATTTACCTCGGCCTCCCAAATTGCTAGGATTACAGGCGTGAGCTACCATGCCTGGCCAGTATTTTGCCACAATTTAAAATAAATAAAATTTTTTTTTCAGGTTTGTGCTCAGACTATATTCTAAACAGTCACATGGCGGCTTACTCTTCTCCAGGCCTTGCTGCCGGCTTTTACATGTTTATTGTCTTTGCCTTCTTGTCATGTGCTCATTAGATGGCAGCTTCCAGGTGCTCCTAAGGGGCCAGGAAAGAGAGTGAGAAGGCACGGAGGTTGCCAGATCATCCCCCTTGGGGCCCCGCCCTCATCAACTCCCTCAACCGGGTCTCCTGCAACTATCGGTGGGCCATCTCGGCCACCGCTTCGCCCTGAGCTTCCTGCTGCTGCAGCTGGGCAGTGCCTCCTTCTCAGAGGCCAGCTGCTGATAGGCGGCCACGTACTGCTGCAGGTGACCCAGGTAATGGTCTCGCTGCTGCTGCAGACTCAGCCTCTTGGCTCTTCAGCTCCACCTGCAGGATAGGCGTCAGGGTAGGTAGTGGCTGGCTTCCAGATTCTGGGCCCATAAACAGGGTAGTGAGGGCACTGCGGGGCTCTGTCGCCTACCCAGGCCCCTGGCCCTGGCCCCTTCCTCCAGGCCTAAATGACTGCCTCCCTTGCCTAGAGGCCCATGCCTCCCTCCCCAGCCTCAAATCTCACACCCTTCTTCCCACCATTTAAACTGTAGGCCACAGACTGGTGGAAAAGCAGAGGGAGCCAACCACCATCTGCTAAGTTGTGGTGAGGTCGTTCTGTATGATCTCCAGGGTTTGCACACACCTCCGCCTGCTCCCCCCAAGAGCTCGGCCTTCTGCCCCAGCTTCCCCAGCCTCTCCTCCAGCTCCTGCAGCCTCACCTAGTGTTCCTGCATCTTCTCCTCCTGCTGCCGCAGCCTCACTTCCTGCTCCCGCATCTTCTCCTCCTGCCTCCGCATCTTCTCCTCCTGTTCTTGCATCTTCTCTTCCTGCTCACACATCTTCTCCTCCTGCTCCCACATCTTCTCTTCCTGTTCCTGCATCATCTCCTCCTGCTCTCGTATCTTCTCCTCCTGCTCCCGTATCTTCTTCTCCTGCTCCCTTATCTTCTCCTCCTGCCTCCGCATCTTCTCCTCCTGTTCTTGCATCTTCGCTTCCTGCTCACACATCTTCCCCTCCTGCTCCCCCATCTTCTCTTCCTGTTCCTGCATCATCTCCTCCTGCTCTCGTATCTTCTCCTCCTGCTCCCGTATCTTCTTCTCCTGCTCCCTTATCTTCTCCTCCTGCCTCCGCATCTTCTCCTCCTGTTCTTGCATCTCCTCTTCCTGCTCCCACATCTTCTCCTCCTGCTCCCCCATCTTCTCTTCCTGTTCCTGCATCATCTCCTCCTGCTCTCGTATCTTCTCCTCCTGCTCCCATATCTTCTCCTCCTGCTCCCGTATCTTCTCCTTCTGCTCCCGTATCTTCTCCTCCTGCTCCCTTATCTTCTCCTCCTGCCTCCGCATCTTCTCCTGTTCTTGCATCTTCTCTTCCTGCTCCCCCATCTTCTCTTCCTGTTCCTGCATCATCTCCTCCTGCTCTCGTATCTTCTCCTCCTGCTCCCGTATCTTCTCCTGCTCCCGTATCTTCTCCTCCTGCTCCCTTATCTTCTCCTCCTGCTTCCACATCTTCTCCTCCTGCTCCTGCCTCTTTTCCTCCTGCTCCCGTATCTTCTCCTCCTGCCTCCACACCTTCTCCTCCTGCTCCCGTATCTTCTCCTCCTGCCTCCACATCTTATCCTCCTGCTCCTGCCTCTTCTCCTCCTCCCATATCTTCTCCTGCTCATGCATCTTCTCTTCCTCCCTCCACATCTCCTCCTGCTCCCGTATCTTCTCCTGCTGCCTCCACATCTTCTCCTCCTGCTCCCGTATCTTCTCCTCCTGCCTCCACACCTTCTCCTCCTGCTCCCGTATCTTCTCCTCCTGGTCGTGCATCTTCTCCTCCTGCCTCCACACCTTCTCCTCCTGCTTCCGTATCTTCTCCTCCTGCTCGTGCATCTTCTCCTTTTGCCTCCATATCTCCTCCTGCTCCCTTATCTTCTCCTCCTGCCTCCACATCTCCTCCTGCTCCTGCCTCTTCTCCTCCTCCCGTATCTTCTCCTGCTCGTGAATCTTCTCCTCCTGCCTCCACATCTTTTTCTCCTGCTCCCGTATCTTCTCTTCCTGCTCCCGTATCTTCTCCTCCTGCCTCCACATCTTCGCCTCCTGCTCCTGCCTCTTCTCCTGCTCGCGTATCTTCTCCTCCTCCTGCCTCTTCTCTTCCTGCTCCCGTATCTTCTCCTGCTCGTGCATCTTCTCTTCCAGCTCCCGTATCTTCTCCTCCTTCTCCCACATCATCTCCTCCTGCCTCCGCATCTTCTCCTCCTTCTCCCACATCATCTCCTCCTGCCTCCGCATCTTCTCCTCCTGCTCCCGTATCTTCTCCTCCTGCTCCTGTATCTTCTCCTCCCGCTCCTGTATCTTCTCCTCCTGCCTCCACATCTTCTCCTCCTGTTGCTGGTTCAGGCGGTTCCACAACTCGTTCTCTTCCACCTGGGCTTGGAGCTTTGCTGACACACTCTGCAGCTCCTTACCCAGGTGGTCAGCCTCCGCCTGCAGCTGCTGCTGGAATAGTGAAAGTGTTTTTTTGAACCTCAGAAGGAAGCAGAATCATGAGCTAGCCACATAAATGTAATCTATAGGCTGGGCGCGGTGGCTCACGCCTGTAATCCCAGCACTTTGGGAGGCCGAGGTGGGCGGATCACGAGGTCAGGAGATCGAGACCATCCTGGTTAACACAGTGAAACCCCGTCTCTACTAAAAATACAAAAAATTAGCTGGGTGTGGTGGTGGGCACCTGTAGTCCCAGCTACTTGGGAGGCTGAGGCAGGAGAATGGCGTGAAGCCGGGGGGTGGAGCTTGCAGTGAGCCGAGATTGCGCCACTGCACTCTGGCCTGGGTGACAGAGTGAGACTACTTCTCAAATAAATAAATAAATAAATAAATAAATAAATAAATAAATGTAATCTATAAAATAATGGTTTTCATCCATGATCCTTTAAAAAAATATTTTTAAGCCCTAACTCTTGAGATTCTGATTCCCCAGGCAGGGCCCCAATTTGTACATTTTTAGTACACTCTAGAGGATTCTATGGCGGGGCCAGAACAAGGACCCAAATTTTCCAGCTCTTGGCTGGAGCCTCCCCATACCCTGCATGATCCCTAGACCATGGTCCCAGCTGGATGGGTCTCCCACAACCCCCGGGGCTGCAGCTGCTCACCTGTGGCAGCAGGAGCTTGGCCCTCTCCAGTTTCCTTTTTAGCTCCTTTACGTTGAGCTGGATCTCAGACTTTTCAGATTCTACAAGTTGAAGTTTTTCTTGTAGTTTGGCATTTTTCTCCTTCAGCTCCTCATCAGTTATGCTATGGCCAGAGGCAGTAGAGAAAGGAATGAATGAAGAACATAAAAGACCACTTTGGTGATTGACCCCCTACCCTCGCCCCACAACCACAGAACCGTGGCGCTGGAAGGGACCCCAGGAATTAAAAGTCCCAGGTGGCAGGCCAGAGAGAAGACATGAGTTGCCTGAGGCTACCCCATGAGTCAGTGGCACAGCCAGCACTAGAGTTTCCGTGTGCACACATGAAAACATGTATGAGCCTCTCCCCACACTCACCTGGACCCCCCACCTCCCAGCACACCACCCATGCTAAGGGCCCCCAGACCTCCCATTCCACCTTCCCCCATCCTACGTGTTCCTGTACAGTTCCAGACTCAGGGCGTCCCTCTCCTTTGTTAACTCCTCAATGTACTGCAAATAGAGAAAGGTTAAGTCAGGATAGAGCAGGCACAGCAGTAGCTGGACGACCAGGAACAACTGCTACAGTGACTACTCCACAGTAACACTTCCTCACTCTCAATCACACCTGACGTGTTCTCAAGGCATTTCCAAGCCCATGGTCTCATTTGTTTTTCTTTCTTTCTTTCTTTTTTTTTTTTTGGCAGAGTTTCATTCTTGTTGCCCTCACTGGAGTGCAATGGCACAATCTCAGCTCACCACAACCTACACCTCCTGGGTTCAAGCAATTCTCCTGCCTCAGCTTCCCGAGTAGTTGGGATTACAGGCATGTGCCACCACACCGGGCTAATTTTGTATTTTTAGTAGAGACGGGGTTTCTTCGTGTTGGTCAGTCTAGTCTTGAACTCCTGACCGCAGGTGATCCGCCCACCTCAGCCTCCCAAAGTGCTGGCATTACAGGCGTGAGCGAGAGCACCTGGCCCTCATTTGTTTTTCAAAGAACTCAGTGGATGTGGAAGGGACAGGGAAAGAGATTGAATTTAGGGCTGGCTAACAGGGGCCCAGAGCGATCAGATAATATTGTTATTGTTATTACTGTTATTACTACCACTGTTGGAGCCTTTATTGGGTGCTTCACCAGGCACTATGCTAACAATCCCATTTAATCCTCACAACCTCCATAGGAGACGGTTACCATTATTACCTCTATTGTGTAGATGAAAAACATGCAGTATTAAAGGTTAAGTGCTGCCTAAGATCACTTGGAGCTGGGATTTCAACACCCAGGTATATCTGATTCTCTAAGCCCATTCTTCCGCTGGAGGTAGGGGCACAGTTAAGAAGGAGGAAATTAATCCTTTGTTGAATTTTTGAAAGGATGATACGTTCGCATAGTCCAAAACTCAGAAAGTCCAGAAGGGAAATATCTCCCCCCAACACTGTGCCTCTATCCTGAGTTTTTTAATGAATCCTTACAAACGTGTTTTATGTATGTTACCATAATACGTACACACACACACATATACACCTGCCCCCTCTCTCCACACAAATAATAACATACTCAAGATACTCTTCTGTACCTTTATGGTACAAGTACCCTAACCGCCACTTAGGACTTGGCCAAGGCCACAGCCAAGTATGGGCAGGGCGGGCACTTGGCCTCTGAGATCTATGTCCAGTGCTCGCTCCTCACAGTGCTCCCCAACTCACCCACAACAGCCGACTCAGCCCCAGTCTGCCTCTAACAACCACACACAAAAGCAGCAAGAAATGGCTATGCTGCCTTCTGGGCAGGACACTCCATCCTACAGAAGGGACCTTTAGGCTCACTCCTCCATCTGCGAAGCTGGGCTCCCAAGGGACGGGGCCGTGTTTGGACTCACCCTATCCGCCTTCTTCTTCTGTGTAGCGACAGCAGAGAGAGCCTGCTCTAACTCTCCTGCAAACTTCCATGAATCATGCAGGCGGCTGATCAGATCCCTGGCCTCTCCTGGAATGAGAGACATTCAGATGTGGCCCAAAGGACTCCCCCTAAAGGCCTGTCAAAGTGCCAGGTTGAAGGATGATGGGGTGCCAGATTCCCACCTTCCAACTGCTTGACAGCATGCTGGCTGTAGTAGAGTGCCATCTGAAGCTCAGTTTTCTGACATGTAAGGATTCGTATGGTATGAACCTGGGCCTTTGGGAGAAAAGACAAGCAAATGCTGAAAGAGAAGCAAAGAAACATTCTCCAGAGGGCAGGAGGGAACTTCACACCCTCCACTCACCTCTAGCTCCCTCCTTAGGGCTTCCTGATGTTGGTGGCTTGCCTTCTGTTCCTATAGAAAGAGGAAAACAGAGCTCTTACTAGGGGGAGGCAGAGATCCACAGCAAGAGACATGCCCCCAGAATGGCACCACTGCCCCAGAACAGGCCCACCCATGGGACCAGTTTATCAGGGACCCTGTGGGGATGGGGTGGAATCTTGGGGGTGAGCCCTCTTCCCCAGGCTGGGAGTGGGTGAGATGAGCCTGGGGCCTCTACATCTGAGTGCCCCCAAACCCAGCGGTCATGTCGTGAGCAAAGAAATCACACGACTTCTTCCAGCTGAGCTCGGTTCTATTGTTTCTGTGGGGAGAGTCAAAGGAAGGTGACTGAGGGTGGCCCCCTTGACTCTATTCCCCAGGCCAGGAAGCGATAGGCAGGGGCCAGGAATGGATTTAAAAGGCACAGTTCTCAGACCCAATGGGAACATGAACTGGTCAACTCTCCTCAACTCCCAAAGAAGAGGGATTTGGGTCTTTTTGGTTTTTGCCCACAGCCACAGAACTCAAAGTCTGAAACTAGATTCTCTTGAAAAGACAGTAACAGAAACCTTCAGAGGTGGAGTGCGAGAAAAGCCCACCCTTCCGCCAGCTTGTGATTTAGAAAGGTGCATTCACTCAGCAAACGTTGAGCACATACGGGCCAGGGACGGTTCTTCACAGCGGGAATAGAGGTCAGAAAAGGCAGACAGGAGCCCTTGGCCCTGAGGTTTCCATTCTAGTGGGCCTTTAACTCTCGGGCTCTCAGAGCTAACAGAAACCTCTGATACTCTCTAACTCTACCTCAGGAAACGCAAGCCCAAGAAGGAGAGTTTACAGCAGGTCCTGGACGAGGGATTAACATAAAAACACAATGACAAATCTCATTTAAACTTCACAAATGTAAGGAAAACAATACCACTCGTATTTTACGGATGTGAAAAGAGAGGCCCAAAGAGCTCAAGCAATTTGCGCTAAATCATATCCCTAGCAGATGGAGGGGTAGGATTCAAACCCAGAATTCTTAGCCAGTACCTGGCAGTTCTTCCACAATCTTAACAATTACCCTCCACCACCCCTTGGGCCCTCTGTCCCCAGGAGCCCGGCCAGCCAAGACTCACATCCTCAGGCGAGTGGCAACCACCAGAA